>NC_000002.12:109610830-109913860 GCF_000001405.40 Homo sapiens | reverse complement strand
CCACAGGCGTTAGCCAGTACGCTCAGCCTTAGCACATTTTAAAATGACCAAAATCCATTAAAAAACATTCTCTTAACAGCCAAGATTTTTACATCTTTCATTTCTTGAATGTTTTCATTTTATGTGCTCCAATTTTATCCTAGTATATTTTTGTACTTGTCTTTAACTGATCACCCTATCATACTTTTCTGCAATTAAAAAATATATATAACATGAAATTTTAAAATGTGCTTTCTGAATCCATAAGGCTGTAAAGGTTAACATTTATTTTCTTCTGTATTATCATTAGAATGATTAGTATAGGACAAGCAAGACATAAACATTAATTTTTTTATACTATCTGTTTACTTGAAAAGCATATCTTAGTGATAGTGAAATGAGTAGGGCTGCCCTTTCCTCCCACAATTATTTCATGTATCTCATGCATCAATATGGCTTTCCACTAGAAGACTCAGGTTCAATATTAATTCTAGGTCTATTTTCTATTTTGGGTGTTGCTTTTTTTTTTAATATAGAAATGCTAAGAAGCCCTTTTCACATTACTAACTTGTGAGAAATGTTATAGTAATGTCTCCCCTTGAGTCTTTGAGCTCCTTACAAGTTATATGCCAAAAGTCATACACTGTTTGATTATTAAAATCCATTTTTAATGATATCCATTTTTAATGTATCAGTTGTCAACTCAATTTCCTCAAATTATGGCTATAGATTTAGTGCATCCAATTTAGTGAACATATCTACCACAGCTTAACTGGCAAAGTCAGTTCTTACTGTTGAACCAACCAAAGCAGATTTTCTCCTAGAAAGATAACTTTTTTTTTTCCCAGTCCCGCTCTGTTGCCCAGTCTGGAGTGCAGTGGTACAATCTTGGCTCACTGTAACCTCTGCCTCTTGGGTTCAAGCAATTCTCCTGCCTCAGCCTCCTGAGTAGCTGGGATTACAAGCACCCGCCACCATGTCCAGCTAATTTTTGTATTTTTAGTAGAGATGGGGTTTCACCATGTTGGCCAGGCTGGTCTCGAACTCCTGACCTCAAGTGATCCTCCCACCTTTGGCCTCCCAAAGTGCTGGGATTACAGGTGTGAGCTACTATGTCCAGCTTTCACTTTTTAATTCAAATGAATAAGATGTAGTATATTTAATGTATCTTTTTGTTTTTAGACTAGGTCTTGCTATGTTGTTCAGGCTCGTCTTGAACACTTGGGCTCAAGTGGTCCTTCTACATCAGCCTCTTGAGTAGCTGGGATTACAGGCACACACTACCTTGTCCAGATTAATGTATTTGGTTTTTAAACAGAAAGAATAAATTGATATGCTATTACTCAATACTATGCCATACTACATTATAATGTGCAGCCAAAAGTACAAGTATTTATGAAGCGTGATATATTTCTGATGAATGTATGCCACCTATACGTATAAAAATCTGATATTTAGCTTTTAGCAGTAATTAATGGAACTACCATATGATCCAGCAATCTCACTACTGGGAATATATCCAAAGGAAATGGAATCAGTATGTGGAAGAGATATCTGCACTCTCATGTTTACTGCAGCACTATTCACAATAGCCAAGATTTGGAAGCAATCTAACTGTCCATCAGCGGATGAATGGATTAAAAAAATACGGTACATATACCCAGCAGAGTACTCTTTGGCCGTAAAAAAGAATGAGATCCTGTCATCTGTGGCGACATGGATGAACCTGTAGGACATTACATTAAGTGAAATAAGCACAGAAGGACAAATACTACATGATCTCACTCATATGTGGCATCTAAAGAGGTTGATTTCATAGAAATAGAGTAAAATAGAGGTTGCTGGAGGCTGGGGAGAATGGAGTGGAGGGGATGGGGAGAAGATGGTCAATGGGTACCAAGTTACAGTTAGGACGAATAAGTTCTAGTGTTCTATTGCACAGTAGAGTGACTTTGGTTAATAATATATTGCATTTCAAAATATTTCAAAATAGCTATTTCAAAATAGCTAGAAAAGGGGTATTTTGAATATTCTTACGACAAAGAAATTATAAATGTACAAGGTGATGGATACGTTAAATACCCTGATTTGATTTTTACACAATGTATACATGTATTGAAACATCACACTGTGCCCCATGTGTGTAATTATTATGTCAATTAGAAACAAAAAAACAAAATGACCACAAAACAGCCTTCTGTATCTGCTGGGTCTGCATCCTTGAATTTGATCAACCAAGGATAAAAAAAAATGTGGAAGAAAAAACCCCAAACAATAAAAAAAACCAATAGAAAAATAAAAATAATACAAATTTAAAAACACAGTATAACAACTATGTACATAGCATTTACATTTTATTAGCTATTGTAAGTAATCTAGAGATAATGAAAAATATACAGGAGGATGTGCATAGGTTATATGCAAGTAAGTATACCATTTTATATCAGGGACTTGAGCATTCAAAGATTTTGGTAAGCTCTGAGGGTGAGGTGGGAGTGGGGTGGAGGGGGTGTCCTGGAACCAATCCTCTGTGGATACCATAAGACGACTGTGTAAAAACTCATAAATAACTCCATTAATTTAGATAGAAATGATCAACTTTTATTCTGTATTAAATGAAAGAGAAAGATGTATATTGCATAAAAACACTAAAAAGTAGCCCAGTAGTATATATATATATATAATTTTTTTTAGAAGGTTGAAAATATAATCACTGTATACATAAAATAAAATTAGGATTAACTATAATTTGGAAACATCTTTTAACAAGACAAGTAGGAGTCAAGAACACTGACCATGGATCCAGACTGCCTGTGTTCAAAATCTGGCTGAAAGACTCATTGTGTGGTCTTGGGCAAGTTGCTTAACCTCTAGGGCCTCCCAAGAGTCAAAAAGCAATACTGCTTTGGTCTGTTTGTTCTAGCTCATGGCATACCCTCACTGTGACATTGTGAAATACATATTTGGTCTTCCTCCCAGTTTCTTGGCATACAGCTCCTAAAATCCTTGGAATCTTAAAAGTGATGTCTCTGTATATGTTAATGAGGTGCCTCCTGACTGGCAGCCCCTAGGTAGATTTAGGATGGGACTGGTTACCAGAAAGACCAAGGCAGAATCGGATGGTTGGGGTTTTCAGCCCCACCCTCCAGCCTTCAGGAAAGGCAGAGAGGAGCTGAAGGTTAAGTTGATCACCAGTGGCCAAGTGTTTAATTCATCATGCCTACATAATGAAGCCTCCGTAAAAATTTAAAAGGACAGGGTGCAGACAGCTTCTGGATAGCTGAACACAGTGTAGTTTCCCAGAGGGTGGTGCAGCCAGAGAAGGTGTGGAAGCTCTGAACACCTTCCCCTGTATACCTCACCCTACGTATCTCTTCAGCTGTATCCTTTGTAATATCCTTTTTAAAAATTTATTTTATTATTATTATTATTATTTTTTTTTTTCAGAAACGGTCTTGCCCTGTTTTTTCAGGCTGGAGTGCAGTGGCATGATTATAGCTCACTGTAGCCTCCAACTCCTAGGCTCAAATGATCTTCCCACCTCAGCCTCCCAAGTAGCTGGGACTGTGTGTGCCATCATGCCTGGCTAATTTTGTTATTTTTTGTAGAGACAGGATCTCACTATGTTGTCCAGGCTGCTCTTGAACTCCTGGCTTCAAGCAATCCTCCCACCTGAGTCTCTCAAAGTGCTAGGATTACAGGTGTGCTCTACCGTGCCTGGCTGGTAATATTGTTTAGAATAAACTGGTAGAGCCAGGCATGGTAGCATGTGCCTATAGTCCCAGCTACTGGGGAGGCTGAGGCAGGAAGACTGCCTGAGTCCACGAGATGGAGACTGCAGTGAACTGTGATTGTTCCACTGCACTCCAGTTTAGGTGACAGAGCTTGACTTTGTCTCAAAACAAACAAATAAACATAATACTAATAATAAACCAGTAAAAGTGTTTCCCTGAGCTCTGTGAGTTGCTCTAGCAAATTAATAGAACCAGAAGAGGAGGCTGTGGGATTCCCAATTTACAGAGCATGTCAGCCAGAAGGACAGGTGAAGCAATCTGGGGCTTTCAATTGGCATCAGAAGGAGAAGACAGTCCTGGCGCTGCCCCTCAATCTGTGGTCTCCAGGTAGATAGTGTGGGAATTGAATTGGAGAACGCCCAGCTGGTGTCCACTGCAGAACTGATTGCTTGCTTGGCGTGTGGTGAAAAGTTCCCACACGTTTGGTCACAGAAGAACTTGTGTTGATTGTTGTGGTGTGCAAGCAGAGGGAAAATGGTTTGTGTTTTCTATCCACCTCATTCACAATTTCTTACCAACGCTCTTTGCTTTGCTCTCCCAGAGCTTTCCCTTAAAATGGATAAATTCTTCTGAAATTAGTCAGGGGATGAAAAAGGCTAAGTCCTAAAAGGAAAGCTGTTGGCTGGGTGCAGTGGCTCATGCCTGTAATCTCAGCACTTTGGAAGGCCGAGGTGGGCAGATAATGAGATCAGGAGTTCGATACCAGCCTGACCAACATGGTGAAACCTGTCTCTACTAAAAATACAAAAATTAGCCAGACGTGGTGGCATGCGCCTGGATTCCTAGCTACTGAGGAGGCTGAGGCAGGAGAATCGCTTGAATCCAGGAGGCGGAGGTTGCAGTGAGCCAAGATCACACCACTGCACTCCAGCCTGGGTGACAGAGCGAAACTCTGTCTCAAAAAAAATAAATAAATAAAAAATAAAAATAAATTAAAAAGGAAAGCTGTTGTAACTACTGCCTACGTCTCTAAATTCAGCATATGCAGTCATCTGCCAGATAACATTTCTGTCAACAATGGACCATATATACTACCATGGTATATGGTATATTTACTGTACTTTTTCTGCTTGGATACTTTTAGATACACAATACTCACCATTGTGTTACAACTGCCTGCAGTATTCTGTATAGTAACATGCTGTACAGGTTTGTAGCCTAGGAGGGACAGGCCATACCATATAGACTAGATGTGTTGTAGGCTATGACATTTAGGTTTGTTAAATACATTCTCTGATGTTTGCACAACAATGATCTTGCCTAATGACACCTTTCTCAGACATTTCCCTGTGGTTAAGGGGCGTGCATATCTGTACCTGAATACAGAATATCCAACACAGTTCCTAAAGCCAAGCTTCTCCTTAACGAGAAAATACATAAGGCAGGGAAAGACTAAGCCTTATGGGTTTCAGCACTCCCTAACTAATCCTTTTTGATGGGTATCCTGGAGCAATTAATGATAGTAAGATTTGAGATTTCTTTCTTTTGCAATGTGAGAGAAGTACTATTGTGAATATAAATATGTTTTCAGGCAAAGAGAAAAGGATCCAGAAATTGAGTCCTTCAAAACCAGAATAGGAGGACTTAGAAATAGATTTCCTTGCCACCATTCATCCTGCAAATCTCTTGCACTCTGGGCTATGCTTCTCCAGTGTCACAACTATTGTTAATTCCAGGTGGAGAACTTCTGCTATAATGAGCTGCCTCTTTTCTACAGTGTGTAGAAATGATCAAACATAGTATAGCTCAACTTTTGAGCCTGAGAGAAAGGCCAGAAGTTGATCCAAAGTAAAACTACGATATAAAATTTTTTAAAAATCAAGAATCATAAATTGGGAAGAATTAAATTTCTATAAATATAGCCTTTCTAGGTAACTACACATTACATCCCCAAACTGATTTAAACAATGAATACGATAAGCCTGTTAGAAATATTAATGGTCCAAATTAGTAGTATTTATAAACAAAATGCCTTAAGAACCCTGGGGTCCCACCGCTTGTGGAAATGGGTTGCTTTGTGTGGGGGAAGATGAGCTCCAAGAATGGCTCTAACTGTTTTAAGTTTTGGAGTTCTGTAAATATTCCCTTTAGGGGAAGAAACAGTTATTCTGAGCTGCTTTCAAGTAAGCTCAGAACGGGAAACCAGCTGAAAGTCTCATTTCCAGTCAAGTGCAAAGTTGCAAATCTTCATTTGGTACTTTATACTGGTTTGTCATAAACTGCCTTGAAGTGAGTGGATCCACAGATAAACAGATGTGCTGGTTGGAAGGGTCTTCCATTTCAGTTTCTGCCTTCCTGAATAATCAGAGTAAATGAGTGAAGAAACCTCTTTGTAAAACATCTTGCTACAAGACTACTCATCATAAACGGGTCTTTCCTGGCCAGGCGTAGTGGCTCACTCCTGTAATCCCAGCACTTTAGGAGGACGAGGTGAGCGGATCACCTGAGGTCGGGAGTTTGAGACCAGCCTGACCAACATGGAGAAACCCCGTCTCTACTAAAAATACAAAATTAGCTGGGCATGGTGGTGCCTGCCTGTAATCCCAGCTACTTGGGAGCCTGAGGCAGGAGAAGCACTTGAGGCCGTGAGGCAGAGGTTGCAGTGAGCCAAGATCACGCATTTGCACTCCAGCCTGGGCAACAAGAGTGAAACTCTGTCTCAAAAAAAATAAAAATAAAAATAAAAAATTAAAAAAATGGGTCTTTCCTGTTAATGCATTTTGTGATGGGAAAAAAGGGACACATTTGTGAAATCCAAACTAAGGAGAGAGAAATGTGAAGCACCAACAAAGAACCCAGCCCTGAGCATGTACTAAGTCAGGGTTAATCAGCTGCACACCTGGTCCCTAGTCCTTGGTTCAGTCCATCCCACTCTGCAGTACTTCCTGGACTTAAATCACTCTTGTAACTGTTGGCTCCACCACTCCCAAAAGTATTTTCTTATGGGAAAAATTAAAATACTTCTTTTACTGGAGATAATGCTGGATGTCACAAAGATTTAGGAACCACTATAGTTAGCGTTAGGGCCTCTGGGTTGAAAGGGTATTTCCCTGGGGAAATGGCATCTAATCACTTGAGCTCAGGAGTTCGAGACCAGCCTGGGCAACAGGGCAAGACCCTGTTTCTGCAAAAAAAAATTTTTTAATTATCTGGCTGTGGTGGTGTGTGCCTGTAGTCCTAGCTACTAGGGAGGCTGAGGTGGGAGGATTGCTTGAGCCCAGGAAGTCAAGGCTGCAGTGAGCCATGATTGTGCCACTGCACTCCAGCCTGGGTAACACGGTAAGACCCTGTTTTAAGAAAAAGAAAAGAAAGAAAAAAAAAAGAGAAACTGTAGTTGAGACAGAAATACTGGTGCTCATTTCTTCAGATATATGTTCTGGTAAGTGGTTAGGAAACAAGGATCTCATTCTATACTTGCCTCTGTGGCCAAAGGGAAGAGAATGTCCTATTTAATTCAAAGTACCAGAAAGTTATACCATAAAAGTAAATCACATTTTCAAGGGGAAGCGAGTGCACAGACCCCACCTCTAAGTCTTCCTAACTAGTCTTCTAGAGAAAAGAAAAAATAGAGGCTGTGGAAATCAGGGAAGGAAGTTGTTGTGATAACGAGACAAAAGCAATAACAAAGATATAGAGTGGCGAAGATGCATTTATTATACAAAGACTGAAGCACATCAGTCATGTCCCAAATGGAAGGCAAACTGGGTAAGTTTCCAAGCTTTCTTTTCTGGAGAACAACTTATTGCTGGATATAATTGAAAGTGAAGATTATTTGTTAGCAGCCTTGGATAGTTTTTTTTTTCTCTAATATCATTTAACCAAAAAGAAATGTCTTATTCTCCAGATGCAGGTTTACACATCCCTGGGCTGGTTTTAATGATAAACAATGTAGCCAAAATAGTAATCTTCCTCAGGACCCAATAGAGCTTGAACTGGGCAACAGCCCATGAATAGCCTAGTTCTGGGTATTCATCGCATCTTTTGGAATAACAGCACACAGACCCAGGGAGGGTATTTATAGTCCAGTGTGAGGGGTGGGCAGGACGAGATGAGTCATGCTTTATTCTTCGCTGCTCAAGGCTGTTCTGAGCTTTTCCCTCTGACTCAGCACCAGTGGCCTCACAGCTGACAGGGCCTAAATGCGGCAGCAGGAGCTCAGGAAGCGGTCATGCTGCTTAATGAAGGTAGCTTAACCATCACGTTCGTTCCTAAGTCACAGGCAAAATGGGAGAAAGAAGGTGACGGAGGGCTGGAGCTCCAGGGTGCTCACAGGGGAAAGAGCAAGCCAGGGATATAAGGAAAATGTTTGGGAAAACAAAGCCTGTCTTTTTCTCTGAGTTCTTCTCTATTGCTCCCCTGGACCGAGCTCTCCTAAGGCCTTTGTCATAATCACCCATTTCAATAAAAATATCTTATATTTAAAAAGAATATGTAAGGGAAAGAATATTGTATTGGATACTAGGAGACCAGCTAGGTTCTCATCTCTTTCATGTCGCAAACCTGCTATGTTATCAGACATTTCAACCTCTCTGGACTACAGGAGAAAAAAAAAAGAAGGGAGGGATACAGAAGGAATTCATATAGTGAGAAGACCATGCTCTCTCCAAGCCAGCTTTCCAGAATTCCCTTCAATGTGCCTTGGGAGTCTCACCTCCTTCCTTGCCATAGTCCCACCAGGCCTCCACGGTGCCGAGGTAGAAGCAGGTCCTCAGGTCCCTTTAACTGAATTGAGTCATGGCTCACCACCACTACCACCAGCAAATGCCCTCTCTTCTTGCTGCCGCAGCACCTAGGGATTTCCTATTCCTTCTCCTCACCAGCTAATCACAGTCTACCTATAGCCTCGGTAGGGGGTCTCTATGCCTGATGCCTCCATTCACACCTCTGGAGCTCCTCTCCTGCCCTCTTCTGCTGTGGTACATTGGCCTCTCCTGCTCCTGTCCATCTTCACAACTGTCATTTGCCCATCCCTAAATCCATCATCCTTGTCCAAAAGATTCCCACTGCCCAGGGAAGGAGTCAGGAAGAACAGGAAGAACTGTAAGAAGATACATAGAGCATGTTTGGAGGCCTAAAGAAATAAACTTAAAAAAAAAAAAAAAAGAACGAGAAGAAAAGAGAAAACGAAAACCTCTTTCCACTGCTAAGGTTTTTGTTGTTGGGAATGTGTGTTTTGGGGACACAATAGGAGCTTAAAAAAATGTGTGCTAGTGAATAAAATAGCATTCCTTAACCCAAACCCTTAAAGCTGTTTCCAAGTTGACATTATTACATACTTGCTAGCCCTGTATTTCATGTACCCATGATGGGGTAAACAGCTTTTCTGTGGGCTGGCCTGGGAACCCCACTCTCATGTTTGTTTCTATGGGAAAATGCTGCCGGAGTGGCATACAATGGACTTACCAATGATCTTTGTCAACTACCTTTCCTTGCTCAAGCATGGTTTATATAACAGGGAAACATAAAAATCTGCTAGGCAAAAGAAGAAATCAAAGAGCAGCCATCTCCAGCTATAAAATAATTCTATATACATATATTATCATATATAGATGTGCATTTACGTACAAATATGTAAGAAGTAAGGTGGTAAAAGTAAATTACCTATTTGATCTAACACACACATACACCTCACTCTCACCGTCATTTATAGCCTGGGGTCAGCATCTCTAGATTATCCCCCAAAATACATGTTTACTGTGAGACAGGAGTTTCAGTGGGCCAGACATGGAGGTTCATGCGTGTAATCCTAGCACTTTGGGAGGCCGAGGATCACCTGAGCCCAGGAGTTTGAGACCAGCCTGGGCAACATAGGGAGACTCCGTTTCTATGAAAAATAAAATTAGTCGGGCATGGTGGCACGTGCCTGTAGCCCCAGCTACTCAGGAGGCTGAGGCTGGAGGATCACTTGAGCTTAGCAGTTCAAGGCTGCAATGAGCTATAATCATGCCACTACACTCTAGCCTGGGCTATACAATGAGACTTTGTCTCAAACAAAACAAAACAATAAAAAACAACAAGAAAGTGGTTTCGGTAATGTTGAGAATACCAAATACACTACAAAGGAAGTGCAGACCATATGCTAACACCCGAGGATCAAGAAAAACAAATATTTAGAAAAGAACATAGACACCCAGGAGAGCTAAATGTAGACAGTATAGTTCCCTAAAATACTTATTTTTTTTTCCCTTAGAAAATAAATGCATGGACGCTCCTGGCTCGAGGCTGGGAAGTTGTGGAGGGGGTGACGTACACCGCACGCTCTCCTTTAGAGCAGGTCCAGTGGTCCTCTGAGAAGGGGGAAAGACACAGAGACAGGAGTGGGTGAGGTGTGTGGGGGGCCTGAGTGTGGCTGAAGACTCGGAAAGAATTTTCTATGTGGAGCTGAGCTGCTTAGGTCTGAAAGGCTCTGTCATAAGGGACTCTGGGTTCTGAAATAGGACGATGAACTGAGCAATACAAATGCAGGGTCTGTGAGGGTGTCCCAATCACGCCACTGCCCATATGGGCCATAGAGATGCCACCTCTGACCTCACAGCTATCAAATACCTGGCATGCATGTGGCACTTCAGTCTTTCATCATGAAACTGAACATGAAGGAGGAGTCCTCAGGAAAGAAGGGCAGGAAGCGGGAGGGTGGGGAATGGCACCTCCCTGCTTTTGTCCAGTGCAACTCACCTCATAGAAGAGTCCTTCTGGGAACTGCTGGAAGCACTGAGCGCACACGAAACACTGCTCATGGTACAGCTCCCCATTACTGTTCACGATCGTCTCAGCGGGCGCAAAGCCGCCCTTGCAGCGCTCGCAAGTGGCGCTGGCCAGGGCGTTGGCCATGTTGCTGTAACACGCAAAGAACAGCAGGTTGCAGACCGTCAGCCACTTCTTAGATCGAAGATCAAACAACACTAAGAACCGAGCAGCAAATTCTATCTGATCACAAAAACCCTATTTTATCTAAAAAGCTCAATTTCTTGCTTGTTCCTTACATGCTCTGAACTCGGACACTTCAGCCTCTTTACCGTAGCATCTGAGGCTCTGTAAGGGTGTCCCACTTTGATTCTGTTTCTAACATTTTTGGCATTCTTCTTGCTGAATATACTATGAGTGAGTGCCTACTATGTGTTAGGCACCTGAGACAGAGATGAAAGTTACAAGCTGCTCTCAAGGAATTGGGTTTATAGCTTAATAAGTAGCTTAATTAAAATATCCAAAAGTCAACATCTCAAGGCCAGTTTCTTTCCCTTCTGAGAACAGAATCTAAAATGCATGTCAACTAAATGCCATGTCATATAACCTAGACACGGGTTATCCCTTTGATTAAATCCCGTAGAAAACAACTGCTTAAGTAGCCTTAAAACCAGCCAAGATGCCCCAGTCCTGTTACCTAATCGGTAAGACGAACCTGATTACCAATATTATAAAATGTATCTTAAAATCACAGAATTTTACATAATAAAGATCATTTTACAGATGGCAAAACAGGTTCACAGAGATGGAAGGATCAGACCAACATCACAAGGCTAATTAGTTAAAGGAAGGTGCAGGACTAGAAATCCAGGTCCCCTGCTCATAAAATCACACTGTCAATCAAAACAGATTACACCACGAATTTCAAACACTTGAAAGGACATGACAGGGATACCACCACGTTTCATAGGTTAGGAAAGTGACACCAAGTTGTCAAGTAACCACTGCTGCGGCTGGTGACGTGGGAAATTCCCCCATCGGTAGCCTCACTACACCTTAAAACACAGAAGGCATTCAATAAATAATCTCAGGCTCTAACCACTGTGCAGTTTGGAAGAAGGAAAGCAACATGGCAGATGGCTGCAGTGGCTCACGCCTGTAATCCCAGGACTTTGGGAGGCTGAGGACAGTGGATTACTTGAGGTCAGGAGTTCGAGACCAGCCTGACCAACATGGTAAAACCTCGTCTCTAGTAAAAATTCAAAATTAGCCGGGTGTGGTGGCACATGCCTGTAGTCCCAGCTACTTGGGAGGCTGAGGCAGGAGAATCACTTGAACCTGGGAGGCGGAGGTTGCAGTGAGCCAAGATCTCGCCACTGCACTCCAGCCTGGACAACAAGAACAAAACTCCATTTCAAAAAAGAAAAAGGAAAAGAAAAGCAACATGGCTTTGACAGGCATACAATTAGATGAGGATTTCACGTGAAGACCTATTTATTTCTTAAAAGTCCTAGAAATGGAGAAGGTCCCCCATGCCAAGCGGTCCTTCAATTTTTGGCAAGTTTATTTTCACAGGCCTACCCACAGCATGAGCTCTACACCTGTGTGTCTAGTTCCCTGGTACAGCTTCTGACCTTCCAGATATTTAATCAATGTACTTCATGAAGTTATTACCAATGTTCTCCTGAATTTTCACAACCAACTAGTGAGACAGACAGGTAGACAGTCTCCATTCTATAAACAGAGTAACTAACTGCCTTGCCCCTATTGGTTTCCAAGTTTTGCTGTTTCCTTAGCAAAAGTGGTTCCACTTACTTGCTTCACTCCCCTCCACACCTCTGGAAGACAACTTTCCCTTTGCCTTTCTCCCCAAAATGTTTCACAAAACAGTCATCCTGTTTTGTAGCCTTGCCATAAATAACTGCGTGCAGACACACCATGTTCATCACTTCAGACCAGTCAAAGCTCAACTTTATTTAACAGGTTTGAATGCAGAATTAAAATGTCACAAAAAAAAGGAAGGAAGGGAGAAAGGGAAGCACCTTCACTGCTCAGTAAACCTGGCCCAAGCCTCATGTTAAAATGAATTTCCATTTTGTCATTTCAAAGTTACTGTAGGTTGGGGAAAAAATCTGTAAAATTCTCATCATCGCCCAGCTTTGCCGTAAGCCAGATGATTGTGGCAGTTTTACAAAACTCTGGAGGGGTTTGTGCTTCTTCCCTCTTTCTGACCAAAGTCCACAGGTATTCCTGGATGAAGGAGCACGGTAAGCTCCACATCTGCCTGGTCATTCTCAGTGCTGTTCTCATTATTGTTCTGAGGAAAAAGTATTTTAAGCTATTTGGAAACCGTAAGATGCTGCTCAAATATATGGCTCTGTTGTTAATTCTAAACCCTCTCAAAAGATTCACCAAACCTCAACAATCTTAATGGGACTCTAAAAAAGCCCAAAAAGAATATTCTAGAATGTCCTGGATCATTATCACCTAAATCAGTCGTTTTCAAAATGTCAGCGTCACCATGACCCTTTCAGGAGGCAGAAAAGTCCTCTTTTCCAACTACATCTCTGTGGGAGGCCATGTTTTCTTCATATATTTCATCTAAAACAATAGACTGTAATAGGTTGAATGCAGAAACAAATCTGAGAAACTTTTATTAACAAGATTTGCAAAAATGTAACGCAATGCCATCCTTTCCTCTAAGCCTCTTCCATTTTGGAAAACAGTTATTTTTCATGACAACATTAATATTAACATTTACTATTATTAACACGTAATAAGCTTAGTGTTGTTTTTAAATGAATTAATAAGTATTTTAAATTGTTCCCAGTTTCAATTTCTCATATGGTAAATACTGATAAATGAAAGTCCTTTGGGAACCTTAATAGTTTTTAAGAGTGTTAAGAGGCCCTTAGATTAAAACGTTTGATTATCACTGACCAGTTTAAACTCATTATAATATAGATTGTTTCTACTTAAGTTCAAATACTCAAGTAGAATTAGGAAATAGGTAGATACATCATAAAAACAAGCACACAGTTACTTCCCACACACAGGAAAAATCCGCTAGTTTTAGAGGTAATATAATATATATTTTGCAAGAAGTATTCCTTTTCATCACAAGCAGGGGGAAAAAGGAAACAGAACAATCACCTTGCTGCCCCCTGAACCAGTCAGGCTTCCCTTTCCTCTTTTGCCTTTGACCCTCTGGCACAATGCCTGTTGTTGTTTTTTTTTTAAATGTTGATTTTATATTTAATACTACAGATGACAGAAATTACTTTAAAAAAGTCATTAGTGACAGTTATAGCTACCATCAGATTAGTTATAATTAATTAGCTAATTTTTTAGAAAAAGATTTTCACTAAAAAGTGTTGATGACAAGAAATATGTAAGTGGGGGAGTATCTATCTATCTATCTATCTATCTATCTATCTATAGATAGATATTTATATGTAAAAGTCAGGCCAGGCATGACTGATGAAGCTGATCCACTTCCACAAATCAACCTCACACAGCACAACTGATATCTTGCTTTCCATTATTCAAGTATGCAAAACAAATTGTTTGGTCCTAAAATGCAGCAATGTATAAATCCAAAAATCTTCTTGAGAGTTCACCAAGCAGTCAAAATATTGGTTACTGTATTATTACAATTCCCCAGTTACTGTCAAACAGAGCTCTCTGTGAGTTGTGAAGATAAGTGACATCTGTACCACAGAGCACGGATTATGGAAGTAGAGAACCGGGTCAGTTAAATTCTCATTAACTCTTACTTGACAAATTTGGGATACGCAGTAATTCTAAGCTCACAACTTTGAATGAGGTCAATAATCTTGAGCTGGTCTGATGGCTACTCTGCATTTTCTTAAAAAAATGTGTTTGCTAAAACCTATTTAATAATATAAATTAGCCTAGCTTTTTAGAGTTAACAGTATGTTCTATATGTGTATTGAGCTGCTACTTATACGATATATATATTTATTCATTCAATTAAGAAACCCAGTTAGCTTACTTCAAATTGTTGATTATTACACAAAACAAAAATATTTATCTTTACCAACAGTCTGTAATTTGTTTTTTTCACTGTCCCAACCCATCTGCCCCTTATCTTTGGGCCGTTTTAGACTGCAGAATTTTTCTAACGTAATTACTGACAATGACAACACTAAGCCTCCCTTGCGGACGACATGATGAAAATGCAGTTAGTTACCAAGTGATCAGGAACCTACTGAAGACGGGGCCGCCATGCTCTCACAGTGAGGGCAGCACCTCCCTCCCATCTGCGTGTCGCTGCATGTCTTACCGACAAGGCAGTCTCCTGTCTCCCTAAACATGCTGCGCTGCGAGCCCCTCGGAGCCCTACCACCCTGGAAAACTCCCACCCAAAGTCCAGTCAATAAAATTGTATGGGCCAGCTCAGGATGGCTCCTGAACAGACAGCCAAGAACGCTGGACCTGGAAGAGGGCACTCCAGGAGAGGAGACACTCACAATTTCGCATAAAAGTCACAGAACTCCTTGTAGACTTTCACGTCACTGTGCCTGCGCTGCAGTTTGGAAACAGCCCTCTCGTCCTCGGTCCCATTGGCCTCGTGGACAGTGTTAAGGGCTGCTCGGGGGATTTCTTCGTTCTCTGGGATAATGCAGGGGCGCGCTCGGCCTGAGAAGGCCATCGTGGGTGCTTGAGAGCTCTGAGCACAGGGATGAGAATGGCAGGACACAGAGCCAGGAGAAACAATATCCAGGCCTCCCTGCTTCCCAGCCAGGGTCACTCCCACTGTTCCCACGCACGTCAGCCTGGCCCGCCAGGGTCACTGCTGCTGCTTCATGTTAAGAGCTCAGCAGCACAGTACACAGTTACATGGCAGTCAGGATTTACTGAGGCATTCTGGAAGTTCTAAAATAACATTCCACAAAGTAGTGACACAGTCTTTGTCAGAGCGGCAGTCCCAGTGGACTATGCTATAAACACTGCACCAGGAGACCGGGGCTACCTTGTAAGCCTCCAAGAGAAAGAAATATCCACACGTGCCTTGCATATTTGCCACAAGACTTCATCAACAATGCCGTGCTTTTCACTCTGGAGGGCATAAGAGGCTTTTGGAGACCTTGTAAAACATCCCCCTGACAAGCTCTCCCTGAGGCTGAGGCTGCTGGCACACTCTGAGGAGCATTTGAACCCTGCCTGGACCTGGGCTTCCACAACCCTGGCCATGACTGCCAGCTATGCCTGATGGGTCCCTTCCCCAGGAGGCCATGAGCCCCTAAAACTAAGAGCTACGTTTGACTTCTATCACCTTTGCTACTGGTACATAGTCACAAATGTACTCAGTCCAATCTCAGCTTCAATGAATGGGCACAAGTGGAAACAGACAAGGGCCAGTGTTTAGTTATAACTCTTCTACTGGACTCCAGCTAACCTCAAAGCTTAGGTGAGCCGATGTTTCTCAGTCTCTATCATGACTAAGGAAACTGTTACATACTTTGGCATTCTTGCTATATTCAGTCCACACTCCTGTCTCCTGTGATTGAGTTAGCAATGCGAAAGGAAACTAAATCACTAAGCCAAGGAAAAAGTCAAGCTGGAAACTACGTCAGGCAAACTTGCCTCCTGTTTTATTGCTAAATAAGATAGCTACAAAGATAACAACCTACATCCCTCCCTCACCATTTGCCCGCAAGAAAACTCCTTACGGAAAAAGGACAGACACAACTCAAAGTCATCCCTTTGAGGCTCACCTGAGACAAATGCATAACTGATTGCTTCCTCTGCCCTATTGTTCACGTAAAAATGTAGGTTCACTGAGCCAGACACAATTGTGTATTCATCGGAAGGCTGATCAAGGACTCAAAAGAATGCAACTTTTTGTCTCTTATCTACTTCTGGCCTGGAAACCCCCTACTTCGAATTGTTCCACCTTACTGGACTGAACCAATGTACATCTTACATATATTGATTGATGTCTCATGTCTCCCTGAAATGTATAAAAGCAAGCTGTACCCCGACCACCCCGGGGCGCATGTTGTCAGGACCTCCTGAGGCTGTGTCATGGGTGCGTCATTAACTTTGGCAAAATACATGTTCTAAATTGAGTAAGACTTGTCTCATATACTTTTTGGTTTACAGCAATGATGACAATCATGATGTAGCACTAGAGACAACTAAAGGGCTCAGAATCTTTCTCACGTCCCCGTCCTCTCAGGGCAGTGTGCCACCCACCAAAACCAAGAGACTGTGAAATAAAATCTACAGAACAGGCGCAAGGCACACTGATGGACAGTCACGGAACCAGCAGCGACAAACAAAATGCAGCCAGAGACACCAAGTAACAACCATAAATAATGATATCCAAGAGTCAGTGAGTGCTTCCTATCACATCCCTTAATCCTTCCCACGGCTTCTGAGATAGGTGTTAGTTACAAATGAAGAAACTGAGGCACAAAGAGACTGAATAACTACTAAGGAGGTGGTGGAGTCAAGATTTAAACCTAGGCACTCTGAGTCCAGAGCCTATGTTGTTAATCCCTATGTGAGAAAATGTTAAACATAATTACTGGGAAGCACAATGGTTAGCCAGAAAAGATGAGGGAGTGGGTACCAGATAGGACTGGAAGCAGGGGACCAAGTCTTTCTACTTTGAATCCTAAAAATCTCAGAGGATAGGTCAAGAATTCAAAGGCTGTGGGCTACAGATCCTGCCCAGGCCCAAAGCCTATGGCTGATGAAACAAGGGAACCACCATATTTAAATAAGAAAGGAACAACCTCATGGTTTAAAATTTTTCCTTTCAATTTATCTACATTTCCTAATTTTTTAGGTTTCTTTTTTACAATGACCATGTGAAACAGTGAGGAGGCAGGGAGGGAGGGAAAGAAAGAGACAGACAGACAGATGGATGAGGACAGAGGCAGGCTGACTCAGACCAGAAATTTAATGCATCCGGTGGGGGTGGCATGGTAGGAGGCAGGAAGCCACGTGAGCCTTCTGCTCAGAATTCTCCCTCACAGTCTCCCCAGTGCTCACATCTTACGTGACTACAGTACAGGAGCAAAACCAGGAATCTGACATTGCAGCAATGCATGTGTGCGGGTCTCTGTCATTTCATCACATGGGCAGCTTCCTGTAACAACAGCCTCTATCAAGTTACAGGACTATTCCATCACCACAGACTTCTCTTTCATGTTATCTCTGACCATCACATACCTCTGCACACTCCAACACTCCTAACCTCTGGCAACCACTCATGTGTTTTTCATTTATATGATTCTGTTATTTAAAGAATGTTACCAAATGGAATCGTTCATGTGACATCTTCATTCAGCACAATGCCCTGAGACCAATCCAAGTTGCTCCACATGTCCACAGTTTGCTCTTGTTTACTGCCACGTAGTATTCCATGACATGGATGCATAGTTTGTTTCACTGTTCACCCGCTGAAGAGCATTTAAGTACTTTCCTTCCAATTTGTGGCACTGTGAATGAAACTATAGAAATTTCTGTATTGAATATATTTTTATTTCTCTGGGATAAATGCCCAACAGTAAAATTGCTGAGTTGTATGGTAAGTGAATGCTTAGGTTTTAAAGAAACTGCCTGTCATATTGTGACTTTTAATAATAAATCTATTCTTGGTCTCCGCCCCCA
The DNA here is from genome assembly GCF_000001405.40 of Homo sapiens. NCBI lineage: Eukaryota > Metazoa > Chordata > Mammalia > Primates > Hominidae > Homo > Homo sapiens. Next base: position 109,895,756 of record NC_000002.12, on the reverse strand, counting down.
TTTCCTGGCACAGGACTCCTAAAACTCTTGGACTCTCTGAAGTGGTAAGTGTCTTTTGTAGGCTAATGTGACAGGTGTGGGGGTGGCTGCTGGAGAATCAACCATGCAATAAGAAGGCTGCAACTTTCAGCTCCAGCCCCAACCCCTTGGAAGGGAGAGGAGTTGTGGTCAATGATCAAATCAATCATGCCTATGAAAAGAAGCCTCCATAAAAACTCAATAGGACAGTTTAGGGGAACTTCTGGGTTGCTGAACATATGGAGGTGCTGGGAGGGTGGCGCTCCCAGAGGAGAGAAGCTCTGCTCTGTTTCCCCACACCTTGCCCCATTATCTCTTCCATCTGGCTGTTCTTAACTCAAGTTATGCTATGTAAGGATTACTACGGGGAAGCAGATAGAGATCTTTCCTTTTATCTGGTTTCCTCTACTTACATCTGTGACTATTTTAATGAGGGTGGTTGGCACACAGTAACCCTAAATAGAACTCTTCAATAGAGGTCACCTTAACATGACCTGGTTTTATGATCAAAGGTACCATATACTATGAAGATATTTTTAAACTGTTTAATCAATCAATGTAACATTTTATATGAATGTAAAACAGGTTTCTGGCTCTGTTCCTTTGTTTACAATTTTGCTAGATCTCATTCTCTCCTCTTGGCCTTTCTTTCAATCAGGAATATCCTGCTGGGAGTTGGGAGGGAAAAGAGAAGCTGATGTTCTGAACGAAGAAAAGATGCAGCAAGAAAGCTAGATTGTCTTCTATCACACTCTATAGATCACCTTCCCATTAGCCTCTCCCTAGGAACTGATGACCCAACCAGTTGATTCTCATAATAATACAAGGCAAAGAAATTCTCTGCACATTACCCAAGCTACTTACACTGAAACAACAAAGGAACTAATGTGGGGGTTAAAGCCAAGCAGGAAGCTCAGACATGTCCTCCACTGCAATGGTGGGAGTAAACAGGCCCCGGGGTTTCAGGAGCTGGTGACAGCACTGATGGGCTGCCCTTCCTTTAGCAGCCCATTTTGGCATTCTGGTAAAGTCTACTTCTTCTAGAAAAATAGTTGCTCGCATTATTCCATTGTTGGCTTTACATCATTCCTGGACATATGGAACTTTTACTATGAGCCCATGATGCAATAGGCCCAATGTGGTGCCTAAGAAGTATCCAGCCCACCATCAGTAGAAGATACTACAATCTGCTGAATGAATGAATGAATGAATGAATGAATAAAAGTCATAGCCTCTGCTTCTATGACTATACAGTACATAGTTTGGTGCCCAGTGCTGAGTGAAGAAGGTTGTTTGTATGTCGTGAATAAGGATCTGTAACAGTGTGGCCATGGAAAGTTTAGGTGGTGGTCAGGTGCAGTGGCTCACGCCTGTAATCCCTGCACTTTGGGAGGCCGAGGCGGGTGGATCACCTGAGGTCAGGAGTTTGAGATTTGGCCAGGAGCCTGGCCAACATGATGAAACCCTGTCTCTACTAAAAACACAAAACATTAGCCGGGCGTGTGTGTGGAGGAAAAGTTAAATATTAAATTTGAACTCAATTGAACATGGACACAAACAATGGTCACCAAGTCCTGAAACAGGTTGAGTGAGCCCCTTGAGGCATTCATCCAGCGCTGTTTCAGAGAAATCTCTATTTCAATCTATTCTTACATGTCAGTTATTGAAAAACAATAGACAATCGCAAAAACAAGTTGTGACCTTTTTGTGTTCCTTAAGCCCAGTCACGAAGGCACTTGTGACTGGGTCTCATGCCAAACAACTTGTTACAAAAACAGCTAGAGTCCCAGACTGCACCGAAACTTCATGAGACCTTCCCTCGCTGTGCATGGACCAGTGGCTGACTCTGGAGCACAGGCTGTTGCTTCCCGGTCTGGTGATGAATCCTCCATAGTTTGGTGAGTGTAAAAAAATATATATATATATCTTTTCCCTTCTCCCCTTTTCATTGCAATTTGTTTATTGTATCATTTGTTTATTATATCTGCATTGCCTTTTACGTGGGATAAAGCTTGTTTACCCTTAAAGGTATTGTGTGTGTGTTTTTCTTCCCCCCTTAGGCATCTCCCGCACAGAACAGCATGGTGGCGGGTGCCTGTAATCCCAGCTATTCAGGAGGCTTGAGGCAGGAGAATCGCTTGAACCTGGGAGGCAGAGGTTGCAGTGAGCAGAGACTGCATCAGAGCAGCCTGGGTGACAGAGTAAGATTCTGTGAAAGAAAAGTGAAGAAAAAAGAGAAGAGAAGAGAAGAACAAAAAATTCTAAAATTTATGTGGAGTCACAAAACACCCGAATAGCCAAAGCTATCTTAAGCAAAAAGAACAAAACTGGGGGAATCACATTACCGGATTTCCAATTATACTGGAGAGCTATAGTAACCAAAACAGCATGGTATTGGCATAAAAACACACATATAGACCAATGGAACAGAATAGAGAACCCAGAAACAAAATCCACACACCTACAGTGAAGTCATTTTCCACAAAGGTGCCAAGAACGTACACTGAGGAAAAGACAGTCTCTTCAATAAATGGTGCTGGGAAAACTGAATATCCATAATGCAGAAGAATGAAACTAGACCCCTACCTCTCACCATAAACAAAAATCAAATCAAAATGAATTAAAGACTTAAATCTAAGATCTTAAACTATGAAACTAGTACAAGGAAATGTCTGGCAAACTCTCAAAGACATTGGTCTGGGCAAAAATTTATTGAATAATACCCCACAAGCACAGGCAACCAAAGCAAAAATGCACAAATGGGATCACATTAAGTTAAAAAGCTTCTGCAAGGCCAGGCGTGGTGGCTCATGCCTGTAATCCCAACACTTTGGGAGGCCGAGGTGGGCAGATCACCTGAGGTAAGGAGTTCAAGACCAGCCTGGCCAAAATGGTGAAACCCCATCTCTACTAAAAATACAAAAAATCAGCCGGGCGTGGTGGCGGGTGCCTGTAGCCCCAGCTACTCGGTAGGCTGGGGCAGGAGAATCGCTTGAGCCCAAAAGGCGGAGGTTGCAGTGAGCAGAGATTGCGTCACAGCACTCCAGCCTTGGCGACACAGTGAGTGAGACTCCATCTCAAACGACAACAACAACAACAACAAAAACAACAAATACAGCTTCTGTACAGCAAAGGAAAACAGTCAACAAAGTGAAAAGACAACCACAGAATGGGAGAAGATATCTGCAAACTAACCATCTGACAAGGGGTTAATAACCAGAATATATAAGGGGCTTAAACAACTCTATAGTAAAAAAATCAAATATAATAATCTGATCAGAAAATGGGCAAAATATATGAAAAGATATTTCTCAAAAGAAAACGTACAAATGGCAAACAGGCCTATGAAAAGGTACTCAATACCACTGATCATCAGAGAAATGCAAATCAAAAGTACAATGAGATCTCATCTCGCCCCAGTTAAAATGGCTTATAACAAAAAGACAGGCAATAACAAATACTGATGAGGATGTGGAGAAAAGGGAACCCTTGTACCCTGCTGGTGGAAATGTAAATGAGTACAATCACTGTGAAGAACAGTATGGAGGCTCTTCAAAAAACTAAAAATAGAGCTACCATAGGATCCAGCACTCCCACTGCTGGGGATATACACTAAAGAAAGGAAATCAGTATATCGAAGAGATATCTGCAGCACTGATCACAATAGCCAAGATTTGGAAGCAGCCTAAATGTCCATCAACAGACGAATGGATAAAGAAAAAATGTGGTACTTATAGACAATGGAGTATTATTCAGCCATAAAAAAGAATGAGGTCCAGCCATTTGCAACAACATGGATGGAACTGGAGATCATTATGTCAAGTGAAATAAGCCAGGCACAGAAAGACAAACATCGCTTGTTTTCATTTATTTTTGGGATCTAAAAATCAAAACAATTTAACTCATGGACACAGAGAGTAGAAGGATGGTTACCAGAGGCTGCGAAGTGTAGTGGTGAGATGGGGAATGGGAAAGGAATGGTTAATGGGTACAAAAACATTAGTTAGAAAGAATGAATAAGACCTAGTATTTGATAGCACAACAGGGTGACTACAGTCAATAATAATTAGATTGGACATTTAAAAATAACTAAAATAATATAATTGGATTGTTTGTAACATAAAGAATAAATGCTTGAGGGGATAAATATCACCCCCCCCCAATAAAATAATTAAACAGAAACAGGAGGTAGATTTGGCCCACAGACTGAAGTTTAGAGACTCCTCCTTAATAGGAAGAACTAAATACCATATTGGACAAACTTAAACAAAATATCATTACTATAGAGCCTTGAGAAAACAGATTTTTCTTTATAAGATGCTAACTCCTTAAATGAAATAGTGGCCACCACAATTACTGAAGGAATACCTTAAAGACCCACACAACCACAGCTTTTTGAAAGACCAGGGCTGCATTTACAATGACAGGAGAAACAGACACAGCTTCCGTGTTGCCTGAACTGGCATAAACAACAGAAGAAATGAACAGTGTCAGATTGGCACACATCTGCCTGGCCAGGGCCTCATTCCCACACTCCGTCCGTTCTCCCAAAAGGATTCCCCACCCACCACCCCCCAGATGGCTAGTATCCAACCATCAGGGCTCAATCCTAAGCAAAATATTGAACTAGCTGTTTTCTTCTCACTGGCCTGGTATCTGCAAAGCTAACCATCCGGCTGCCCTACCTTCAACTTTCCTTCCAAACATAGTACTCCTCAGTCTCTCCTTCCTCCTAGCCTATACAAAGTCAAAGTTTATGTTAATTTTATTAAAGCTATGCCAACAACAACAAAAAGTCTCAAATCATATCTAAGACATACCAGGTGACAAAAATTCATTTATAAACAAAAAAGTTTGGATAAAGTAGACATTTTTTTAGTTTACTATGAACTGATGATATACTGGCAAACTTACTAGATGGAGGGCTTTGAGCCAGCTACTTACACATCATGTCCTAATCTATGAAATAGCCCACGCTGCAGTTGTAGGGATGAGGGGTAAAGTTCATAAGCCACCCAGTGCACAGCCAACCACAGTGGGTGCTCATAATTGGTAGCTATTCCTAGGATGATGAGAAACAAGGATATATTAGAAAACATTCAGAATTCATCTGTAGAACAGGTGGGAGAAGGCTTTAAAAAAATAGCATTTCTGGCCAGGTGTGGTGGCTCACACCTGTAATCCCACCACTGTGGGAGGCCGAGGCGGGCAGATCACCAGGTCAAGAGTTCAAGACCAGCCTTGCCAACATAGTGAAACCCCGTCTCTACTAAAAAATACAAAAAATAGCCGGGTGTGGCAGCGGGCGCCTGTAATCCCAGCCATTCGGGAGGCTGAGGCAGGAGAATCACTTGAACCTAGGAGGCAGAGGTTGCAGTGAGCTGAGACTGCATCATTGCACTCCAGCCTGGGCAACATGCAAGAATCTGTCGCAAAAAAAAAAAAAAAAAAAAAAAAAAAAAAAAAGCATTTTTGCTTGTATTATAGATAAGTGAAACGGAGAAAAAAGAAACATGCACAAAGAAATTCTTTTAGTTATGCAGGTAGAGACAGTCTGTGTGTGTGCCTCTGTCTCTTTCACACAGACACACACACAAGCAAGCACATACACAGGAACTTACAATGACAACCTGCCGGAAAGAACTTGATGTTGTATGCTAGAAAACATCACCCTCTAGTGACTGCTAGTGTATTTGTTGCTTATTCAATTTATCAAGAATTCACAACATTTTAACTCTTCTATCCAAAAAAATGCTTTTAAAAAGTCTTCAGAAATGCAATCATCATTACAATCACGTGTTGCTGTGGCTGGACTGGGGGCATGAATTCCTGGAAGTTATACAAAAACTTTCTATGCATGTGCCTTTGTGCATTTTCTTCTATGAATGTCGTAAGTGTTGAGTCTCAAAGTGGTCTGTGAATAAAAAAAAAAGGTCAAATTAAGATGTTTTGACCAAGCACAGTGGCTCACATCTGTAATCTCAGCACTTTTGGAGGCTGAGGCAGGCAGATCACCTGAGGTCAGGAGTTCGAGATCAGCCTGGCCAACAAGGAGAAACTCCACTTCTACTAAAAATACAAAAATCAGCTGGGTGTGGTGGTGCGCACCTGTAATCCCAGCTTCTCGGGAGGCTGAGGCAGGAGAATCATTTGAACCCAGGAGGCGGAAGTTGCAGTGAACCAAGATCATGCCACTGCACCCCAGCAACAGAGCAAGACTCTGTCTAAAAAAAAAAAAAAAAAAAAAAAAAAAAGATGTTTCGTAGGGAAATTAATGAACCAAAGATGTTTCGTAGGGAAATTAATGAACCATCCCAAGTACTTCAAGTTCCTATTGCCTCAACATGTCCCCCTCCTTTTTAGTTTAGTTTAGTTTTTTTTTTTTTGAGATGGAGTTTTGCTCTTGTTGTCCAGGCTGTGCAATGGCGTGATCTCGGTTCACAGCAACCTCTGCCTCCCAGGTTCAAACGATTCTCCTGCTTCAGCCTCCTGAGTAGCTGGGATTACAGGCATGCACCACCACACCTGGCTAATTTTGTATTTTTAGTTGAGATGAGGTTTCTCCATGTTGATCAGGCTGGTCTCAAACTCCTGACCTTAGGTGATCTGCCCATCTTGGCCTCCCAAAGTGCTAGGATTACAGGCATGTGCCATGCCCGGCCAACATGCCCTTTCTTTACATACATCCCTAATGGGGAAAGTAAAATCTGAGACCTAACTGAATTCCATTGATCTGTTCTGTAAATCATTTTACATTTATGTTAATCTTCCAAAAAGTGTGCTCCCATTTTCCTCACCTCTTATTTTTAAAATGTTGTCATCATATATAACACCAGACTCCTGAGCCACCCTCTGGCTTTTCTGCTCCTTCCACAGCTACAGCTCATCTTCCATGGACCCTTTCATTTCCTCCTTTGGAAATTAAAGACAGCACATGCTCATTTATCTCACACTCTTTTGTAAGAATTACAAATTAACTCGTATTAATACTAAGAGTATTAATTATCGCTAATTAGAAATAAGCTGAGAAAGATAAAGTACTATACAAATGTTGGCCGCTGAATGCCTACAGGGACACAGGAAGTCAAAACAGTATCAGGTCTTTCTATGTCTGCGGCAGAATGCCAAAGCCCTGACACACATCCTTTTAGCAGCTTTAAGTCACTTCTGCAAGTGAGTACAAGGGGATCATCCCTTACTCCTGATCTTTGCTCTCAGGGGACCACTTCAGCATAAGCCTTCCACCCTCCACAGATAACCTCAGGTTCTCCTGAAGCCTCTAGATCTTATTTGACATTTTATTATAGGTGCAACTTCTTGTGGCCTGTTCTTCCATCTTCAAAGCACATTACTCTGACCTCTGTTTCCATCCTCACATTCCTTTCTCCTCTTTCTGATCCTCCTGCATCCCTCTTATAAGGACGACTGTGACTCCCTCGGGCCCCCAGATCATCCAGGATCATCTCCCATCTAAAGGTTCTTAACCATATTTGCAAAGTCCCTTTGCCATGTAAGTAACATATTCACAGGTTTTGGGGAGTAGGATCTGGACATATTTGGGGGCCATTATTCAGCCCACCACATGTCCTTCTTACACGCCTCCATCCTTTCTTTTCCTTCTGGTGCTACAAGATGTTCCAGCCTTATTTTGTGTATTCCTGGCTCCAGACCTAGAATTTCTCAGGCGTTTCTCCAGAAATACTGGGGTGTCACTGCTTCTAGGGCTTCTCAGAAGACAGAGTGAAAAAATATAGCTAAACAGATTAGTGTATTATACATGTGTATACATAGACACGCACACATTCATACTGATACCTCCCACTCTACTCCACAAGGCTCATTCTAACTTCCCCCCTTGCTTATTTGTAACTTTTTTCTCTGAGAGTGAGACCCCAACTTTCATTATCTACAACATATCTATCTATTTATTATACTTGTAGTTTCAAAATTACTGAGAAACAAATTTACTACCTAGAATACTGTGTTAATATACAATTTTCTTTAGTTTTACAGTATCCAGTCAAAAGGCTGTCTTCCAAAATTGCTTAGGTCAGCTACTTCTCCATGCAACTCTTTCAGTGAGGCTGTATCATGCGTTTGTAATATTGTTAGATTCATTTGTTATAGCCTGCTTTCTCCACAGGACTTCCTAACAGCCTATTTCTTTTTTTTTTTTTTTTTTGAGATGGAGTCTTGCTCTGTCACCAGGCTGGAGTGCAATGGCACTATCTTGGCTCACTTGCAACCTCCACCTCCTGGGTTCAAGTGATTCTCCTGCCTCAGCCTCCAGAGTAGCTGGGACTACAGGCGCCCGCCACCACGCCCAGCTAATTTTTGTATTTTTAGTAGAGATGGGGTTTCACCATGCTGGCCAGGCTGGTCTTGAACTCCCGACCTCAGGCGATCCACCTGCCTCCGCCTCCCAAAATGCTGAGTTTACAGGCATGAGCCACCCGCCCGGCCAGCCTGGTTCATTTTTCAAATTTGCGTGCACTAAAGTCCACTCTTTGTGGTGTACAGATCCATGTGTAGTTGTGTGTTTCTGGGCTTTTTATTCTGTTCCAGTGGTCAATCTGTCTCTTCATATGACAGTATCATACACTTTCCTAAAAGAGGATCTAGAAGTGTTTTTAATACCTGACAAGCTATTCTCTCTCCACAGCTTTTTATTCCAGGGTTCTTCTAGTTGTTCTTATGTTTAATTTTTTTCATATGGACTTTGGTATCAACTTTTCAAGCTCCATTTAAAAAAGAAAGCTTGTGGAATTTTTATAGGATTGCACTAAATTGATGGTGTTGCTAAGATTCAAACATAGGCAGTTTGCTCCAACACCTACATGAAGTTTGGGGCAAAAAAGAAAAAAGTAACATTTTTGTAGTGGTATTCAGTTTTTATTAATAGAGTTCGGTTTTGTTGTTATAACTAGGCTACTTTGTATTAACCCTGGAATTGAAACTTATTATGAAAATAATTTGCATGTAGGTTTACTAATAAAGAATCAGGCTCAAATGCACTAAAAGACAGACATGAAAATTGTGTTTCGACTACTCTGAAAATTCTTATCCCTATAATAGAAAATAATTCATCTGTGAAATGAAATAATAATCTAGAAACCCTCTGATGGCATGTAGAACTTGTTCTCAGTGGAAAACTCAGTCAACTAATTCTCAAATGTTTGCATACTTAAATTATACCCCAAGTCATAAATAACAACCTATTAAATAAATTTGCTTTGTGTCTTTGTGCTTTATTAATTTTTTTCTCATCTGACTTCTTTCCAAAAGCACTTAAAAAGATTTAAGTCTCTAGTTACACTTTCCTTCTTCTGCAAATTTGTCAGAGTGAAAATTTATTGTGTTCTTTGAAAGAATTACCTTTTGACAACTTGCACGAAGTCTTCACAAGCTTTCGCCAATTCCTCAGCCATCTTCTCCAACGAGGCAAATACTTCATTCTCCACTTCTTTCCTCTCCATTGAGATGAGCAGATGGCAAAGCTGAACGATCATTGGTGAGATGATTCTCTCAATGCCTTTGTTCTGTATCACAGAGCTGATGTCATCCAAGAGGAAAGACTCCATCTCTCTTAGTCTGTGAACAGAAGTTACAACATAGTTTAACTCACACTGACTGACATGTAAACCTACTTCTCTTTGACTTGATGTTCATCTAATTTTACTTCTATGATGAGAAAGAAATCTGCAAAATATCAAAGGGATAAGTTGGGAGAGATATTTTTAGGACCTCACAAGTATGGGATAGGTTGTGGCTTAGCAGAAACATTAAAAAATGGGACAAAGGCACAATGAGATAGATTCAGAGGTGCAAACAATGGCGAATGGACTCACAAACTATATGAAATAGAGGCAGTTTAAGAAATGGTTAATTGACAAAGAAACATTGAACTTAAATAGGACTTTACAGACATTTACAGAACACTCTACCAAACAACTGCAGAATATACATTCTTCTCATCAGCACGTGGAATATTCTCCAACACAAACCTCTATCAAGCCACAAAACAAATTTTTCTTTTTTTTTTTTTTTTGAGACAAAGTCTCGCTCTTGCCTCCCAGGCTGGAGTGCAATGGCGCGATCTCAGCTCACTGCAACCTCCACCTCCCAGGTTCAAGCGATTCTCCTGCCTCAGCCTCCTGAGTAGCTGGGATTACAGGCACCTGCCACCACGTCTGGCTAATTTTTGTATTTTTAGTAGAGACAGGGTTTCACCGTGTTGGCCAGGCTGGTCTCAAACTCCTGACTACAGGTGATCCACCTGCCTCAGACTCCCAAAGTGCAGAGATTACAGGCGTGAGCCACAGTGCCCGGCCAAAACAAATTTTTAAAAATTAAAATCATATCAAGTTCTTCTCAGACCACAGTGGAATAAAAACTTAGAAATAAATACCAAGAGGAACTTTGGAAACTATACAAATACATGGAAATTAAACTACATACTCCTGAATGATCATTGCATCAAGAAATTAAGATAGAAATGTAAAAAAAATTTTTTTTAATTTTTTTGAGATGGATTTTTGCTCTTGTTGCCCAGGATGGAGTGCAATGGCACGGTCTTGGCTCACCACAACTGCTGCCTTCCAGGTTCAAGCAATCCCGCTGCCTCAGCCTCCCAAGCAGCTGGGATTACAGTCATGTGCCATCACAATGGCTAATTCTGTATTTTTAGTAGAGACAGGGTTTCTTCATGTTGGTCAGGCTGGTCTCGAACTCCTGACCTCAGGTGATCCACCCGCCTCGGCCTCCCAGACCACGGGGAGTACAGGCATGAGCCACCATGCCCAGCTGGAAGTTTAAAAATTTTTTGAATCAAATAAAAATGAAAACAAAACATACCAAAACCTGTGGGATACAGCAAAAGCAGTGCTGAGTAAAGTTTATAGTATTAAACGCCTACATCAAAAAAAAGAAAGATTACAAGTTAACAACCTAACATCACACATCAAGAAGCTATAAAAGCAAGAACAAACCAAATGGAAAGTTAGCAGAAGAAAAGAAGTAACAAAGATCAGAGCAGAGCTAAATGAAATACAGATAAAAAAATTCAAAGGATCAATGAAATGAAAAGTTTGTTTTTCAAAAAGAAAAACAGATTGATAAGCCACTAGCTAGACTAACCAAGAAAAGAGAAAATCTGAATAAACAAAATCAGAAAAGATAAAGGAGACATTACAACTGATAACATGGAAATACAAGAGATCATCAGAGACTATTATGAACAACTATATGCTTACAAACCAGAAAACTTAGAGGAAATGAATAAATTCCTAGAAACATGCAACCTCCCAATATTGAACCAGGAAGAAACAGTAAACCTAAGCAGATGAATAATGAATAGCTAGATTAAATCAGTAATAAAAGATCTCCCAAGAAAGAAAAGCCCAGGACCAGATGGATTCATAGTTGAATTTTATCAAATGTACAAAGAAGAACTAATACAAGTCCTCCTGAAACTGTTCCAAAAAAACATTTGAGGAGAAATGAGTTCTCTCTAACTCATACTATGAGACCAGTAATACCTTATACCAAAATCAGAGAGACCATGACACATAAGGAAAGAAAAGTCCACACCAATATCCCTGATCAACATAGATGCAAAAATTTTCAAAAAATACTAGCAAACCAAATCTAACAGCACATCAAAAAGTAATACCCCATGGTCAAGTGGGATTCATCCCAGGGTTGCAAAGGATGCTTCAACATTTGCAAATCAATAAATAAATTTGATACATCTTATCAACAGAATTAGAGACGATAAACCATATGATCATCTCAATAAATGCAGCAAAAGCATTTGGTAAAATTCAGCATCTCTTCATGATAAAAACCTTCAATAAACTAGGTATAGAAGGAACATACTCTGAATTAATAAAAACCATATATAACAAACCCACTGCCAACATCATACTGAATGGGGAAAAGCTGAAAGCATTCTAAGTACTGAAACAAAACAAGGTTGCCTACTTTCACCACTCCTATTCAACATATTAATTAGTACTGGAAGTCCTAGCCAGAGCAATCAGGCAAGAGAAAGAAATAAAAGGCATCCAAATTGTAAAAGAAGTCAAAATATTCCTGTTCACTGATGATATGATTCTATATCTAGCAAAACCTAAAGACTCCACCCAAAAACTCTTAGACTTGATAAATGAATTCAGTAACACTTAAGAATACAAAATCAATGTATAAAAATCAGTAGTGTTTCTATACACCAATGAGGATCTAGCTGAGAACAAAATCAAGAAGGCAATCTCATATATAATAGCTTCAAAAATAAAATAAAATAAAATACCAACTAACCAAGGAGGTGAAAGATCTAAACAAGGAAAACTACATAACTCTGATGAAAGAAATTGTAGATGACACAACCAAATAGAAAGATATCCCATGCTCATTGGTCAGATTTAATATCATTAAAATGATCATACTGCCCAATGCAATCTACATATTCAATGGGATCTCTATCAAAATACCAATGTCATTTTTCAAAGAATTAGAAAAAACATGCTAAAATTAACATGTAACCAAAAAAGAGCCGGAATAGCCAAAGCATTATAAAACAACAACAACAAAGCTAAAGCTGTCACATTACCAGACTTCAAATTATAATACAAGGCTGTAGTAACCAAAACAGTATGATACTGGTACAAAAATAGACACATAGATCAATAGAATAGAAAAGAGAATCCAGAAATAAAGCCACATATTACAGCCAACTGATATTTGACAAAATCAACAAGAACATACAGTGGAGAAAGGACACCCTTTTCAATAAATGATGCTGGGATAATTGGATTGGCATCTGCAGACGAATGAAACTGGACCACCATCTTTTACCATATAAAAAAATCAACTCAAGATGAATTAAAGATTTAAATGTAAGACCCGAAACTACAAAAACACTAGAAGAAAATCTGGGGAAAACTCTTCCGGACATTGATCTAGGCAAAAAATTGATGACAAAGACCTCAAAAGCACAGACAACAAAAACAAAAATAGGCAAATGGGACTTAATTAAACTAAAAGGCTTCTGCACAGCAAAAGAAATAATCATCAGAGTGAACAGACAACCTGCAGAATGGGAGAAAATATTTACAAACTATGTATGACAGGGGACTAATGTCCAGAATTTACAAGGAACTCAAACAATGCAACAACAACAACAACAACAAAATAGAAAACAATCCCATTAAACAATAGGCAAAGGACATGAATAGACACTTTTGAAAGAAGACATACAAATGGCCAAGAGGCATATGAAAAAATGCTTAACATCACAAATCACCAGAGAAATGCTAATTAAAACCACAATGAGATATCATTTTACATCAGTCAGAATGACTTATTAAAAAGACAAAAATAACAAATGTTGGCAAGAGTACAGAGAAAAGGTCATACACTTTTGGTGAGAATGTAAATTAGTACAACCTCTATGGAAATCAGTATGGAGATTTCTCGGAGAACTGAAAATAGAACTACCATTCAATCTAGCAATACCACAACTGGGCATCTACCCAAAGGAAAAGAAATCATTATATCAAAAAGATAACTGCACTCATATGTTTATCACAGCATTATTCACAATAGCAAAGATATGGAATCAGCCAGGTGCTGTGGCTTACACCTGTAATCCCAGTACTTTGAGAGGCTGAGGCAGGTGGATCACTTGAGGCCAGGAGTTGAGACCAGCCTGGCCAACATGGTGAAAACCCATCTCTACTAAACATACAAAAAAAAAAAATCAGCCAGGCGTGGTGGTGCATGTCTGTAATCCCAGCTACTCTGATGGCTGAGGCACAAGAATAGCTTGAACCCAGAAGGGGGAGGTTACAGTGAGCCAAGATCACGCCATTGCACCCCAGCCTGGGCGACAGAACAAGACTCTGTCAAAAAAAAAAAAAAAAGATAGGGAATTAACCTATGTATCCATCAACAGATGATTGGATAAAGAAAATGTGGTACATATACACAATGGAATTCTATTCAGTCATAAAAAGAGAATGAAGTCATGTCTTTGGCAGCAACATGAATGAAACTGGAAGCCATTATCTTAAGTGAAAAAAGTCAGACATAGACAAATTCTGCATGTTCTCACTTACAGGTGGGAGCTAAATAATGTGTACACATGGACATAGAGTGTGGAGTGATAGACAGTGTTGACTTGGAAGAGTGAGGGGGTGGGAGGGGAGTTGATGGTGAGAAATTACTTAATAGGTAAAAATGTGTGTTATTCAGATGATGTATACCCAACAAAGCCCTGACAAGGATTTTGAAGCAGATGTCATGAACATACTTCAACAAGTAATTGAACACACTTAAATTTTAAAAATTACAATTCAAGAAAAAAAAGACATAGAAGGAAAAAATTTGAAATTTTAGAACTGAAAATATAATTAAAATAAATTCATTGAATGGGCTCAATAGCAGAATGGAGATGACAGAGGAAAGTCAATTAATTTGAACATAGATTATTACAAGTTTCTCAAACTGAACGACAAAAAGAAAATAGCTGAAAAAGAAATGAACAGAGATCCAGGAACTTGTGGGACAATAAGAAAATAGCTAACATTTTCAAGGGCTAAAATAAAAGAACTGTTCATCCTAATTCTATACCCAGTGAACTATACTTCAGGAATGAAGGGGAAATAAAAACATTTCTTGTCAAAATATAAACAAAAGTTACCCAGAAGAAACACAAAGCCTGAATGAATTATTAGCTATAGAGAGACTGAAATAATAAAGGCCTATATTTTAAAAGGTCATAGATCCAGAAGATTTTAATCCCTGAATTCTTTCTGGCCTTTAAAGAAGGAACAATTCTTACAATGCCTAAACAATTTCAGTACTTGGAAAAAGTGCAAAGCTTCATTGTTTATCTTATAAGGCTAACATTGCTTTAATTTTTAAAACTAGTAAGAAATATCAAAAAATTAGAGTATATACCATTTTTATAAAGGGATACAGACACAAAAATTATAATCAAATTATTAGAATATGAAATCCAATGATACGGAAAAAGAATAGTACTCCTTAACTAATCAGGGTTTGAGGAATGAGAGGGTGCTTCAACATTACAAACTCAACTGACCAGGATTCCTTGGACAAATGGCTGATTCAAGGACTGTAGCAGGAATAGAGAAGGTAAGCACAGAATCTCTTGAAATGACAGGAAATAAAGAAGTGCTCCCAAACAAAACCAAACCCACTTTGAGGGAGGTTTGTCAAAGGCACACAGGAGCAAGTGAAAGAACTTCCAGTGGCCAAAGGAGGCATGATTGGAGCAACACCATAAAGTAACACTGGATTCTAATCCAAAGTATGAAATAAGTATCTATGAACAATGATTGAGAAAATAAATAAATAGGGGAGACAAACCTCTCATGCAGAAGAATTCTAAATGATTGATGTCGATATTTCACCCTCAAACAGTGGAGAGCATAACTCTCCAATCCTTAAGTGTGGGCTGGAAAGGGATCGGGATCCCGATCCACACCCTAAGAGAGGATTCTTGAATCTTGCACAAGAAAGAATTCAGGATGAATCTGCAGTGCAAAGCAAAAGCAAGTTTATTAAAGAAAGTAAAGTAGTGAAAGCACAGCTACTCCATAGACAGAGCAGGGCGTTCCTGAAAGCAAAAGGAGGAACGCTTCCACCGTAGATACAATGTTGGTATACACACACACACACACACGATAAATACATACATATGTGTATATATGAGATAAATACATACATATGTGTATATATATATACACACACATATGTATATATATGATAAAAAAATCTTGGGGAGATGTGCTCTGCTACAGGGGTTTGTGATAAAGCATTAATTTTCCTAATTACTGTATTTTGCAAGAATCGATATGTTTAAAGCAAAATTAGGAATGCCCTTATTCTCCAGATATCGGGATATCTGGACACTCCCGAGTCTGCATCTGTTTAGTAAACATTATTAATCTGTTCCCTTAACCATAAACATCTAGGGGCTAGGAATTCCTCACTTTCTGGGAATGCAGCCCAGGAAGCCTCAGACACATTTTCCTAGCCCTCACTCAAAATGGAGTCACTCCAGTTCAAACACCTCTGACATAAGGACTTCCTTCCAAAGAGTACAGTAAGGAAAGGGAAAGAAAGAGGGACTTTTCTGTGGAGAAACGTAATGGACACCGTCTCAGCCAGGTGATCAAGGTCAGCATCAACAGGAATAAATCTCACCAGTATCCCCAAAACTGTCAAGGTCATCAGAAACAAGAAAAGTCTTAGAAACTGTCACAGCCAAGCGGAGCGTAAGGACAGATGACAACTAAATGTAATGTGATGTCCTGGATGACATCCTCGAACAGAAAATAATATTAGGCAAAAACTAAGGAGATCTGGATAAAATATTCACACTAGCTAATAATAACAAATCAATATTAGTTGAGTAATTGTTGCAAATACACCATACTCGTGTAAGATGTTGGTTATAGGAGACAATTGAGTACAGGGCATATAGGTGCTCTTTGTACGAATTTCTTAATTTTTCTGTAAGTACAAAACTGTCCAAAAAGTTAAGACTATTTTTTTAAAAAATTCAACTATCACAATATATTAAATCAACAATTTAAACTAGGATAATACGATTAAATCAATAAATACTAAAAAGCTTGTTTCTGATCTTTTTTCAAAGTTTCCAAGTAAAATGATTAAATATGATTCGTCATCAAGAGAAAGCTTTATACTAAACAGTAAAACACAGAGCCAATTTTATCCATCAGTTTCAAGCTGAAATATCAGCTGCCACCATTATTAAACATATTTTTTCAAAATTCTACTCAATATAATTCGATCAAAAATTGAAATAATTGGGGCCGGGCATGGTGGCTCATGCCTGGAATCCCAGCACTTTGGGAGGCCGAGGTGGGCAGATCACTTGAGGTCAGGAGTTCGAGACCAGCCTGGTCAACATGGTGAAACCCCGTTTCTACTAAAAATCCAAAAAGAAAATTAGCCAGGCATGGTGGTGCGCACCTGTAATCCCAGCTACTCGGGAAGCTGAGACAGGAGAATCACTTGAACCCGGGAGGTAGAGGTTGCAGTGAGCCGAGATCGCGAGACTGCACTCCAGCCTGGGTGACAGAGGGAGACTCCGTCTCAAAGAAAAAAAAAAAAAAATTGAAATAATCAATTTAAATGTTGGAAAGTAGGCAAAACCATCCAAGATATTTTAGAAAAGAAACAAAAACAGGCCGGGCGCGGTGGCTCACGCCTGTAATCCCAGCACTTTGGGAGGCTGAAGTGGGCAGATCATGAAGTCAGGAGACCGAGACCATCCTAGCCAACATGGTGAAACCCCGTCTCTATTAAAAATACAAAAAATTAGCCGGGTGTGGTGGCGGGTGCCTGTAGTCCCAGCTACTCGGGAGGCTGAGGCAGGAGAATGGCGTGAACCCGGGAGGCAGAGCTTGCAGTGAGCAGAGATCGCACCACTGCACTCCAGCCTGGGTGACAGAGCAAGACTCTGTCTTGAAAAAAAAAAAGGAACAAAAACAATCTTAAACGAATAAGTAAATTTGGTTAAATAGTTGCACATGTTTTCTCTATGAACAGAAATCAGAAATGGAAATGGAAAACCATGTCATTGAATAGCAACTAAATTCAAAGTGAAATAAAAATAACATCAAGGACATGAGTTTAACTTGAATAAAATTTTGTAGTGGACGTTAAAACTAAGTACATTGAGAGACACCGTATCTGAATGGGGAGACTCACTATCATAGGAATAAAAATCCTCCCAACATTAATAATGTATGGATATTGCTGCAGTTCTTACACAATGTGTTTGAGCTAGCTAAAAGGATTTCAAAAATTACATGGAAAAATAAATGCTTCAGAATCACCAAGACACTAAGTCAAAGAATAATGAGAGGGAATTGCGTTTATATCCACTATATAGTGGAGAATGCTAAACGCTGCCTGCATTAGTTACCTATTTCTATGTATATACAATCTAATGTTAAAATCTCAGAGAGACCAAAGGATCACAGTCATATTCAGTCACACAAAGGTCCCTTTAAAGAGATTAAGGGTGTTGCTCTCAGATTGTCTCAAACAATTAAACCTCTAGGGAGCTTAAGAGTATTTTTCCTCAGCCTCTCAGCAGAAGCTCAAGATAGTGAAGGGTTTATCCAGAGAGATTTGTAGGGTTTCGTCTAATGTAGTTAACACATTATGCAAGCAAACAAAAAGACCCACAAATTTCCTGAGAAATCTGTGTGTCAGTTTGGAGTGGAAAAGGCAGACCCAGTACAACATAAAAAGGAATTGTTGGACCTCCAAAATTCTAGCAGGAAGCAGGCTGAGAAAACAGATGCTACCTTTTCTTTAAAAAAAAAAAAAAAAAAAAGTCCGGGCACAGTGGCTCACACCTGTAATCCCAGCACTTTGGGAGGCTGAGGAGGGCAGATCGCTTGAGGTCAAGAGCTCAAGACCAGCCTGGCCAACATGGTGAAACCCCGTCTCTACTAAAAATACAAAAATCAGCCAGGCGTGGTGGTGGGAGCCTGTAGTCCCAGCTACTCGGGAGGCTGAGGCAGGAGAATGGCGTGAACCCGGGAAGTGGAGCTTGCAGTGAGCTGAGATCGCACCTCCAGCCTGGGCGACAGAACAAGACTCCTTCTCAAAAAATAAAAAAAAAACCATTCCACTTTGAACTCACTTCTTGTATTGCCTTGGGAGACATCTGGCCATTGGTACTCATTTCTGTTCTGGGTCGAAGGGACCTCACCTTCTTTTCCACCAGCCATGAGACAGGAAGGCCTCAACTGGTATCCCTGAAAGGGGGAGAGTTGGACTCTTGCCACAAGTCAGGTATCTCACCTACTTCTCTCTCCCCTCTTGTGACCTTTTCTCAACTACTGCCCCCTAGTGTGGTTCCAATGGTAAATGACGGATTTGGAAGAGGAAATAGACATCCCTTCTCCGGTGGGTTTGGGATTGGAGTCAGAATGGCCACTGTGAGGACACCTGGTGATCCCTGGACCCTCACCAAGACAAGACTCAGAGGGACACCAAGCAGCAGGGGGAAGTCAAGAGAGAATAAAATGCTAAAGACTTTTTGCTTTAGGAGTTGAAGAGATATATATTTGATATATATTTATTATGTTTGGAAACCATAAAATGAAATCAATAGGATGAATGAATGGCTTTTATTCTTGTTAAACAAGTATTTATTTGGTACCCACTACATGCTTTGTATAGTTGGCTCAACCTTCAAACTCTACCCATTATGAAGCCACTGTTTACCATGTCCACTGCCTATCTCTAATCTAGCCACCTTCACCTCTCACCTGGAGCGTGGGAACACACTACATCTATAACAGAAAATTATTGTTTAGAAACAACCCCATTGTTCCGCTATTACAGATAACAGTAGTAAATGTCTTTGCTGTAGATCACCCTTGTTTCTTTTTTAATTTTAATTTTTTATTTTATATATATATGTGTCTGTATGTGTGTGTGTGTGTGTGTGTGTGTGTGTGTGTTTGAGACAAGGTCTCACTTTGTTGCCCAGGCTGGAGTGAGATGGCATGATCTCAGTTCACTACAGCCTCGACTTCCTGGGCTCAAGCGATCCTCCCACCTCAACCTCTTTTTTTTTGACACAGAGTCTCACTCTGTCGCCCAGGCTGGAGTGCTGTGGTGCAATCTCAGCTCACTGCAAGCTCCGCCTCCCAGGTTCAGGCCATTCTCCTGCCTCAGTATCCCGAGTAGCTGGGACTACAGGTACCCACCACCAAACCTGGCTAATTTTTTGTATTTTTAGTTGAGACAGGGTTTCACCACATTAGCCAGGATGGTCTCGATCTCCTGACCTCGTGATCCGCCCGCCTCAGCCTCCCAAAGTGCTGGGATTACAGGCGTGAGCCACCGTGCCCGGGCCCGCTCCCATCTCAAGCTCTTGAGTAGCTGGGACGACAGCCGTGCACCACCACACCCTGTTAATTTTTTGATTTTTAGTAGAGATGAAGTCTCACTATGTTACCCAGGCTGTTCTTGAACTCCTGAGCTCAAGTGATCTTCCCACCTCAAGCCTCCCGAAGTGCTGGGATTACAGGCATGAGCCATCACACCCAGCCTTGACTCTTGTTTCTTCTTAAAAATTTCATTAGAGTAAGTTTGAAACATGAGATTACTTGGTCAAATGATATGAAGCCTTTATGGCTCTTGCTCTGTGTTATCCTCTTGCTTTTTCAAAGGGCCGTGAGCTAACAGGGAGCAGTTCATGACGAACTTCTACTAAAAGTATCACCATTTTTGTTTTCTTATTTTATAGGTATAAAACGATACATAAAATTCAAATTTATTTTATAATTTTTGATACTGTTGTATCAAAAAATCTGAGTCTGATTCCTAAGGGAGATGAAACAGCATGAGTCATGTGTGTAGGGAAAGAGAAGAAGGGAGCTTTTCCAGGTTGATTTGCAGTTTCTTGTTCAAGAAGCTCACCAGATGGTCGAACAAGTGACAGGAAGAAGATAGTTGAAAAGGGCGTTAACGTTTGGGAAAGGTGGATCATTGAATTAATGAACTGAATTGAATTCATTTATAAAGAAAGCATGAGATCCAGGTAGAAATCAGCTATAAATCTAAAGCATAGATCAGAAGATTCTAGCAAACTGAAACCACAGCGAGCTGTCACTACACTTTTATTAAAATGGTTAAAATAAGAAGTGGTGACAACTCACTAAAGAGTGAGTTCAGCCATATTATGGGATATGAGAGCAACACACAAAACTTAATCACATTTTTATATGCCAACAATGAACATGTGGAAACCAAAGTTAAAAACACAAAACTACTTAGCTGGGCGCAGTGGCTCACACCTGTAATCCCAGCACTTTGAGAGTCCAAGGCGGGCGGATCACCTGAGGTCAGGAGTTCGAGACCAGTCTGGCCGACTTGCTGAAACCCTGTCTCTATAAAAATACACAAATTAGCCGGGCTTGGTGGCAGTCACCTGTAATCCCTGTTACTCAAGAGGCTGAGGTGGGAGAATCGCTTGAACCCAGGAGGCAGAGGTTGCAGTGAGCTGAGATCGCACCATTGCACTCCAGCCTGGGCAAGAGAGCAAAAATTCCGTCTAAAAAAACCCCAAAAAACCACAGTACTACTTACAGTCACCCTAGAGAAAATGTGATGCTTGGGTATAAATTTAACAAGACATGTATAGGCTCTGTATGCTAAAAATAGTAAAATGATTATGAAGGAAGTCAAAGAGGACCTAAAGAAATGGACAGACATACTGTGTTCATGGATTGCAGGACAGTATAGTAAAGATGTCAGTTCACCCCAAACTGGTCTATAGGTTTATGTAATTCTTATCAAAATGTTAGCAAGATTTTTGTATAGACATGGAGCTTCTTTTAAAATTTACATGGAGGGGCCGGGCACGGTGGCTCACACTTGTAATCCCAGTACTTTGGGAAGCCGAGGCAGGTGGATCATGAGGTCAGGAGATCGAGACCATCTTGGCTAACATGGTGAAACCCCGTCTCTCCTCAAAATACAAAAAATTAGCCGGGCGTGGTGGTGGGCACCTGTGGTCCCAGCTACTCGGGATGCTGAGGCAGGAGAATGGCGTAAACCCGGGAGACGGAGGTTGCAGTGAGCCAAGATCATGTCACTGCACTCCAGCCTGGGCAACAGAGCGAGACTCCATCTCAAAAAAAAAAAAAAAATTTACATGGAGGCCAGGTGCAGTGACTCACGCCTATAATCCCAGCACTTTGGGAGGCCAAGGCAGGTGGATCACCGGAGGTCAGGAGTTCGAGACCAGGCTGGCCAACATGGTGAAACCCTGTCCCTACTAAAAATACAAAAATTAGCCAGGCATGGTGGAGGGCGCCTGTAATTGCAGGTATTTAGGAGGCTGAGGCAGAAGAATCGCTTGGGCCCAGCCTAGGCGACAAGACCAAGACTCCATCTCAATCAATAAATAAATAATAAAAATTCATATGGAAAGGCACAAGCCCTAGAATAGCTTAAACATCTTGAAAAAGAAGAATATAAGTGAACATGCTACCTGATATTAAGATGTATTTTAGAGCTATAGTACTTAATACACTGTAGTATTCATGAAAAAATAGAAACATAAATCAGTGGGGCCAGGCACGGTGGCTCTCGGCTGAAATCCCAGCAGAGGCCAAGGCGGGTGAATCACCTGAGGTCAGGAGTTCAAGACAAGCCTGGCCAACATGGTGAAACCCCATCTCTACTAAGAATACAAAAAAAATTAGCCAGGTGTGGTGGCGCATGCCTGTACTTTCAGCTACTCGGGAGGCTGAGGCATGAGAATTGCTTGAACCAGGGGGCAGAGGTTGCAGTGAGCCGAGATCACACCACTA
Organism: Homo sapiens; assembly: GCF_000001405.40. Lineage (NCBI taxonomy): Eukaryota > Metazoa > Chordata > Mammalia > Primates > Hominidae > Homo > Homo sapiens. Next base: position 109,873,335 of record NC_000002.12, on the reverse strand, counting down.
TGTGACAGAGCAAGATTCTGTCTCAAAAACAGAAGAAACATAAATCAGTGGAAGAGAATAGAGAACTCAGAAATAGACCAAAACATATATGCCCATCTGATATTTGAAAAAGGTGCAAAAGCCATTCAATAGAGGAAGGATAAACTTTTCAACAAATTGTACTAGATAAGGTGGATATCAACAGGCAGAAAAATGAACATCAACATAAGCTTCACACCTCATACAAAAACTAACTCAAAATGGATCGTGGACCTAATAATTTTTCAGAAAAGAGGAGATAGGGCTTGGCAAAGAGTTCTTGAGCTTGACTCCAAAAGTATAATCCATAAAAGTAAAAATTGATAAATTGAACCTCATCAAAATAAAACTTCTGCTCTATGAAACACCTCATTAGAGTATAAAAATGAGTTACAAACTGGGTGAAAGGATTTTTAAGTCATACATATGACAAGGGACTCAGATCTAGAATATGTAAACAACTTTCAAAACTTAACAGTAAACAACAACAGACACACAATCCAATTAGAAAAAGAGCAAACAGTAAGACCCCAGCTCTACAAAAAAATACAAAAATTAGCCAATGTGGTGGCACACACCTGCATACCTAGTATTCCTGAGAATTGAAAATATATGTTCACAAAAACTTGTATGCAAATCTTATAGCAGCATTATTCATAAGAGGCAGACAAGAATGGAACCAATGCAAACGTCCATCAATTGATGACTAAATGAACAAAAATGACTCTTCAGCCATAGAAAGGAGTGAACATGATGCTAATACACACTACAATGGGGATGAGCCTTGAAAACTTTGTGCTAAGTGAAATTAGACACAAAAGGCCACATACTGTGTGATTCCATTTATATGAAATGTCCAGATGAGACATCCATACATACAGAAAGTAGATTAGTGGTTGTCAGAAGCTGGGGTGAGGAGGGAGTAGTGAGTGACTGCTAATAGGTACAGAGTTTTTTTGGGGGGAGTGGTGAAACCGTTCTAAAATTAAACTGTAGTAGGCCGGGCATGGTGGCTCACACCTGTAATCCCAGCACTTTGGGAGGCCAAGGCAGGCAGATCACGAGGTCAGAAGACCAAGACCATCCTGGCCAACATGGTGAAACCCCATATGTACTAAAAATACAAAAATTAGCCAGGCATGGTGGTGCACACCTGTAATCCCAGCTACTTGGGAGGCTGAGGTGGGAGAATTGCTTGAATCCAGGAGGCGAAGGTTACAGTGAGCTGAGATTGCGCCACTGCACTCCATCCTGGGCGACAGAGTGAGACTCCATCTCAAAAACAAACAAACAAACAAAGAAATAACAACAAAAACTGTAGTAATGGTTTAAAACTCTTGAATATACTCAAAGCCATTGAACTGTGCACTTTAAGAGGATAAATTTTTTGGTATATGAATTATACTTCAAGCTATTAAAAAGGATATATCAATTATTTAATGTTAATGGACAATTCCAATGTATCCAGTTTTTTCTATTGCAATGCTGCAAGGGACGTACTTGAACATTCATCTTTATGCCTTTATCTTCCTGGTAGTTCTATAAGATATAGTGAAGGAAGGGGATTTATTGTTGTTATAGTCTTTATTGTGGTAGCCAGTGACTAGTACTAGAATGGTATTTATTTTGAGTGCTTAGGCACTACGAATTTCTGTAAAACTGACGTTTCATGGTTGTAGCCAGCCAAGATAGCGTTGACACCTGTATGGAGAAAGAGTTGGTAGGATAATCCTGGGTGCTCTTGAGGGGAGAAGGGAGCATGTGGGGGACTGGAGTAAGGAAGGGAGGGAAAAAGGTGAGCAGGACATTGAAAGCCTCTTGTGGGGTTTTTGCTGTTCGTATTTCCTTTCTGGCTTTATAGAGAGCTCTTGGTTTGAATTGGATTGGTTTCTCTTTTGCTTTTTCCCTGTTAGGTGAAGGCATTCTCATCTCCTCAGAGGCTTCAGAGCTTCTCCATTTCATAGACAACCAGGGCCCAGTGCACGTGATCCAGAAATATCTTGAGCACCCTCTGCTGCTTGAGCCAGGTCATCGCAAGTTTGACATTCGGTAATGCATTCATGTCCATAGCTTTTGTTTTTATTCATCTGAAAAAACTGCCATGGTATGTGGTGGGAAGGGGGACATGGAATATGAGGAAGCGTTTGACCATGTTTAATATGTTACCAAAATTGAGCACAGCTGAATGGAACTTACCTTCTGTACCTAATTTTCTATTTTTCTTTCTTGTTTTTTCCATCTAGAAAATGTTACTACGATTATGGATTTTCTTTTTTAAAAAATATTCTTTTCTGGCTGGGCACAGTGGCTCACGCTTGTAATCCCAGCACTTTGGGAGGCCAGGGTGGGCAGATCACCTGAGGTCAGGAGATCGAGACCATCCTGGCTAACACGGTGAAGCCCTGTGTCTACTAAAAATACAAAAAAAATTAGCCGGGTATGGTGGTGGTGCCTGTAGTCCCAGCTGAGGCAGGAGAATGGTGTGAACCCGGGAGGCGAAGCTTGCAGGGAGCTGAGATTGCGCCAGTGCACTCTAGCCTGGGCGATAGAGCAAGACTCCGTCTCAAAAAAAAAAAGCTAACTTGAAAATTGAAGTCCCTATAATCCTACTTCCTAGACAGAATCAGTGATCTTGCACTTTTAGTGTTATTTTCTGTCAATCATAGTTATATGTATCCCAGTGTAATACATATATTACTTAACATGAAAAATTTTAAGCACATAGAAATTTAAAGGAAATATGTTCATCTATGAATATTATAAAGCCACCATCTAGATTTAGCAGTTAATATTTTGCAGTGTTTAAATTTTTTTCACTGTAGTTTGAAGTAAATTACTTTAAACTTTTCACCCCTAAATACTTTAGAATGCATCTTTTTTAAAGAAGGAATTCTTTCACAATATAATCACACAATTTTCACACCTAATACAAGTAACAGTGCTTTCTAAATGTTCTCTAATAACCAGACTATATTCACCTTTCCCTTTTTGACCCCAAAAAATGTCTTTGAGAGCTGGTTTGTTTAAATAGGGTTCTAATTAAGGAGCATAGGTTGCATTTCATTGTTTGTCTCTAAGCTTTTTAAAAATCAAGTGTAGTACCTGGCCCCCCCTTTTTTTTCTTGACTTTGAACTTATTGGAGAGACCTAGCCAGTTGACTTACAGAAGTTGGGTCAATGTTCTCACTTTCTGTATTTATCTGATTGTTTCCTCATGGTGTCCTTTAACTGTATTCTCTTTTATTTCCAGTAAAGCAGAATTTTAGGCTTGAACACAATTACATTAAACATGTTGGACAACAATTCTTCACCATTGATATCATTTTCTTTCTTTCTTTCTTTCTTTCTTTCTTTCTTTCTTTCTTTCTTTCTTTCTTTCTTTTCTTTTCTTTTCTTTCTTATGCAGTTTCACTCTCGTCACCCAGGCTGGAGTGCAGTGGCACGATCTCGGCTCACTGCAACCTCCGCCTCCTGGGTTCAAGTGATTCTCCTGCCTCAGCCTCCCACGTAGCTGGGATTACAGGTGCTCGCCACCATGCCCTGAAAGTTTTTGTATTTTTAGTAGAGATGGGGTTTCACCATATTGGCCAGGCTGGTCTCGAACTCCTGACTTTAGGTGATCCACCCACCTCTGCCTCCCAAAGTGCTGGGATTACAGGTATGAGCCACCACGCCCAGCCTGATGCCATTTTCTTCACATAATATCTAGTGTACCCACTATTAGAGATTCTAAGATTATAGGGTTAACTATCGATTTATCTTCTTGCCACTGGAAAGTATTCTATGGGTTGGAACACTGAGATCTTTGACATCTTTCCCTTAATGGTTTTAGCATGCAGTAATGATTCTTTCTCAGATCAGTTACTTAATTAGAAGTTGCAAAATGGTGATTAAATTATCTTTTTTTTTCTACATTTATTAACTGTCATTCTTACCTCTAAAGAACTTTCCCTCATCCACTGGGGTTATTTTGTATCTAAAACTTAGTTCCACTGCAGAGAAAGAATACATTATTCTTTACTTACCTTTAATTACCAAGTTTTAGAATAAGAACTTGAATAACAGCCACCCCCATCAGTGATGATTAAGATGGTTTGTTTTCATCTTTATTGAGTATGATTATGGACTCAAGAATTTTTATGCTTTAAATGTCTTCTAGTCAATTATGGTTCATTACTCTTATTGATGCTCAAACTGTCAAAATGTTCCAGATTTGGCCAAGGGGAGTCCTTTCTGTTGGCTCCTGGGACCTTTTCATATGACTCCATTAGTCTTTTAAATGACTCTTTTCGTCTTTTGGAGTTTTAATATAACTTCATTAGTCCTGGTTCACTTTGTACATTCCTTACCCCAGACCTGAAATAAGCATCTCTCAAGCCTCCTGATTCCTTTTACTATGGAATTATATTTACACATTTATGATTGTTATGTCTTCTTGTTGAATTGACCCTTTAATAATTATGTAATATCCTTCTTTATTCATGGTAATCATCTTTGTTTGAAGTCTACTTTGATATTAATATAGACACTCTCATTTCCTTTTTCTTTTGCTTATTTTTTTAGATACAGGGTCTCATTCTGTTGCCCAGGCTGGAGTGCAGTGGTGTGATCATAGCTTGCTGTAACCTCAAACTACTGAGCTCAAGCGATCCTCCCACCTCAGCCTCCCAAGTAGCTAGGGTACATTATACCATGCATGCCACCATGCTGGGCTATTTAAACTTTTTTTTTTCATTTGTAGAGAAGGGATCTCATTCTGTTGCCCAGGCTGGTCTGGAACTCCTAGCCTCAAGAAGTCTTCCTGCCTTGGCCTCCCAAAGTGCTAGAATTACAGGTGTAAGCTACCACACCCAGCCTAATTTCCTTTGATTAGTATTTGCATTTTTCCACTTTTAATTTTATTTTTCTATATATATATTTTTGATATGAAGTCTCACTCTGTCACCCAGGCTGGAGTGCAGTGGCATGATCTCAGCTCAGTGCAACCTCCACCTCTGAGGTTCAAGCGATTCTCCTGCCTCAGCCTCCCAAGTAGCTGGGACTACAGGTGCGTGCCATTATGTCTGGCTAATTTTTTGTATTTTTAGTAGAGACGGGGTTTCACCGTGTTAGCCAGGATGATCTCGGTCTCCTGACCTCTTGATCTGCCTGCCTTGGCCTCCCAAAGTGCTGGGATTACAGGTGTGAGCCACCAAGCCCAGCCCATTCTTTTAATCAATTAAGTCTTTATATTGAAAGTGATTTTCTTATAAATAGCATGTACTCAGGTCTTGTCTGTTTAATGTAGTCTGACAATCTCTGCATTACAGTTGGTATATTTAGACCATTTACATTTAATGTAATTATTGATTTGGTAGGATTTAGGTCTACCATTTCTAATCTGTCGTCAAGTTCACAAACTCCTATCATTGTCATCTGCATTCTGCTATGTAGCCCATTGAGTGAATTTTTGAAAACTATTAATAATACATTTTATTGTTTGAACAATTACAGCTTATCAGAAAAGTGAGCAAACAGAAGAGAATTCCCATATGCCCTCTTACCCCAAACCCTCCCACCCCCGTTTCCCTTATTATTAACATCTTGCATTAGTTATAGTACATTTGTTATAATTGATGAGCCATTATTAAAGCTTTGTTAACAATAGTGCTTTGTGGATTACATTAGAGTTCATTCTTGGTGTTGTATAGTCTATGGGTTTTGACAAATGTATAATGACATGTATTCATCATTACAGAAACAGAATAGTTTCACTACCCTAAAAATCAGCTGTTCTCCACCATTTATCCACCCTCCCCGCCCCCAACACCTAACTCCTGGCAACCACTGAACTTCTTACTGTTTCTATGGTTTTGCCTTTTTCAGAATATATATATATATAATATTATATATGATATATATTATTATATATCATATATAAAGAACTATTTTTTTGCAAAGATTTTTTCCCATTTAATGGCTTACCTTTTCATTCTCTTAACAGTGTCCTGTGTGAGCAGAAAAATTTAATTTTAGTGAAGTCCAACTTACCAATTTTTTCTTTTATGAGTCATGTTTTTGATGTTATATCTAAAAAGTCATCACCAAATCCAAGGTCACCTGAGTTTTCTCCTATGTTATCTTCTAGGAATTCTGTAGTGTTGCATGTTACATTTAGGTCTATGATCCCTTTTGAGTTAATTTTTGTGAAAGGATTGAGATCTGTGTCTAGATAAGATATACTTAGGCAGGCCTAGTGGCTCATGCCTGTAATCCCAGCACTTTGGGAGGCCAAGACAGGCAGATCACCTGAGGCCAGGAGTTCAAGACCAGCCTGGCCAACATAGTGAAACCCCATCTCTACTAAAAATACAAAAAATTAGCTGGGCTTAGTGGCGGGGGTCTGTAATCCCAGCTACTTGGGAGGCTGAGGCAGGATAATCGCTTGAACCCAGGAGGCAGAGGCTGCAGTGAGCTGAGATTGCACCATTGCACTCTAGCCTGGGCAACAAGAGCGAAACTCCATCTTAGGAAAAAAAAAAAAGATATACCTCGATGTAACATTTTTGTTATTTATCCTATATGGTGTTTTTTGAGCTTCCTGGATCTGTTCCTTTATGTCTACCTTAGTTCATTTGGGCTGCTGTGACAAAAATTTCATAAACTGGAGAGTTTATAAACAACAGAAATTTATTTCTCACAGTTCTAGGGGCTGTGATGTCCAAGACCAAGGCACTAGCAGTGTCTGGTGAGGCCCTCCTTCCTCATAGATGGCACATTCTGGCTTTGTCCTCACATGGTGTAAGGGGCTAGCTAATTCCCTGGGGCTTCTTTCATAAGTGCACTAATCTCTGTCCTGAGGATAGAGCCCTCATAACCTGATTGACTCCCAAAAGCCCCACCTCAGTACTATCATATTGAGGATTAAGTTTCAATATAACTTTTGAGGAGACACAAACATTCAGACCATATCTTTATATATCATTAATTTGGGGAAATTTTCAGTCACTGTTGCTTCAAATGTTTCTTCTGTTTCTTTCTTTCTTTCTTTTTTTTTTTTTTGAGACGGAGTCTTGCTCTGTTGCCCAGGCTGGAGTGCAGTGGCACGATCTCAGCTCACTGCAAGCTCCGCCTCCCAGGTTCGCGCCATTCTCCTGCCTCAGCCTCCCTAGTAGCTGGGACTACAGGCGCCTGCCACCATGCCCTGCTAATTTTTTGTATTTTTAGTAGAGACAGGGTTTCACCGTGTTAGCCAGGATGGTCTCGATCTCCTGACCTTGTGATCTGCCCGCCTCAGCCTCCCAAAGTGTGGGGATTATAGGCATAAGCCACCACGCCCAGCTTTCTTTCTCTTTTTCTTCTCTTTCTGGTATTTCCAAAAAGTCTCCATGTTCCACCTTTTGTAATTGTCTCACAGTTCTTGACTCTTGTTCTGTTTTTTCTTTTTCATTCTTTTTTCTCATTGTGTGTCAGCTTTTGAAGTATCTATTGACATCTCTTCAAGCTCACTGATTCTTTCATTGGCCATATCCATTCTTTTGATGAACCCATCAAAGGCATTCTTCATTTCTGTTATGGTGTTTTTTATTTCTAGTATTTCATTTTTATTTCTTCTTAGTGTTTTTATCTCTTTGCTTACATTACCCATCTGTTCTTGCATGTTATGCTGTTTTTACATTAGAGCCCCTAGCATGTTAATCTTAGTTATTTTAAATTCCTGGTTGGACACTTCCAATATTTCTTTCATATCTGAGTCTGGTTCTGATGCTTGCTCTGTCTCTTCAAAGTGTGGGGTTTCTTGTCTTTTAGTATGCTTTGTAATTTTTTGTTTGAGGCTGTATATGATGTACTGGGTGAAAGGAACTGAGTTAAATAAGGCTTTAGTATGAGATTTTGTATTTCTCTGGCTAGGAGTTAGGCTTTGTTTACTCTTTGCTATATAGTCATGGATGTCAGAGGCTAAAATTTCCTCTAGTGTCCCTGTGTTGTCTCCCCTGTCTTCTCTGGGGAGCTCCCTAGAGGCTTCTTTGTAAAGTAGCTCTGAGTCTTGCAGTGTCTATCCCTAATCATGGGAAAACATCAAACAAACCCATATAGCAGGACATCTGACAAAGTACCAAGTGTCAAGGATCATGGATTGAATCCTGAAACAGAGGAAGGACACTGAAGGAAAGACTGGGAAAACCTGACTGAGGTCTGGAGTGTAGTTAGTGATACTATACCAAGACTAATTTCTTAGTTTTGATAATTTATTAACAGTTATGTTAACATTGGGGGTAGCTGTGCAAGGGGTGTGAGAATGCTGTTATATCTTTAACCTTGGCCCATGGTTAAGGTGTTTCCAGTGTAAGGTCACTGTTATTCCTTGTAGTTAACATATATTTGGCACCACAGGATTCATTCTGGAATTCTTGGCTTATTTATAACTTTTTTTCTTTTTCTAGTAGTGAGAAACCTGGCTTTCGTGCAGAGTTTACAAACGCCAATTTAAACTTTTGTTTTGTCATAGGCAATAATTTTATTACCTTTATTACCTGTATTTATTTCAGAGCTTATGAATTTTTAATTATTCTAAGGGCTAACAGAACTTTTTCATGTTTTCTACTCTTCAAGAGCAGGTAAGACTTTAGTTTGTAATACATTACAAGAGGAATCCTGTGGTTCTCTAAGAGCTAATTTGTCTTGGCAAAAGGCCTTAGCGAGCTGTGAGTGGTGGCTCATGCCTGGAATCCCAGCACTTTGATCTGAGACGGCTGGATCACCTGAGGCCAGAAGTTTGAGGCCAGTTTGGCCAACATGGCGAAACCCCATCTCTGCTAAAAATACAAAAAATTAGCCAGGCATAATGGCATGCACCTGTAGTCCCAGCCACTTGGGAGGCTGAGGCAGGAGAATTGCTTGAACCTCGGAAGTGGAGGTTGCAGTGAGCCGAGATCGTGCCACTGCACTCCAGCCTGGGAAACAGCGAGACTGTCTCAAAACAAACAAAAAAAAACAACAAAAAAAAAACAAAACAACAAAAAAATTAGACGGGCGTGGTGGCATGCACCTATAGTCCCAGCTACTCAGGAGGCTGAGGCAGGAGAATCGCTTGAACCCAGGAGTTGGAGGTTGCACTGAGCAGAGATCATGCCGCTGCACTCTAGCCTGGGTGACACAGTGAGTATCCATCTCAAAACAACAACAACAACAACAAAAACAAATTAAAAAACCCAACAACAACAAAACCAGCAAACAAGAAAACTAAACAGGCTTTAGGGAAAGAGCAATCTAATTATCTGATTATATGATTGGCACTAAGATGGGAATGACTCTGGCCTAATTTCTTCAATTTACATTTTAAAACAGGAGCTTAGTTAGCCCCCAAATAATATGTAATTGATGTATTAGGGTTGGGGAGTGAATATTTTTCAAAGCAGAAGATATTTCTCAATTCTTGCTTACTTTTGGAGGTTGAAGTTCAAGGAAGCCCCTGCCTTGGCACTGTATTCCAGGGAGGTATTTGGAGTTAATTTCAGGGCTTAGCAGTGACTCTTTAGAAAAGCAGTATACGATTGAAATGTAATGTGGTACAAATGAGATCACTACAAGTAATTTAAAAATGTGCTAGTAGTGTTTCTTTTTCTGAGACGGAGTCTCGCTCTGAAGCCCAGGCTGGAGTGCAGTGGCACGATCTCAGCTCACTGCAAGCTCCGCCTCCCAGGTTCGCGCCATTCTCCTGCCTCAGCCTCCCTAGTAGCTGGGACTACAGGCGCCTGCCACCACTCCTGGCTAATTTTCTGTGTTTTTAGTAGAGACGGGGTTTCACCGTGTTAGCCAGGATGGTCTCGGTCTCCTGACCTCGTGATCCTCCCACCTCAGCCTCCCAAAGTGCTGGGACTACAGGAGTGAGCCACCACACCCAGCCTCTAGTAGTACTTTTATCAAAAGTAAATAGAAACATGGAATTAATTTTCACAATACATTTTATTTAAACTAATATGTTCACAATGTTAAAATTTCAACATGTAATCACTATAAAAACTACTAGTGAGATATTTCACATTACTTTTTTCATGTAAGCCTTTGAAATCTGGTGTGTATTTTATATTTACTGTACATCCTGATTTGGAATAACCACATTTCAATCTTTCAATAGCCACATGTGGCTAGTGGCTACTGTGTTAGAGCAGTTCTAGAACAAAGGAGTCCCTTTCAAACTATTTTGAAGTCATCGTCTATAAGGCAATATGAAAGCTGATCTGAATGATTTCTCCTTTTCCAGGAAAGGAAACAAAAATGAAATCATGTTAGGGCTGCATATTTTATGGGTCCCAGGACAAATAGACATAGTCTGAAAGAATGATCTCAGTCAGAAACTCAGAATGAATCATATGAATTAAACATTGGACAATGTCCAATGCTCAGCATGTGTTTTTGGTTTATACTAAGAACATATTATGCCACCAAATACAGATATTTACTATTATACTTAGTGTAGGAGGTATATTGAGACATTGTTCTACACTACCACAGTTCCATATTTTGTGAAAAGCTATATTGCACTTTTTTTTTTTGCGAGTGTGCCCAGGCTGGAGTGCAATGGCATGATCTCAGCTCACTCCAGCCTCCGCCCCACCAGGTTCAAGTGATTCTCCTGCCTCAGCCTCCCTAGTAGTTGGGATTACAGGTGCGCACCACCACGTCTGGCTAATTGTTGTATTTTTAGTAGATACGGGGTTTTGTCATGTTGGCCAGGCTGGTCTCGAACTCCTGACCTCAGGTGATCCACCCGCCTCAGCCTCCCAAAGTGTTAGGATTACAGGCGTGATCCACCACGCCCAGCCTTATATTTCACTCTTTGGGAATTGTATCTTACTGTAATCTTAAACTACACTAAAATAAATAATGTAAACCTTTTGTCAAATTGCTCAGAGTAGGTTTCTACTTTGGTTATAAGGAATAAAATTCATGCTTTTGTGTACACACTAGACATCTAAAGCAATCAACTATAGTTAACAAGCAGTGCTCTTACCAAAAGGTAACTCTTTCTAGAATCTGTCACACCATTTAATATCAGTATGAGCATATGGTGGGTTTAATAATTGTTTTCCATGTTTATAGGTTTTCTTTAGTTTTATAAGCAGTTAAAAAGAATCCCTTTCACTGAAATACAATCTGTGGTGAGACTTCTAGCTTTTCTCGATCTTACGCTGCCAGATTTATGTCACTGCCAAAGCTATGCAATGGGTGATATTTACACTGTGCTCAAACAAAGCAACCAGAAAAACACATCACTGAATAATACAGATATTCTGAAGTCAAGCAAGCCAACTTTCATTAACAGATCAATTGCCTTAGAAAAGTTGACGAAACTAAAGACTGAAGTTCAAACAAAAAGCCCTCTCAAGGGGGTATGAATTTCTGGTAACTTATGGGGTAAGAAAAAGAGCAAGAAACTTGAAAGTAGGGAAGAGAAAAAAGAAAAGGAGCAAGAGGGGATAGCCAGCTCTCAAAAGAGTCTCCAATAGGAAAGCAAAATCTGTATCTAGCCAGTACCAACATGTGAAGAAAGAGTGAGCATAGCAAAATTTAGAAAGGTTGCTTGAAAACCAAACAAAAAACCAAATACCTGTAATCCTAGCACTTTGGGAGGGTGAGGTGGGCAGATTGCCTGCACTCAGGAGTTCAAGACCAGCCTGGGCAACATGGTGAAACCTTGTCTCTACTAAAATCCAAAAAAAAAAAAAAAAAAAAAATTAGCCGGGCATGGGCTGGGCGCGATGGTTCACGCCTGTAATCCCAGCACTTTGGGGGACAAAGGTGGGCAGATCACGAGGTCAGGAGATCGAGACCATCCTGGCTAACACAGTGAAACTCCATCTGTACTAAAAATACAAAAAATTAGCTGGACGTGGTGGCGCGTGCCTATAGTCCCAGCTACTCGGGAGGCTGAGGCAGGAGAATCACTTGAACCCAGGAGGTGGAGGTTGCAGTGAGCTGAGACCATGCCACTGTACTCCAGCCTGGCGACAGAGCGACACTCATCTCAAAAAAAAAAAAAAAAAAAAAAAAAAAAAAAAAGTCTCTTTTGGCCAGGTGTGGTGGTTCACACCTGAAATCTCAGCACTTTGGGAGGCCGAGGTGGGTGGATCACTTGAGTCCAGGAGTTCAAGATCAGCCTAGGTAACATGGCAAAACCTCGTCTCTACCAAAAACAAACAAAAATTAGCCAGATGTGGTGGTGCACACCTGTAGTCCCAGCTACTTGGGAGGCTGAGGCAGGAGAATCACCTGAGACCAGGAGGCAGAGATTGCAGAGAACTGAGACTATGCCAAGGCACTCCAGCCTGGGTGACAGAGCAAGACTCTCTCTCTCTCTCAAAAAAGAAAAAACAAAAAGCCTCCTTTAAAAAATGCAGTTTGATGCTATAAATTTATCAGTTAATAGTTTTTGGGGCAAAAAATGTTTTCTGACATTTCAATAAGAGCTATAGACGAAGTCCAGCATTAGTCATGACTCTGGACTAAGTCTGGAAATCTGGAATCTCTTCCCAGCTCTGGGAGGTACAAAGTTTTAAAAAATAAGGTCAAAATGCTGGAAAACATTCAATTTATTTCCTTATTAACACAATTGTTCACTCATAAACGACAGTAACACTTGGTGCTGTGGGTCATGCACTGAGGTCAGAACAAGGAACAGAAGAAAATGAGGTAAATTGGTAAATCTTTTTGCAGGCTGAGAAGTGAGAGAATGCTGGCATGCCTACTCTGTGCTGGGTTTTTTTTTTTTTGTTTTTTTTGTTGAGATGGGGTCTTGCTCTGTCGCCCAGGCTGGAGTGCAGCGGCGCAATCTCGGCTCACTGCAAGCTCCGCCTCCTGGGTTCACGCCATTCTTCTGCCTCAGCCTCCCAAGTAGCTGGGACTACAGGCACCTGCCACCATGCCTGGCTGATTTTTTGTATTTTTAGTAGAGACGGGGCTTCACCGTGTTAGCCAGGATGCTCCCGATCTCCTGACCTTGTGATACGCCCACCGTGGCCTCCCAAAGTGCTGGGATTACAGGCGTGAGCCACTGCGCCCAGCCCTCTGTGCTGGGTTTTATTATGTCATCCAATAACTCACAACTATGTAATTTATTTCCTTTTTACAGATAAAGAAATGGGGGCTCAGAGCAGTCAAGAACATGCCCCAAGTTATTCGTCAGTGAGGCAGAAATTGTGGTGTCCTTGTGTAAGTTCACAGTTTATACTTTACCATTATACTGTGCTCCAAATTATCTGATATTTACTTTCAAAGCATGTGTAGGAAGTTTACTATGATGATGCAGAGACATTGTACAGAATCCAGTCCCTTGACTCTCAGGTCCCCAGAACACTCACTTCACGATTTTGTTGACCTCTTATGTCAACTTAAACCTGGCACTCTCTTGGCTTTCTCTGCTCTTTCTGGGCACTCCAAAGCTTCTGTACTTACATGCTACAACTCCAGTCACAGGAAGATGCTGAGTTCTTTAGTCCCAGATCCATATTCCTGAGAAAACCTAATTGCCTAGGCTCAGGTCATAACTCTGTGTCTGTTTCAGTTGATTATGGCTGGGCCTACTGCCCCTCTGTATGGTGGTGGGGCAGAAGTTCCCAGAGAGAGGCAGGGGTGACAGAGACTGTTGTCTCAAATGCTAGGCAGACATCTGGAGTGGTAACCACTACATCTGTTCACAGTGAGCACATCCTTGCAGGGAAACTGGGTTAATCATCTCTATTATTGAAACTCAGAGGTATAGTGTTTCTTCATAGGAATTTTCTTTCCTTATTTGAGATGGGGGTCTCACTTTGTTGCCCAGGCTGGAGTGCAGTGGTGTGTGATCTTGGCTCACTGCAGCCTCCCCTCCCGAGTTCAAGCGATTCTCCTACCTCAGCCTGCTGAGTAGCTGGGACTACAGGCATGGGCCAACATGCCTGGCTAATTTTTGTATTTTTCGTAGAGACAAGTTTTCACCATATTGGCCAGGCTGGTCTTGGACTCCTGACCTCAGGTGATCTGCCCACCCTGGCCTCCCTAAGTGCCGGGATGACAGGTGTGAGCCATCGCGCCCAGCCTATTTATAGGAATTTTCTGTAGGTATATAAGTAATAATTTGAAGGTCACAACTAGATGACTTTTTGTGTAACCGTATCTTGAATGGAACAAACATTTTCTTTCTACGTAATTATACATAAATAACCCAATGCTTTTTAATACCCACGAAAAGCCATTAGCTCAAAGACACTTGCAAACTTGTATCAGGTTGTTTTCCTTGGTGTGTATTAAGTTTGAAGCAAAGGGGATTTTCACATACCAAGACGAAGCAGAAGTCTTCCACCAAGTTGAAATCATCACGTTGCAATTTAATCATATGATACAACCAATTTTTTGATGTGTTATGCCATTCGCCAAATACCATACAAAGTACGGTATGCCTTCTCAGTGCCTTGTTAGTAATTCAGTTACAGTTCTGCCGAACTTTCTTTAAAGGAATACAATTCTCAATCTTACACTGTTCAGAGCACAAGCATAGCTTATTGTATGCAAGAGATGTGCATCAGTTCCCACTCCTCAGGGACTGTATGAATTTGGCTTTATTTTTTTGACAGAGTCTCACTCTGTCGCCAGGCTGGAGTGCAGTAGTGTGATCTCAGCTCACTGGACTCTGCCACCTGGGTTCAAGTGATTCTCCTGCCTCAGCTTCCCAAGTAGCTAGGACTACAGGTGCACACCACCATGCCCAGCTGATTTTTTGTGTGTTTTTAGTAGAGACGGGGATTCACCATGTTGGCCAGGATGGTCTTGATCTCTTGACCTCATGATCTACCCGCTTTGGCCTCCCAAGGTGCTGGGATTACAGGCATGAGCCACTGTGCTGGGCCAAATTTGGTTCTTAGAAACCAAGGAGTGATGTGTGCACCAGGCCCAGGGCTGAAGAGCTGCTTCTCACTAGATGCCTCTCTTGGTCTGGCTGCTGTGTCCAGTCCTATCCAGGGTTAGCTCTGTTCCTCCTCCTTGTGGCATCTGTGTTTCTCTTTCTGCTCTGCCTCTCCCCATCTCCTAGTCCAAACATCCAAAGAAATAAATTACCTCCAGGAGATCGAGACCATCCAGGCTAACACGGTGAAACCCTGTCTCTAGTAAAAATACAAAAAATTAGCCGGGCATGGTGGCCGGCGCCTGTAGTCCCAGCTACTTAGGAGGCTGAGGCAGGAGAATGGCGTGAACCTGGGAGGCAGAGCTTGCAGTGAGCCGAGATCGCGCCATTGCACTCACGCCTGGGCGACAGAGCAAGACTCTGTCTCAAAAAAAAAAAAAAAAATTAATGACCTCTGCCCCTAACTGAACAAAGCCCTTCATCTAAGGCCACCCTTTGGTTGGCAGCCTTAGCCAGACATCTGCTTCTGGTCAAATCAATGTCTTGTCCACAGGGAGGCCCAGCGCTGTTTCTGGTTTTAGCTGGATGCAGGGTGTCAGACATGGCAGGTACTACGGTCTACCTGGCGGGTATCAAAGAGTTGGTCGACGTTCTCACAACAACCTAATAGGGACCAACCATGGAAGGCCAGTAGTAAAGGAGTTTGAAGTTCCCTTTCAGAAACCAATTAACAACCCCAAAGAGACAGTGGGTAACATAAAAGAGCAGCCATAAAAATATACAGTTTTAATAGAAATATTAAAATAATCATTACACTTCCTCTCATTGCAGAAACCATGAAAGAATATGCCTTTTGTAATCAAAGTAATTTTTTATCATGCAAAAAAGTATTTTGTTATGACATTCGTAAGTGGAGACTGTATTTCAAAACAAGTTTATACAGACTTCAAAAGGTCTAAAGTCAAAGTGAAATATATTTAAATATGATTAGTTACATCTAATGCAGCTGGCATACTCATATTCACAGTTTATAAAGTAAAAAAACTAAACTCTTCATGTCGGCTCTGAAATAGATGCATTTTCATTCATACATTCGCTAGTTAGGTCTGTTCTTCTAAGGAGGAAAGACGAGATATATGAGATATTTTTTAAAGAACAAACTCAACATATCAGCAGCAAATTTCAGTTAAACTAAATTGGAAACCAATGTTCTGTGTAACCAAAGTGCAAAGTCAGTTCCCCAGCTCAGAAAGAAAATTAAGAGTATAAACTGAAGGCTTAAGAGAACTTCAGAGAGCACACTGTGTGATTAATACATAAATATTAAAAATTATCCAATTTTTGATTTAAGAACAACACAGTTTGGATCTAGTCATTAAAACATATGCACAGGTGTCAAAGGCAAGTAACACTACCACCTAAGGTTATTCGGAGGAACTGTGAAGATGTAGCACGGACCTCTAAGGTGTCTAAAATCCCTTCTGATGGAAAGGTTATGGAACACTATCTGCCAAAAACACTGAAAGCACCACTTTTATATTTAGATCCAATGCTGAGTGATATAGTCACTGTTGGGATAGGTTTTTATTTGGGAAAATGGAGAGGATTCTCAAAACAGATTCATGGCTTGCATGCAGTGACACCCTATCAAGAGCCTGGAAAGACACCATGAAATCACCTCAACTCAAGTGGTGGGCCCACCTACTCATAGTCAGTGTTACACTAGCCAGCTCTAGGGCTCTGACAACATAATGAGTTTTGAGGTAGTATACTTTAAAGAAAAAAAGAAGAGTTTATTTTAAAGCAAATAACTAAACTGTATTTTAACTTAGCACAATTAACTGCAGCATATTTACTTCATAGCCCCTTAACATGTCACTTTTACCAACAAAGCTTTTTCCTTCATATTCTAATCACAAAAATTTCTCAACAATTTATAACAATCTGTAAATCTGACCTTGCAATAAATAGTCATAAAACGTTATTTTTATTACTATTATTATTTTTAGAGACAAGGTCTCGCTCTGTTCCCCGAGCTGGAGTGCAGTGGTACAATCACAGCTCACTAGCCTCAAGCGATTCTCCAGCCTCAGCCTCCCAAAGTAGTGGGATTTCAGGCATGAATCACCACACCTGGCCTTGAAACATTATTTTTAAAGCCTAAATTCCAGTTGGTATGGTACCAAAATTTAGTTTAACTTCAAAATTCACAGTACTGCCGAGAAATGGGCGGGTCCTGAGGTTCCAGAGAAGTGGGGAGTGAATTCATTCCTGGTGGTTTTATTCTGGCAGCATGCATGGGAGATCACATGAGTTAGAGGGCTGTGGCCTGGTATCAACACTTCAAGCTGTTGTACTTTTACTTCAAGTTGAAACTTTTAAAATACATCTGTCATACAGATGTACAAATATATGTAAATGCAAACATATATACACACTTTTTGACAAAAGAATAATGGTAACACACACGAACCATTTTTGTAAACAGATTCTATTTGGTTAATAGAAGTATTCCTTCCATCAACCTATCGAAGTCCAAACCAACTACGAAGATAGGATGCTCATCCAGAAGAACGGGAAGCATTTTCTTCCTCATCTTTAGAAAGTAAAACAAAGAAAAAAAAAAGAAAAAAGAGAGTATTAAAATTTCTCAATGTAAAATCTATATTTTAGAACCACTCTACAATATAAGCAAATAATGTCTTTTTTACTGATCACATGCCTTTTTTGGTGGGGGGGGGGGGTTCTTTTTTTTTTTTTTTTTTTGAGATAGGGTCTTGCTCTGTCACCCAGGCTCGAGTGCAGTGGCGTGATGAGACTTCAATGCAGCCTTGATCTCCCAGGCT
The DNA here is from genome assembly GCF_000001405.40 of Homo sapiens. NCBI lineage: Eukaryota > Metazoa > Chordata > Mammalia > Primates > Hominidae > Homo > Homo sapiens. The sequence continues at coordinate 109,855,611 of NC_000002.12, read as the reverse complement.
CAAGTGATTCTCCCACCTCAGCCTCCCAAGCAACTGGGACCACAAGGTGTGTACCACCATGCCTGGGTAATTTTTTGTTTTTTTGTAGAGATGCAGGTCTCACTGTTTTCCAGGCTGGTCTCAAATTCCTGGGCTCAAGTGATCCTCCCACTTCAGCCTCACAGTGTTGGGATTGCAGTCACGAGCCACTGTACCCAACCATATGTCATTCTTTAGACACACTGCTTACTAAATTTCTCTTTTTAAAGGATATACTGAATTTCCGGTTGAGCCAACTTAACAGCTAATTTTCTATTTTAGCTTTAAAACATTGATAAGCAACATGAAGCAATCTAGAACTTAACCTTTAAATGGCTTTATTAAAGCAATCCAGCTATGAAAATTATGCAGAAATGATTATCTACAATCTTACCAGCACATAAGAAATTCTTCCTCTATTCTGAAATACCATCTTCTCACAATATACTTTGATGTTATGAATCAATGTCTGTTCTTGAACATTATTTATTGTCTTTCTCTATTAAACAATTCCAAAATAAAATTTCCAGCACAACTAAATATTGTTGACGATAAGGGGATTTAAAAAAAAATTCTTTTAAAACAGAAGCTTATATACAACTTAGAATCTAAAACCAATAGATTTATGGGAAACCTTAAAACTGAACCACAACAAACAAAAACCAAAGTTTTAATCATTTAAAAATCATGTTTATTGAGGTACAACTTACTTATAGTAAAACCTGCCCTTTTCAGCATATAGCACTGAGTCTTGACAAATGCACAGTTACGTACCACCACCGACCAAGGCCTGGCACATTTTCATCTCCTCAAAGTTCTCCCTGGCTGCTTCTCCCACTCCTTGGCAACCGCTAACCTGTTTTCTGTCCTTATAGTTCTGCTTTTTTCAGTGTCATATAAGTAGAATCACACTGTACATAGTATTTTGAGTCTGACCTCTGTCAACTGGCATAATGCATTTGAGAATTACCCATGTTGCTGAACTGGCAGTGCATTCTTTTTTATTGCTGAGCAGTATTCAATTGCACGGCTGTACCAGTTTGTTTATTCATTTGCCAGTTGAAGGATAACTGAGATCTTCCTCGTTTTTAGCAATTTTAAAGAAAGTTTCTACGAATAATTGTGTACAGGTTTTTAATTAAATGTTTTGGAGATATAATTCATATACCACATAATTCACCTTTTTAAAGTGCATAATTCACTGGTTTTTAATATATTCACAAGGTTTGTGCATAGGTTTTTGTGTGAATACTGGTTTTCATTCCTCTTGGATAAAGATTTAATTTGGTATTACCCTTCCAGACACCTTTCTGTGTTTTCATACGTATATATGTATGACAGTTTGACCTTAGGCAGAGTAGCATTTTCAAAATTTTACATGGGGAAACTTTCTAGAGTTAAAGTCATTTTATTTTTCTGTTCTGTCTGGTTTTATCTGCGTGTTATTTACAATCTGCTGCGTAACAAATTACTACAAACTTAGTACCTTAACACATATTTATTTCACAGTTTCTGTGGGTCAGGAGATCAGAAATGGTTCTATTTCAAGGTCTCTCACAGGGCTGCAATCAAGATGTTGGCATGGCTGGGGTCTCATCTGAAGGCTGGACTGGAGAAGAATCTACTTCCAAACTTATGTGGTAGTTGGAAGAATTTAGTTCCTCAAGGCTGCTAAACTGATGGCCTGTGTTCCTTGCCTCTGGGATGGTAGCTTGCTTCAACAAAGTGTGCAAGCAGAGAAGACAGAGAGAGGCCGCTAGCAAGATAGAAGCCACAATCTCTTGTAATCTATCATTCTTGCTGTATTCTACTGGTTAAACATAACTCATTAGGTTAGCCTACTGGCTCTCAAGGGGAAGAGATTATACAAAGGCATGCATTTCTGGAGGAGGGAATGAGGGCAAACAATTCTGAAAAGTCTGTCTTCCACAACCTGAAGAACTTCTAGAAAGTAGGAGGAAGCGATATTGCTTAGGGATGGACAACTTGGCACTGGTTATGTGTTCCAAGTGAGGTAACCTTGTTCCCAAGAATAAAGAGAACCAGACGACTGTAAACATTTCCCTAAACTGAAATGCAGACTGTTGTATGTTCACCTGAAATGAATGGTGTAAGCTGAATATAAGATTTTTGACAAAATAAAAATTTTGCTGTGTTCTCAGATCTGGCAGGCTCCTGCCCTTGTGCAAACAATGTTCCTGGCAGCTATTCATCTCCTTAGGTAAATAAGAATTGGAGAAAAGCTGTGCTTAGATAGGGTGCATTTGCTCTTGCCTTGGAAGGCTGTTTTCTGATAAGGTTCTATATCCTCTGCAAATCAAATCAGGCACTTACAGTGTGAGTATGCATTCTCTTCCTGCCAGTCTGGAGATGATCAAAAAGCCTATAACAGGCTTGGCCTATTTTCCTATTGGGTTGCTGGGCTTTTTTTCTTTATTTACTTGTAGAGAGTTTTAGACCTCTGTGTATGTATGGTGTACAAGTGACAATATTCAGATCTGTAAACTGTAACCCAGTCTGGGAGCAAAGAAGATATACAAAAATGACTTTTACTTCCAGCTTGAGTAGTAAAATTGAGATTCAAATTTTGCATATAGAAGTACTATATGGCTAACTTATTTGGGGAGCAAAGCTGACTTACCATAAGTCTATCTCAAATAGAAATGAAACACTCAATTTGTGAAATATGCTGAGTTTTAATGCGTGTGGGGGCAGGGTGAATTAACATTTGTGATGCAAGGAGAAGAGCAATCTATACTTACCACTGTCTATTTGACATTGGGGACTACTGCTACACTCTAAGTCATTTTACCTTATAACGCAGAGTTGTAACATGCTACTCTGAGCAGCTCATGACATCTGCTTGAAATTTAAGTTGGGCCCCTAATATGTGTTTATTATAAAGATTTTGATGCTGCTTTTCAGAGTTGGGTAACCTACTTTACCCTCCTAAGCTAATGTTTCCCAAATACACCCAAACCCACAGAAAGGAAAACTATTCCTCATTAACTCACAGCCAACATCATAAACATTTTATATCTAGAGCTGATGATACAGTCAGGTATTTACCAACACTCATGTATGTATGTAGAGTTTCAAGAAATAATTGCTTATCCTTACCAGATTCAACATATTCTAACGTTTCACATATTATTTTTATTTCTTAATATTTTTTTAAAGATGGGGTTTTACTCTGTTGCCCAGGCTGAAATGCAGTGGCGTGACCAGGATTTCGACCAGAAGTTTGACTGCAGCCTCGAACTCCTTCTAACAAACAATCCTGCTGCCTTAGCCTCCCGAGTAGCTAGGACTATGGGCACATGCCACCAGATCTGGCATATTTTAAAATTTTTGTAGACATAGGGTCTCGCCATGTTGCCCAGGCTGATTCTGAACTCCTGTTCTCAAGCAATCCTCCTGCCTGGTCTTCCCAAACTGTTGGGCTTACAGGTGTGAGTCATTGAGCCCAGCTTGTATTCTTTTGATTTAAAAAAAAAATATCCTGAATGTGATCCACCAAATTAATTTCACCATCCACTAATAGGTAGCAACCTGAATGAAAAATACTGTTATAAACTTTACACAAAACCAGAGATTATAAACATTTGCCTCCAAGGAGATGAGAGAGGCAAAAGGTACTTGTTTGCTCTGATGGGCCCTGTTTCCTTCAGTGCCAGGAAGAGTGGCTCTCAGACCTTTCTTCTGGCATCCCTCATGTATGCAGTGTTGGTTATTATTTTCAAGGCCTTGGTAACAAAATGCCCCTAGTGTGACCAGTCAGACTGACAGTCCATATCTGTAATATGGTGGTAAGTTTCCTTTGCATGTCTTTCTTTCTAGCATCTTAGACCTTTTACCTAGGAAATTTTCTTTTTGCTTGAAGTACATCATTAAGAATTTCCAGTGAAGGCAGATTCTTAAAGTTTTTGTTTTCCAGAAGAGATCTTGGAAAATATAAAAGGTTGGCAGTTATTTCTTTTAGTACATGAGATAGTATTACACCAATGCTGTTGAGAAGTCTATTGTGAGGCAATGTGTCTTCTTTCTCTGGCTGCTTTTGAGATTTCTCTCTGTCTTTTTTAGGGGCAGTTTTACTCTTATGTGACTAGAAGTAGATTTCTTCTTTTTTTTTTTAATACTGCTTGAGATTTTATTGGGTTTTTGAATCTGTGGATAGATATCCTTCAACAGTTCTGAAAGATTTCCAGCCATTCTCTTCATATATTATCTGTGCTGTATTCTCGTCTCTCCTTTTAGAACTTCGATTAGTAAAAACATGTTTGATGTCTTTTCCCACTCTTGTTTTTTGTTTCTCCCATGCTGAATTCCGTGTAATTTCTTTTGAACCATCTTGTAGTTTACATTCTTTTTTTTTTTTTTTATTTTTTTTTTTTTTTTTTTTTTTTTTTGAGATAGGAGTTTTGCTCTTGTTGCTTGGGCTGGAGTGCAATGGCACCATCTCGGCTCACTGCAACCTCTGCCTCCTGGGTTCAAGCAGTTCTCCTACCTCAGCCTCCCAAGTTGCTGGGATTACAGGCATGCGCCACCACGCCCGGCTAATTTTTGTATTCTGAGTAGAGACGGGGTTTCACCATGTTGGCCAGGCTGGTCTCGAACTCCTGACCTCAGGTGATCTACCCTCCTCGGCCTGCCAAAGTGCTGGATTACAGGTGTGAGCCACCGCACCAGGCCTTACATTCTCTCTCTTAAAGAGAGAATGTAAGGTATCTAAATCTGCTGCTAAACCATCATTGTTTTTAATTGTAATAAGGTCTCTTTTATGTACTCACATTGATAAGAGACAAGTAGGAAATAATCTTTAAAGGGCAAACTAATGTAAATGTGTTTTCCTGTCTGTTTACAGGACTTAGCAAATGCACATCTTAGAGTTCTGGGTTTCTAATGTGTATCTCCTCTATGAAATTCTTTAAAAATATCTGTTATTGGTATCCCTTAGGTTAGTCTCTTTTAGAACTTCTAAATCAATGGACCCTTAACTTATAGGAGCCACCTGGACGTTAGCAACACCTACATTAAACATGCTGAGCTTTTAAAAGAGGCCTGTTAGACATGCTGAGTATTTTGAGATAGTATCATTGTTGTATTGAAAACTATTGAAAACTTTAATTTTAAAATGCAAACGTTCTTAAAGTCCTGGTTAATTTTATAACTATAAAATTAGTTATAATTTTGAGATTTCTGTCTTGTTTTTTATAAGGGCAGTTTTACTCTTAGGTGACTAGAAGTAGATTTCTTCTTTTTTATAACTATAAAATTAGGTTTACTTTTGTTAGAATAAATTAAAGACAGTGAATTTGTAATTTGAATAAGTATTAAAAATATACATGATGTATTCTTATTTGGGCCCTTGTGACAAAAATACTATTGTGGCTATAGAAACCTATCCTATAGTTTGAAGAACTGAGATTACTGTCAGTATTGAGAACATTCCTCCTTCATCATTAGAAAGATTATTAAAAACCAGATTCAAAGAAACTATCAATACTACTTATGAAGTATGTCTGTAAAAAAAATTAAGCCTGAATCTTATCAGGCCTCTAGACCGGGGGTTCTCAAGGTATGGGCCCCAGACCAGAAGCATCAGCAACAAATTGCTAAAAATGCAGAATCTTGGGTCAGAAATTGGGGACCAGCAATTGGAATTTTAGTAAGTATACCAGATGATTCAGATGCCTGCTCAATTTTGAGGATGACTCTTATCAGTTTAGTTATTAGGGTTTACAGGGGATGGGGAACATGTTAAAGAACACCAACTAGATAAGGTCAATCAGTCAAAAGTAAGTTGTCTGGACATTCTGGGCCTCCTCATGTCTTAGAAAGCACACAATACCATCTATGATGTATTTTTGTCCACCATCCCACCCAATTGCACCTGGATCTTCCTATTTATAGGCAATTGGAACAAGCTCAGTGTTACCCTGTAATGATTAAAACCCAAATATAGAACTGCTATAGCATAAATGACCACTTTCTTCAATTAATAAGTGGCACATTAAAAATATACTTATATATATAATTGTTATAGATAAAAAAACAACAAAATGGCTGGGTGTGGTGGCTCACACCTGTAATCCCAGCACTTTGGGAGGCCAAGGCGGGCAGATCACAAGGTCAGGAGATTGAGACCATCCTGGCCAACATGGTGAAACCTCGTCTCTACTAAAAATAGAAAAATTAGCTGGCGTGCGTCTGTAGTCCCAGCTACTTGGGAGGCTGAGGCAGGAGAATCACTTGAATCCGGGAGGCGGAGGTTGCAGTGAGCCATGATCGGACCACTGCACTCCAGCCAGGGTGACAGAGCAACACTACGTCTCAAACAAACAAAAACACAACAACAAAATAAAGCTTAAGGAATATCAACCAAATGCAATATATGAGCCCTATTTAGGATACTATAAAAAGACATTCACAATAACACAGGCAAAATGAACATAAACTAGGTATAGGTGACAGAGAAATCCAATAAACATTGAATTATTCACTGGGGAAAGAAATGATGTGTGGGATTTAAGTCTCTAACTCTCCCCTAGTTACGCCAAAAGATTGTCCATGAGTTGAAAACTGTTAGAGATGGGTGACAACTCAAGAGAGATTATAGCGTCTTCCTTGTGCTTGTAAATGTCAAAAATAAAAGTAATTTAAAACTAAAACAAAAACGAAACCATAATTCTTAAGATGCAGCTTGAATTCAGTTAACTATAGCAGTTGTATATGAAGCATTTCAAAGAAGTTAATGACATCACAGTATTAAATCCATCTGACATGGAAACCAACTCTAACTACATCATAGTTTTTTGTTTTTTTTTTTTGAGATGGAGTCTCGCTCTGCCATCAGGCTGGAGTACAGTGGCGTGACACATCACTGCAACCTCCGCCTCGTGAGTTCAAGCGACTCTGCTGCCTCAGCCTCCTGAGTAGCTGGGACTACAGGCGCATGCCACCACGTCCAGCTAATTTTTGTATTTTTAGTAGAGACGAGATTTCACCATGTTGGCCAGGATGGTCTCGGTATCTTGATCTTGTGATCCGCCTGCCTCGGCCTCCCAAAGTGGTGGGATTATAGGCGTGAACCACCGGCGCCTGGCCTATGGCACAGTTTTAAAACTGCATTTGCCTAGAAAGTGGACTGCTGTATATAGACCAAGTGTTGGGCTCTATGGCTCCATTGTCTTAGGCTATTTGGGGTTGGAGGAAGGAAGAGGCGTGAAGTAGAAAAGGAACAAGCTAATAAATGTTTTTTAAAAAGTAGAATTTAAAACAAAACCACGTTCAGCTGAACACCAGAACTCAACCCCAGGATAAAAATCCAATTTTCAAAGAGCTAGAAGATCAAGCTAAGCACTTATTGTATTTTGCTGAACGTTAAAATTATATAAATGTACTACAGTTGCCTCAAGATGTTAAAAAGTCAGCTTTTCAAATCTAGTCACGGCCTACTCATATGACAGACCCAATTCAAATGAGCAAAATTGAAAAGTTACACATACAGACAACTTCTCAACCACCAGGCTGTTTAGTTTAAGTTAGAAGTCAGAAGTTCTGAGACTCTCCTTTTACCCACCTTGAGCAACCGCAGCAAGTTTTCCCTTTTCTTCAGGGCTGAGCTGCAACATCGTATTTATAACAGGAAGAAGTCTCTCTCTTTCACTACCTGGCTTCAAGAAAATGAACTGCAGCAAGACGTTCTTCAAGTATTCCAGGTTAGCTGCAGACTTCTCTCGCTCTTGATTCCTTTCCAATCTTCTTATTTCACTTTTGAGAAGCTGGTGTTAGAGAAATGAGTTAAAAATGGGCTTTAGGAGCTTCTGATTAAATATGGCAGACTGAACTCATGTATTTTTCTTCTCTTCCCCCCAAATTTCCCCCTTCCCTCCATATGGCAATAAAGGAAGGAATTCAGTTAACTACAGCAGCTGCATGTGAAGCATTTCAAAGGAGTTTATGACATCACCGTATAAAATCCATTTGACATGAAAACCGGAACTCCAACTATGAGATAGTTTCAAAGCTGCATTTGCCTAGAAAGTGGATTGCTGCATATGAACCAAGTGTTGGGCTATAGGACTCCATTGTCCTAAGCTATTTGGGGTTGGAAGGAAGAGGGGCGAAGTAGAAAAGCAACAAGCTAATACAAGAGGAGAAAAAGTAGATGAGACACATCAAGAAATTCTCACGAGAAACAGATGAAGAGGTGGAAATGAGTCAGTCCAGCAGCTTACCAAGTATCACTGACAAGAGGAGAGGATGCATCCTGTGTAAATACTGGGGTTCTTGTCTCAGAAGCACAGGGTATCATGGAAATGGAGTTGAAAGCTGGGGAACTGATGGAACGTCTCCATGAGGAGCAACTAACTGGAGCCATGGGTTGGTACCAAGATGTTCCCTCTGCCTTCTACTTTCGATAGAAACTAAGCCAGTATGGCATGGGGCTCTGAAAATGGGCTGAGGGGAACATCGGCAGCCTCCACTAACCCCCTGCCCCTACCCTGTTCCTAAAGTCCCAGGCAGTTAAGACGTCCACAGTGAACGGCACTTAATCAAAACAAAAGTTCAGACACAGTGAAAATTCAGGAATATAAGACAATGTAAAACACTATCAGAGAAATGAGGCAAAGAACACTATAAAAAAGGTAATATCATGTTCAAGTCTTTGAGGAAGATTTCCAGGTTGAAACCAAGCCATAGCTTTTAGTATATTTTCATTTTAGGTTAGGCAAGAAAGTTAGCGAACTTTGTCCTCAAACCTAGGACCATTTAAAAAAGTGACAATAAAGAAGACGAAGAAATCATGAAGAGAGTACAAATTTATGAAAATATAACATTTGGCCAGGCGTGGTGGCTCATGCCTGTAATCCCAACACTTTGGGAGGCTGAGGCAGGCAGATCACGAGGTCAGGAGATTCAGACTGTCCTGGCCAACATGGTGAAACTGTGTCTCTAGTAAAATAAAAAAAATTAGCCGGGCATGGTGGTGCATGCCTGCAGTCCCAGCTACTCGGGAGGCTGAGGCAGGGGAATCGCTTGAACCTGGGAGGCGGAGATTGCAGTGAGCTGAGATTGCACCACTGCACTCCAAACCTGGTGACAGAGCGAGACTGTCTCAAAAAAAAAAAAAAAAAGAAAATATAACATTTAAATAAGTCATTTAGGTTTACTGGGCTAGTTAGTGATTTGTTAGCTATGATAATGTTTTTATTAGTGGGAAAATGTTATTTTATAGAGATGCATACTGAAGTATTTAATGGTGGAATGTCATGATATATACAATTTACTGAAAATAACTGAATTCGGCTTTAAAATAATCTGACAAGGATAGCTAGTGGCCTTGCACAGTGGCAGGACAGATCTATTAGGAGCAGCAAAGTACAGGGGAAAAGCATGTACTTTTCAGACAGCTATGAGTTTGAATTTTGTTCCACCATTTACCAGCTTCAATTTTTCTCTCAACCAGTGATGAGATTAAATAACGTATGTAAAGCCCAGGGCCTGGGTCATAAGAACTCCTCAACAAGCAGTATGACTATATTCTGAGGGGTGATTTATCAGTGAGCCAGGGTGGAAAAACCTCATTTGAGTAATCCTCAACTGTTCTGCAACATTCCTAGATGTTTCTGGTGTCTACTTTAAACAGGAAAAACTTCCCATGCCACTTTGCCATCTCCACCTGAAAACTGTTTAGTAGTTCAGTACTATAAATATCAGTTGAATAATTTAAATTCACTGGTTATCTTTAGAATTCAAAGACTCACACCCATTTTTTATTTAAGCATATGTGAACAATGATTTGTGAACATCTCTCTAGTTTCTAAATCTATTACGGTTTCTTAGGAAAAGTAGGAATTAAGAAATAATCTTTATGTAATAGGTGTAAAAGAAGTATTTTGGCTGGATGCGGTGGCTCACACCTGTAATACCCGCACTTTGGGAGGCCAAGGCAGGTGGATCACGAGGTCAGGAGATCGAGACCATCCTGGCTAACATGGTAAACCCTGTCTCTACTAAAAATGCAAAGAAATTAGCCAGGCATGTTGGCGGGCACCTGTAGTCCCAGCTACTCGGGAGGCTGAGGCAGGAGAATGGCGTGAACCTGGGAGGTGGAGCTTGCAGTGAGCTAAGATCGTGCCACTGCACTCCAGCCTGGGTGACAGAGCAAGACTGTCTCAAAAAAAAAAAAAAAAGGCAATATTTCTCACCATCAGGAATCTAATATAAAGATCAAGACGTTATAGATGCATCTGCAATGTGAATTTTTAAACTTGGGTGCATGTGTGTGGAGGGTCCAGAAAACCAAACTGGCGGTTTTCACGGTGGCCAGGTTTTCTGATCTCACCTTAATTTGCTCCATAAGGACTGCATTGGTTGCCTCTATTTCCCGAAGCAGGCCGTTTAAGTGATCTGCACTTTTTGTGGTGGAACGGAGCTTCTGAACCAATTCTTCTTTGGTAAATTCAGCATGCCATAATGGAGGCTCTGCAAGATGTTGTTCCAAGAATTAATTTTCAAAATCATACATTACAGATGAAGATTCTAAATAAGAAAAATCTAAATATAAATATCTTACTATGTGATATTTTATAGGTCTGCTTTCTTTGCCATTCATCTATTCAGCATACCTCAATCAACAGATTATATGTTGTAGGTGACACAAATAAAACAGTATCTCTGTTGTAAAGCATGTAATCTAACTGAATAAAGCCCTATGAATCCCAGTTCTGAAATTTGTCAGAATTGTGTTTATAGACAGTTTTATTACACATCTTCTTCCCATCTATTAATATTCCAAGATTTTATGTCATTTCACGTATAAGGAAAGCATTAACATTTACTGGTCACGTATCATGTTCCCTCATAAGAATCTTCTATCAGGCGGGGTAGGTATCATTATTCAAACTTTACAGATGATGAAACAGGCTCACAGTTGACAGGTAATTTTTTCAGAAATCACAAAGTCAAATTGGCTTCTGGAGTCTGCTGCTCTATCATGATGCCTCCGTGTCACCACTATTAACTTTGCCTGAAGGAACCATGACTTGCAGTTTCTACCCCACGTGGTCAGTGACCATGAATACAAATGACCCTTACTCCAGGTGATTCTGAAGTTTCAGGAAGATGACAGATTCCCCCTAAATTTTGAACAGTAATATTAATTACAAGTAATAAAATATACCAAAACATCACTACAAAAATTTAGCATTACTTCATCAAGAGGAATAAACTGAAACTGTCAGTTTCTTGGAAGGGTGAGAGGATAGTTTATCCTGCTTTCTAATACCCACCACCTATTTGTGACTATAAACTTCCCACCACTTATTTATGGTTCAAGCCTAGGGCAAGAGCTAGCATTTTATTTTAAAAAAGATTTGTTTAATAATTTTTCCATTTGGACAGTGTGATGGTTAATACTGGGTGTCAACCTGATTGGATTAAAGGATGCAAAGTATTAATCCGAGTGTTGTCTGTGAGGGTGTTGCCAAAGGGATTAACATTTGAGTCAGTGGGCTGGGGAAGGCAGACCCACCCTTAATCTGGTAGGTGCCATCTAATCAGCTGCCAGCGAATATAAAGCAGGCAGAAAAACCTGAAAAGGCGAGACTGGCCTAGCCTCCCAAGCTACATCTTTCTCCTGTGCTGGATGCTTCCTGCCCTTGAACATCAGACTCCTAGTTCTTCAGTTTTGGAACTTGGACTGGCTCTCATTGCTCCTCAGTCTGCAGATGGCCTAGTGATCGTGTAAGGTAATACTTAATAAGCATCCATCCATCCATCCCATCCATCCATCCAACCATCCAATTAGTTCTGTCCCTCTAGAGAACCCTAATACAAACAGGTAGTGGAATATTGAAAGAAATTTTATTGGAGCAGCCCAAAAAAGCATATGTACCTTAGAGTAATAGTAATTAAATAAGACAGTGAAATTAAAGAAGAAGAACATATTTAGACAGAGTAACAGACCAAGTTTAGTTTCGGGAGAATTAAGCAGCTGCTCTAAAGACTGTGTGTATGTGCTGGCGGAAGACACAGACTCCGTATCAGTTGTCTCCATGCCTTCTCCCTCTTCCTGGGTTACAGTGTGCATGTCTAGAAGCGGGAGGTCTGTGTTTCTCCTTTCTCGAAGGTTCTTCAAAGATTGTTGAGAGGAAACTGGGCCTATTAGATTTTTTTTAAAGGTTAAGTGTGAGATTGTTCAAAATCTATTGATTCGGCCTTACAGAGGTACACAATAAAATGAAAATATCAAATGATAAGAGTAGAGGAATTAAGTAACTATAAGTGAAAGGTGTATGAAGAATTGCTAAAACATTTCTTAAAATTTAGTCATCAAGGCCGGGCGTGGTGGCTCAAATCTGTAATCCTAGCAGTTTGGGAGGCTAAGGTGGGTGGATCACGAGGTCAGCAAGTTCAAGACCAGCCTGGCCAAGATGGTGAAACCCTATCTCTACTAAAAATACAAAAATTAGCCAGGCACAGTGGCAGGTGCCTGTAATCCCAGCTGCTGGGGAGGCTGAGGCAGAGAATTGCTGGAAACCAGGAGGCGGAGGTTGCAGTGAGCCAAGATCACGCCACCGCACTCCAGCCTGGCGACAGAGCGAGACGCCAGCTCAAAAAAAAAAAACAACAAAAAAAAACTTACTCATCAAACTTTTAACTACGTTAGTCATTTTAATAGCAGCTATAAATTAATTGCTACTAGCTAAGATAAACTGTTAGATAACACAGCTCATAATATAGTACTACTTATTTTTTATTAATTTAGAGTAGAGGGCCAAACTACTGCTAAATACTGGCCAAAATTAAAAGACTAGATTCTAGAAATTTTTCAGGATTAGGTATTTCAGATTGCTGCATACTTCTTGAAACACACTTGCTGAAATCTGCTTGGTAGACATCCTCAATCACTGCCCTTATACCTTTACCTCTGCAGCTTCTTAATTGTTGCTGCTCACACCTACAGTGCTCATACAGTTAAGAGCCCAGAATCCAGGGCACGGAACTAATCAATTACATTGCCTAGCAAGACTTTCCTGTTTGCTGATAAACTGTAAAGTGTTATTTTTTCTGAGACAGGGTCTCACTCTGTCACACAGGTTGGAGTGCAGTGGCACGATCTTGGCTCACAGCAACCTCTGCCTCCCAGGCTCAGGCCATCCTCCCACCTCAGCCCCACAAGTAGCTGGGACTTCCAGGTGCATGCCATCCCGCCCAGATAATTTTTGTACTTTTAATAGAGATGGGATTTCACCATGTTGTTCAGACTGGTCTCAAACTCCTGGCCTCATGTGATCCAACTGCTTTGGCTCCCAAAGTGCTCAGATTGCAGGGGTGAGACACCACGCCTGGTCTAAACTGTAAAGTTTACCAGGCCCTTTGACATGTATTGGTTTATTGACTCCCAAAAATCTGAAGTTCAGAGAAATTTAATGACTTTGCCCAAGGTCTCATAACTGAGTTAGAAACCAGAATTGTAATCTAGATTTTTATTTAAACTTCAGATTTCATTTATTTTGCATTTCATTAAATTGCCTTAGTCCTGACTGCCCTTTCTGAAGCATTTTCCTGGGTTTCTGGTAAGCTGACTGCTTATTCCACTGCTGATTGCTAGATTACAATCTCTTGTGCGACCTTTGCCCTGGCTGATTACTTCCTTTGTTGATTCTTTGGCATATATTAAATTCTTCTGAAGTTGCTTTTTTACCCTAATAAGTGACCGATAGCTGCTAATGCTCCAGTGACAATATTTCCCATGGGAAACCAAAACACCATCAACTTGCTACTAAAATACTGCATCATCATGGCTGACATTTTTCCATTTCTTCCTGGAAGCAGAATGGAAGATACTGGGTACGGCTGAACTAAAACTCCAACTAATTGTAAATGTGAAAGCAAAGAAGCTATATTGGTTATGCAATTCTACACATTCAGTGCCGCTTGAGTGTTTCTAAGTTCCTTGCTCTAGCTAATGTTTCTATTTAAAAAGTAGACAAATTTGATGACTAACAACGGAGAACACGAAACAAATCTGGTGAATACCAGAATTAAGACATGTGTCAGCCAGGCGCAGTGGCTCATGCCTGTAATCCCAGCACTTTGGGAGGCCGAGGCGGGTGGATCACGAGGTCAGGAGACCGAGACTATCTGAGGGAGAATCTTCAGGTTTTTTCTTCTCTTTTGCTGTAACACCAGTCAAAAAAGTTGACAAAGATAAGGTATTAAGTATTGACGTTAATACTCTACCTGAAAATAAAAACCATGGAACCTATCTATAGGTTAAAACAGCATACTGATAAAAAACACATATACTTTGATGCAGAGATGTACGATAATCATGAATTAGAATTAGCATCCTGATTTAGTGTTCTACCAAAAACCCTAAGTGAACACAGAATCTATTTAAAACCAAAGAAAACAAAAAAAATCTTGTGTTTACTTAATAGTCATTGAAAAGAATTACTACAAAATTTCTAGAATTTAAAAAGGTTAAAAATTTTAAAGTGTTGCCTAACTATACTTAGCATACAATAGTTTACCAAAATATCCACGCATTTGCAGCAATTGAAAAAAATCTTAAAACATAAGCAAGTATTAGTATACATATGAAACTAATCCAAAGCCAACTGTGATTAGTTCCTGTAAGGAAAGTTAACAATTGCCAAGAATGGAAGGTGACTAGAGTTGCATCTAGTTTGCCTGTGTTCAAGCATGATACTAGATAAAATTAAATAAAAACTGTGACTCTATGGGTAGCTAATACTATAAAATCTAAGACCATTCATATGGCTGAAAACAACCCATCCCCAGCCACCATCAATGCAAAGGGCAAAAAATTAGAAACAGAAAAAACTTCTATATGCAACCTGTTCTGATCTATTAATGTAAAGAAGAACTTCTGGCTAAAGGAGTTTAATAAAGTAAGCCAGTTATGAAGCATGCCATGTATACCAACTGGTGACAGGGAAACATTCTGAGAGCTATGGTGTCCAATATGGTAGCCTAGCCACATTCTATTAAAACCTCACAAGGTGGCTAGTCCAAATCAAGACATGCTAACAGTAAGTGTAAACACACACACTGGATTTTGAAGACTTGGTGAAAAACAATAATGTAAAATATCGTTAATTTTTATATTAATTAGAAGTTAAAATGATATTTTGGACATAATGAGTTAAATCAAATCTATCAATAAAGTTACTTTCATCTGTTTCCCTTTTTAACTGTTTCTTTTTATTCTTTTTAATATGGCTACTAGAAAATTTATTTATTTATGTATTTATTTGAGATGCGGTCTTCCTTTGTCACCTTTGTCACCCAGAGCTGGAGTGCAGTGATGTGATCATAGTTCACTGAAGCCTGGAACTTGTGGGCTCAAGTGATCCCTCTGCCTCAGCCTCCCAAGTAACTGGGATTATAGGCACCAGCCATTGCACCAAATGACAATTTTAAATTACATACACAGGTTATATTTTATTTCTATTGGATGACACTGCTCTGCAGAACCAGTGCCCTTCCTTTTACAATGTTAAATCTGTCCCTCTCCTTCATTATAAACAAAAACTTAGTATCATTTCCTAGCTAGGAGAAATAACAGTACACCATAAGATACAGATTCTTGTTCCACTTCTGCTATTACTCAGTAAAGACCCCTTGGGTAAATCAGATAGCCTCTCTTGGCCTCAGTTTACTCATGTCTAAAGTCTTCATTTCTAAGGTCCCTTGGGACAATGACATTATCAGATTCAAAACAGAATAAGGCTCTATGTTCTACAGTAGTGTATAGGCACATTCGTTCTTAGCTCAGGGATTCTTAACCTAGAGCTCACAGAAACTGTACGCAAGTATACATCCACTTTTAAGTTAACACTTTTCACATTTCTCAAAGACCGTATCTTTAAAATAAAAGATTAAGAGCTACCTTAGCTGGTAATAAAACTGGTATACTTAAAAAAAAATCAGAGATTGTTACTTTATCATTGTACTTGTTTGGCATGGCTAAGATGTGTTACTGGTCACTAAGGGTGAGATTTCACTTCCCTAACCTGTTCTTGAAGGCCTTCAACAGATCCCACTTCTTGTTCCACTCTAGTAGCCACACTTCTAAAAATGATCTGTGCAACATATATAATATGCAAGCTGTAGAATGCTGGCTGTTAAAAATGGGGTCCATTTTCAAATACAACATTTTTCTAAACCATGCACAAAAGAACAGCCCTACAGGGACACTCTTCCATACTGTATACATGCCGTTGCCACTACATGTGAATACTGGCAGACGTTAGTGGCTAAAGATAAACATTAGATAAAACATAGGTCTTCATTGAGCAGACCTGAAATAGCAGAGCAATGAAGTACATTACAAATCAGCATCCCACTACATTTTAAAAAACAAACCAACAAGGGTGTCATGCCACCAGTCAAAAGGTACTTTGCTTAAACTGGCATTCTTTAACATGCATGTTGTAGTGGTAAGTACTTCATTTCATACAGCCACAGTAATTAATACTTTGCTAAGGGCTACCCAGCTGCTAAAAACTGCTGTTATCTCATACTGAGAATGCTAGTTCTATACCTTTGCTCTCAGGCTGTGAGGAAGGGGTGCTAGTCCAAAAGGCCATGGGATTAGATTTAAAAAGGCTAAAATTAAATCCTAGAAAATAAAGAATATTTCATTTTTTAACATTTTAGGAAACAAAATGAATATGCTTTTAAAACATAAAAAGCCAGAATCCCTCAATTTATACCACCAATCTGACTGTCTTACATATTCATTTATCCCTGTAGTTTCATTCTTTGCTCATTTAATACATGAGCAAGACTGACATACAACACATAAAATGAGAACATCTCAATATCATGTTTTTTTTTGTTTTTTGTTTTTTGTTTTTTTTGGAGACAAAGTCTCACTCAGTCACTCAGTCAGGCTGGAGTGCAGTGGCATGATTTCAGCTCACTGCTACCTCCATCTCCTGTGCTCAAGCGATCCTCCTGCCTCAACCTCCTGAGTAGCTGCTAATTATAGGCACGCACCACCATGCCCGGCTCATTTTTGTATTTTCAGTAGAAACAGGGTTTCACCATGTTGGCCAGGCTGGTCTCGAACTCCTGAGCTCAAGTGATCTGCCCACCTCAACCTCCCAAAGTGCTGGCATTCTAGGAGTGAGCCACCGTGCCCAGCCTCAATATCATGTTTTCTGAGTGACAAAAGAAACAGAACAAATGAAAATGAACACTTTAAAAAAAGACTCACGTTAATGCGCATGATTCAAGCATGAGTCCGTACACTGTACCAAGTTCTTTTGCTCTGCCCTAGCATGATAGAAGTATCTTCCAGTTACTGAAATGTCTTTAACTAAGTTCTCTTGCTCTTTGAAACCTCACCGTGAACTTATTAAGGGAGAAAAAAAATTGCTCAAATATTTTGGGGGTGTTCACAAAGCATCGTTTATATCCCAACATTAGTATCCCACAAAGAGTCTGCATCAAGCTAAACATTAAAAGAAAGAAAAATTGTGCTTAACTTTAACAACAAAGTACCTACCCTTTTCTGGTGTTTTAAATGTGTAGTTGATTGAAGATTCTTCCGTTGGAAAGGAAGCAGAGAGATTTTTGACTTTGCTATCTGAAGACTGTTCGATATCAGAGTTCTTTGACAGTTCACATTTTTTAGGTTCCACTTTGCTTTCAGATCCACTCTGGGCTACTGAACTAGTTTCACTATTGTTACTTTTCAAAGGTGCATTAAAACTAAATCCAAACAAAGACCCAGTGGCAGAACTGTTGCCAAATACAAATGGTTTTGATTTTTCACTACTAAAAATTCTTTTAACAGACTCTGAAACAAATACAAACTTTGGAGGAGAAACCACTGCTTTTGTTGTTGTTTCAGATGTGCTAGACACTTCAACTTCTGAAGCTGCATCTGCTACATCATCACCCTGAATAACATCTGTCCTCTCTCTTGTGGTTTCTTCTAATATAGCTACAGCAATTTTGCCACATGGTGACTCTCTGGGAGTGCTTGACCGAGAAACATGAGGTGTTATCAAAGAATCTTTTTCCTGGGCTGTTTTTGCTTCATCAAAAATTTTCTTAAACGAGTCTGCAACATCCTGTAGTTTAAAACGAACAGCTAAATGCTCTACTTTTCTTTCTCCATCTGCAAAATCACATGCAGTCCACACCCATACTCTTTCTGTCCCTTTCATATTTTGCAAACTCATGTCTGGAGTTATTCTGTGATTGGCACAAAGTTTTAATACTTGGTCCCTTCTCATCACTATACGAACTTGCTTATTATCATAATTCTGTAAAATCTTTATATCACCAATGCCCCTTTCTTTCCATTGACCAACATCTTTATCATATCTGTAGATTTCTGCCCTGTGACTAAAAACAACTTGTTCATTTTCCTCACCACTGGATACTTCAACTAGATCAGGTAAAGGAACAACAGGTTCAAAGTACTGTCCATCTCTCTCTTCTTCTTGAGTAACAACAGATTCTTCATCAGTGCCAACTGAAGTCCCACTCTGATTCAACTTGGCAGGAGACTTAGATAGACTCAAAGCAGATTTAAAACTGAAGTTAGATCCTGTTGTTGACTCATCAAAGCGGAAAAGATTTTTTCTCACAGGGCTACTTGCCAATGGAGAAGCATGTACTGAGCTACTACTGACACTATCATCCAAAGCATCTTCCCTTAAGTCATAGTTATCCCATTCTAATGTGGGCCCAGTGTTTTCAGCATTGGGTTTTATTGTTGTGTCTGAGGCACCGGCCGCACCTGTACCTGAACCCTTATTTTCTTCCTCAGTGACTTTTGTTTGATCATTTGTCAAAAATGTTTTGAAATCTTTCAGTCCACTCTTCATTTCTTCAGCTCTCTGTATTAACTTGGCAGCTCTGCCAGTATCTACAAGTTTATGGGGAGTTTGAAGTGGTATGTCTAACAGAAGCCGCTGGCATTCCTCAAATTTCTGCTTGAATTCTTCAGCCAGCTCTGGTGTTTTAAATTTTGCTGCCAACCGCTCTAGTTTGGCATCACCGTCAGAGAAATCACTGGCTGACCACATCCATGCTCTATCTGATCCAGAGAGGGGCTTCAGGTTCATTGTAGTCGTTATCCAATGATTAGCACACACTTTTAGTACTTGTTCTCTTCGCATCAGCATTCTTAGTTTGCCATTGACCTCGTTTTTGAGAATTTTTAAGTTCCCCAAGCCCCTTTCTTTCCACTGCCTTACCTCAGCATCAAATCTAAATAGTTTTACCCCCTGTGAATACAGAACTTTTTCACCTTCTTCTCCTGTTACAAGTTCTACTTTTTCAGGCATTTGAACTACTGGTTCAAAATGGATGTCATCGCTGTCCTCAGTCTTATAGGCATCATCATCTTTCTCAAAGTCACCGGAAGTGTTTGCTTTATTGGCCATTTTACCGTATCGTGATGAGAATAATTTTTCTCCAGCACCTGAAAATCCCTTGAAATTGAGGTCTTTTTTGCCAAACTGAAATCCTTCTCCTGAAGTTGATTTTGCAACATCTGCAAATGTAAAAGTGCTACTTGTTTGGCCAAAAATCACACCACGGCCCTTCTTCCGGCCACTAATATCCTGAGCCTGGAAGCCAGTATCATTTTCAAGAGGCTTTTCCCTTTTCTTTTCTTGATTTCCTGGTTCCGAAATGCCAAATTTAAATCCATCAGCAGACACAGGGATGGAAAATCCTTCTTTGGTTGACTTAAATTCTGTATTAGAAGAACCCTGAAACATAAATGAAGGTGAATTTTCTTGATCCACATGCCCAAAATAGTCATGAAATAAATACCTTCTTCATTCCTAAACAATTTATCAAATGATGTTAACAATAATGATGATGATGATGATGATAACATTTATTGAGCATTCATTAATGTGCCAGCTGGGCACTGTTCTAAGCACTTTACATTATTATCTCATTTTAATATCCTCAAAAACCCTATGAATTAAGGTATTATTATTATCCTCATTTTACATATGAGGCAACTGATGCATTGAGAGGTTAAGAAACTTGCCTGTGGTCAAAATAAGCAGAAGAGCAAGGGTCTAAATGCACCCCAACACTCTGTCCTCAAAGCTGTCACATTCAACTACCAC
Organism: Homo sapiens; assembly: GCF_000001405.40. Classification (NCBI taxonomy): domain Eukaryota; kingdom Metazoa; phylum Chordata; class Mammalia; order Primates; family Hominidae; genus Homo; species Homo sapiens. The sequence continues at coordinate 109,835,446 of NC_000002.12, read as the reverse complement.
TGTAATATTGAGTCTTCAATCAATTGTTATATATATAGCTGTATCAGGCCTGAAAGTACTTACCACATAGTGGGTCAGCAAGGGCATTACAGTTCTATTTCTGTTAAAACAGAACGATGAAGGATCCACCACCACCACTCCCATTTTTAAAATATTCTAAATATTCACACTTACTAACACAAAAATAAGGTGACTAAGAAGGATAATTTCTGTATTTGGAGATAAATTTAAAATATCTACATTTTAAGGGACATAAAAGTTTTAATAGTGAACTGCTCTCTTGAATTTATTTGAAGGAACCCTAAACAATTTAAAAAGAAAATAATTATAAATGTATAAATTATTCCTTTGTTACCTTTGTGGGAGTAACATTAGCTGCTGGTCTGAGAAGATACTGGGAATTATATGCTGGTGACTGACTATAATATACTGAAGGGCCAGTAGTTGCAACTGAAAAAAAAAAAAGAAAAGAAAACACTGTTAAAGTCTATACTACAGTTAAGACTATCTAGGCAAGAGCTATAAATACAAAAGCAATAGAAGTTAAAGAAAGATTTAACTACATAAATTTTAAATTTCTGTACATCAAAATACACCAATCAAGATTATCAAATGACAAACTAGAAAAAAATTGCTAAATATGACATGAAGAATGAGAGAATAGCATCGCTGTGATCAACAAGAACTACCTCGCAAGCATTAAAAAAGGAATAAAGAAGATAGTAACTGTTGCCTTTTCTAAGAAAGATCAGTATGATGTGGAATTATGGACATTCAGTCACAGAAAGGACGTAAGGAACCAAGATGCCATCTGATAGTCAATGCATTTGAAGTGGGCCTAGAAAATCTGCAGAAAGACTAGGTTGTATTTTGTAAACTAAAGCTATTACTCAGAATGTTCAGCTCAAAAATCACCTGACAAATTCATGGAAAGGATGTCATAAATAACATAAAATGTGTTCCCTGGCTTAAAATAAAAAGCACATCAACACTCATACAGATGTACAAACTGTCTGCTCCCTCTGTTTGGTCTGTTTTACCAGGAAACAAAATGACTAGAAGGCACCCATGTTAATGACAAAACTACCAATAGTCATTTGCTTGAACTGTTTTATGATAGTTTTACCAGAAAACAACCAAAAGACCTTTTATGCCTGTACATGGAAGGAGAAACAGAAACTGTGCCAAGAGGTTCCAAACAATTGCCTCTGGAAAGCACTGAAAAATCAAGACCTAGAAAAGGCTAGCCAGAAGCCCAAGTTTGATTTCGGAAACCTTACAGAGGTGAGGATAGCTATTTTGAAATTACTATGGGGAGGAAGCAGGCACAGAACACAGAACAACCTGACAGAAATGGCCCAAGAATCTTAAAGTCTTGCAAGATGTCTGTCTGCATGAAAGCAAAAAGAAAAAATAAAATATTAAATAAAAAAAAATCTTAGTCTGAAGTTTAAGTAGGGACTTTAATTGACTACTGACTCTAAACTGTGCGGCTCTAATAAATCTACTAAAAGTAATCTAATTTTTTAAAGCACCATATGAATAGACAATTTAGGAAAGAAATGTTAATAGGCCTCAAGGAACATGTTTTTGAAGTGAGCCTTGAAAATCTGCAAAATGACGAGGTTGCATTGTGCAAATTGAAGCTATTATGAGAATGTTCAGGTCAAAAAAATTACCTGACAAATTCACGCACAGGATCTCACAAGGAACACAAATGTGTTCGTTGGCTTTAAAAAAATCACATTAACATTCATGTTGATATACAAAAACTCTTCTCCATCTGTTTTGTGTGAGTTTTACCAAGAAACCAAACAACTGGAAGGTACGTTGAAGATGGCAAAACTACCAACTGCCATTTGCATGAATTGTTGAGCATGACTAGTATTAAAAAAACTTAAAAATTGATATCACTTTTGTTCCTACAAATTGGCAAAGGATTTTATAAACTAGTAAGTCAGCATTAGCAAAAGTGCGAAAATGGCACTATCAGATACTAGCGGTAAGAGCATAAACTGAATATTTTGAATACCCTACAAAACTAGGACAGTGTCCTAGAATTTGTAATGGCATAAACCAGAAACAACATAAATAAAGGAACAGAATTTACAGTACTTCCATGTGATGGGATACCATGAACTCATTAATATTCAAAAAACATTTAAGTTTAAAAATGCTCAGAACTAAAGTAACATTTTAAAAACAGGCTAGCTCATCTACACACAACATAGTAACATGGTAACAATCTCATAAAAAATACTATATGTATAGAGAAAGAACCAGAAGGAAATGCTCTCAAATATAAGAAATGTTAATGAGGTGGTTAGCTTTTAGTTTTCTTCACCCTGTTCAGTACTTCTGAGTATCTCCTATGAGCTCATTAATCTTTAATTTTAATCATCTTATTTTAAAAAAACAAGGACCATCTTGATATATGTTTACTTTTATTAAGGAAAAAGAATCTATGAACACAGGAACAGAAATCAGGAGATCTTGGCTCTCGCCCTTTCAGTGCCACAAAGCTGTTTTGTGAACCTGTAAATAATCCATTTGGAGTCTCCATGTTTCTCAATTGTAAAATGACGATGTGCTGCTTCTACACATTTCACAGGGTCATTGCAAGAATAAAATGAGACAATGAGAATGTTGGATTTACATGCTTGTATAAGAACAGAAGACCTTTTATGCCTGTACACAGAAGAAATGGAAATCATGACCCACAAGGCACCAAATAACTGACTGCACACATCACTAAAAAAGCCCCAGGAAAGGCTAGCCGGTTTGTTTATCCTCTTACAAGGACCTATATGATGTGTAAGGTTTTAAGAAAACAAGGTTTGAACGTTAGACATTTCATATACTTATCTATGACTTACGACATTTAATAAGCTTGACTTCACAAAGATTTTCTGTTATTTTGCTTGTGTTGAGAAGATACTATCACAAAAGGCTAGTGGGGTTGCCTTAACTATAGGAACCATCACACAAATGTGCTCATCTAAACTAGATTTTTTTCTAAATCTTTCCTGGGCTAAAAAGAGAAAAAAAAAAAGGGCACTACTACTACCATTTCAGAAGTCTGTCGTACGTAAAAGGAACAATTTTGTTATTTCTGGCTGCCTGGGAGCAATGTATTATACTGGCAAGTGCTTTGGAGTTACACCACTGGAGTGTGAATCTCGGCTCTATCAATAACTAGCTGTATAATAATGAGTAAGTTACCTAACCTTTCTTTATCCATTTCCTTATTTATAAAAAAGGGATTAATAATGGTACCGGCCATTCTAAGTTACTGTAATTAAATCAAATTACATTCACACAGCACTTTTGCACACAGCCAACCCACAGTAAACACTATTAGTAACCTTAGTTCATTAACTGTTTACTGTATACTCTAATAAATGTCTGATACACACCCACGCCCACCTGCACATACACAAATGCTCATAGTAATTATGTAAGGCAAGTATTATCTCCACATTTCAGACAGGTTAACTTACACAGCTATTATAGTAAGTGATAGAGCAGAACTTAAAAACCCAGTATGATTCAGGTCCAAACTCCTTTTCTTTCTTTATATAACCATAATATTTCAAATTAAGTAAGATTTCCTATATAACGTCCTGCCTCTCATCATTATCATCAAAATAATTCCCCAGAGGTGTAGGTTCTTAATTAAGCATTTCTTAGTGCATAACTCTATTCAATAACATTTTGCAATTTAAGGAATAATCTCATCTCAGCTCATCTGAGGTGTGGATTAAGTGTTCTTTAAGCCTTTATATACACGTGATCACATACGGCTCGTTTTTTCTGCTTGGGATTATAAAAATCTCCGTAACACCTAATACAGCTTTTGAAGTCACATATAAACAGACGTTGACATGTATATTAACAAACATATATAAACAAGGTGATTTCACACGTTATCTACTTAAAAGAGGGAAGTAAAGTAGTTTTACTAAAATATGCGATTATCCACTTGCCAGCTCACCTGTTAGTGGAGCCCCATGAAATGTCTGTGACCCCTGATATCCATCAGGCACCGAGTCTGGTCCATAATTCTCTGTGGGCCAACGATGACGGGATGCTGACTTACTGCTATTTAGTTTCAACTCCTGCATTTCTTTCTATTGGAAGAAAAAAAAAATCAAATAATTTTAATCATTTAATTATATCATGCCAGAAACAGTGCTGGGGAAACTTACTCTTTTAAATTTAAATAACTGATTTTTTCTTTTTTTCTTTTTTGAGATGGTGTCTCGATCTGTCGTCCAGGCTGGAGTGCAATGGCACAATCTTGGCTCACCGCAACCTCCACCTCCTGGGCTCAAGCAATTCTCCCACCTCAGCCTCCCGAGTAGCTGGGATTACAGGCGTCAGCCAGCACGCCCGGCTAATTTTTGGTATAATAGTAGAGATGGGGTTTCACCATGTTTGCCAGGCTAGTCTTGAACTCCTGACCTCAAGTGATCCACCACCTCAGCCTCCCAAAGTGCTGGGATTATAGGTGTGACCCACCACGCCCGGACCTGATTATATCTTTTGAAAGTTTCTATTTGCCAAAGAGTTCTAGGTACCTGGTGCTGATTTTAAAATATGATTCTTAATTTGTTAAAAATTTATCTGCTCCCATTTTCATTCGTTAATACAAAACCTAATTCATTAACTCTCTCACCTAAACAAATAACCTCCTAAATGATCACACCTTCATTTCCATTCTACACTTGCCTACATTAACCTTTCTGACGTTCACCTCCAGCCAAGACAATTCCCTGCTCAAAAAAACAAGTACCTACAAACTAAACTTCTTTCCCCAACTTTCACAGTCCTCTAACATTACACTGACCATCCTTTCAGTGTGTTCTTTCTACACTGCAACCTGGACTACCTGACATTCCAAATCACCTCCCCAAATTAGCTTTTCACTTAACCCTGTGTTCAAACAAAATACAACTAATTCTCAAGGTGATGTTCAAATGCTCCACCAGGAAAGGGAAAAAAGTAGTAGCTGCAGAGAATTTATTATGTATATAATAATACGTCCAATGCACTTAAACTCTTAATTTTTACACCATCTACACTGTTAGGTAAACAATATTAGCTCCTATCTTAAAATGAGAGAAACGGATGCAGGGAATAACAGCTGGAATTTGAAACACATCTGACTCCAAAAATGTTTTCTTAACACAACTCTGCTGCCTTGACAAGATGGCAGATAGATCCAATGCCGTCTAGTGTAGCTATGTGGCTACTTGATCTCTGCTGAAGAAAACTAAATGACAGCACCATACCCAACACCCTAGAACCTACAAAATGTCCCCTTACAAAACAGACACTTAACAGGAAATTCTTTTTCCAAAGAAATTGTAGTGGTATCAGAAAACAGGTAAATTTTGAAAAGTTTCAAACTTCTCTGTATCAGCCCAGGAATCCGATCAGTTCTAACAAGTGAGGTCAGGGACAGATCTAGCATGTCTGCTTTCTGTTTCTACAAGTGTTTCAATTAAAAATTTCCCAGAAAGACCTAACCATGAGGTCCAAAACTATCTCAATTTTCAAGCTAAATAAAATTTCCCCCATTCATCCATCTACAGTGCCTAGTCCAGATGCTACACATACACATCCAAGAAATAAGAAACTAGTGGAATCACCTAGAAAACTTTATAGTCACTGTTGGTATCCGCACCAGAGCTTTGAATTTGCAATCACTGCTGTAACTGTAATTTTTAACATTCAGTGTGATGAGAACTGGCTTCAATAATTCTCTCATTTTAAAGATAAGAAGCCAAACAGTCACAAAGGAAGTGACTGGCCCAAGATCATTAATTAATGGCAGAGTCAGTACTAGTACCAAGCTTTTCAAGCTCATGGACTAGTGCTCCACTATACTTCCACAGAATACAATGTTGGGAGCCTGAAACCTGTATGTTAAGTCAAAATTGTATGTAATTGTCATAGGCCACGACTACACAGAATTAACATTCAAAATTTTTGTGCAAATTCAAAAATGTCTTCCCCACCAAATAGTATTCTCTTAATTTGCAAATGCTGCTGATCACACTGTAATAATCGCCACACATCAGCATATCCTTGATGTAACTTTAGCAGTATGAGTAATTTAGTTCTTGCTTGATAAACATGAAAGAACCTACTTTTATTTCCAATTCCAAAAAAGTCAAGCTCCTTTGAACCCTATTGTTAAAATAAGATATATATACATAACTATTTCCTTACATAATTAAGTCAAATTCATATGGAAGTATTAAAATATAGTAAGACTTTTTGAAGCTCAGACCACTTTTCGATTCCTAGCTATACATTTGAAACACATGTAATCCACAGCTAATCTGGGAATGAACTCATAGACCAGAGTATGATTAGTACATTGTAGCACTTCAATCACTCGGGAACCTTCTCTGTGTCAGGAACTCTTATATTTTAAATAAAACAGTTTCTACCTTTGAAGGTCTCAAATTTTGTGGAAGATGAGGAGAGAGACACATAAAGTACTTTCAAAAATATGGTAAAGGGCTGGGTGCGGTGGTTTACACCTGTAATCCCAGCACTTTGGGAGGCCAAGGTGGGCAGATCACCTGAGGTCAGAAGTTCAAAACCAGCCTGGCCAACATGGTGAAACTCTGTGTCTACTAAAAATACAAAAATTAGCTGGGCCTGGTGGCGGGTGCCTGTAATCCCAGCTACTCGGGAGGCTGAGGCAGGAGAGTCACTTGAACCTGGGAGGTGGAGGTTGCAGTGAGCCAAGATCACACCATTGCACTCCAGACTGGGCAACAGAGTGAGACTCCATCTCAAAACAAAACAAAACAAAATATGGTAAAGGGTCAAGACCGAGGTATGTAGGCTGGGCACAGTGGCTCACACCTGCAATCCCAGCACTTTGGGAGGCTGAAGCAGGAGGATTGTTTGAGCCAGGAGTTCAAGGCCACCCTGGGCAACATGGCAAAATCCCATCTCTACAAAAAATACAACAATTAGCTGGGCCTGGTGGCATGTGACTGTCTGTAGTCCTGGCTTCGTGGCAGGCTGAGCCAAGAGGCTCTCTTGAGCTAGGAGGTTGAAGCCGCAGTAAGCTGTGATCATACCACTGTACTCCAGCCTGCACAACAGAACAAGACCCTTGTCTTAAAAAAAAAAAAAAAAGACCAAAATGTCCCCTTGCCATACTATTTGGATGGCAAGGGGACATTCTGACCAGCTTCAGAAAAAAAGTGAGAGAGTAGCCAGGGAAGGAATCTTGGAATAAAAAGTACAGCTAGAGAAATTAAGTGACTTACCTTAATGGCCTCTACTTGTTGGCAAATCATATTCAGTAAAGAATTCCGATCTTCTGTCCATCGAGGTGGTGTTTCGGGAGAATACTGAAAAAAAAAATAAAAATAACAAAACAGCATTTAAAACACTTAGAACAGAAACAATTTCACAATGAAATGATTCCATTCTTTCCTGTTTACCTTGTAACTTTTACTTGGTGATAGTGAATATTTGGTAGGAGACGGTGTAGAATGTTTTATTTCTGAATCTGCATTTCGCAAAGAACCATTTTTATAGAGAGGACCTCCTTCACTATAGTCTTCGAGTTCCTGCATGACTGAATTAAGCATCTGTTTTACAGACTCCAGGGGCACAGGCAACTAAAAATAAAAGACATTAATTAAGGGCTTTCATTTGCAAAAAATTCCAAAAGTAAAAACTCTAAAATGATATATTTTATCTTATTTACATTTTTGTCACTTTAATAAGCACTTTACACTTTAAATAATAATACACGTGAAAGTGTTTTTTAATTATCTTTTTTCTTTGTTTTTCTGTTGTTTTGTATTATTATTTTTATTTTTTTGTCTTTATTCTATTTTTTTCTTCAGGAACACAGAAAAGTGTTGTACAGTCTAACATCTTCTGATTCTAAAGTCCATGCTCTTTCTATTACTTCTGTTAACCATGATAATTGTAGAGGAATGTTAACTTGGAAAGCTTTTCCAAGTGAACAAAATAAGTTACTGATGTTTTCTAACTGATTTTCAATGGTGACAGAAATACAGATGCTACAATACACCAGACAACATAAATCCTAATAAAAGAGTAGTAACACAAATTAATCAACAAAACACTCAGAAGACTGAACATAATTTAACATCATCATGACAATCTCAAACAGCTGACAGCAAGAAAACAAGGGCGTTCATAATGGCTGATGACGATGAGAAGAAATGCTCTTAAGTTGTCAGCAACAACTTTCAATTTCAGCAAAGTTCATTAAGAATTAGTCCTGAGGTTATAATATTTGTTTTGATTACACTGCTAAGATAACAAAATCAATGTCTTATCTTAGAAATCTTTTCTAATTCCCCAAGAAGTACTTTTTAAGAGCATATACCTAGATTCCCAAGTTTAAAAAGACACACCAAACCTAAGACAAAGCAAGCAAATCTAAGCATTTAGACACACGCATCCCTTCTGTGCATTAATAACAACATATTACTGAGTATTTTTGAAATTACCAAAATATAAGACCAACGCAAAAACACTGACCAGTGGGTTATCAGTAAGAACGTACATACAACAACCTGCTACTTACTTTCTTGACCACTGAAAGATTTGAATCACCGTCATCTATAATCTTTATTAGGTAGTCCCTGGTCTTTGTCAGATAATTTCTGCATTCTTCTTGTTCTTCAGGAGAAAGGGCATCATTTTCAATGTCTTCTGCCTTCCTGTGAAAAATCTATACAAATAGTGCTTTCATGAAATCATTAGCTTTTTAAAACAAAAAACTTTCAGCTTGGCCACGCATGGTGGCTCATGCCTGTAATCCCAGCAACTCGGGAGCTGAGGCACAAGAATCGCTTGAGCCTGGGAAGCAGAGGTTGCAGTGAGCCAAGATTGTGCCACTGCACTCTAGCCTGGCCAACAGAGAAACCCCGTCTTTTAAAAAAAATAATAAATAAATAAATACAACTTTTAGCTCAAGTACTGCATCTACTTACCAGTGCAAGATTCCAATAAGAAACAACACTTTTTATAGATTCAAAAGCAGTCACAGCATCTTCTATATTTCCATTTACTGCATCCAACATAGCAAAAGTTATGTGTGCGTCTTCTTCATATTCAACAATTTCTGATGCCTAAACACATAGAATAGTTTTTAGTCAAATTGTTTATACTCAGAATATAAAACCCAAATGATTTTCCAAAGATTTTATATGATCTTAAGAGACAAACATCTCATTACTCTTCTCTGTCATATCTTATCTGTGAGAGCTAGTGAATTTAGAAAACAAGATTACCGTTAAATAACAAGGCAATTAATTTAAGCAGTTTATAGCTCCACGTCTTTGTTTATAAACTGGAAATTCCCATCTCCAATAAATTCATAAAGGAACTCTGTTACCTGAATGTCTACACTATGAAAATGTTTAAACAGAGGATCAATAGGTTCAGGAATACTGTTCTTCTTTATTATCTTCAACAATGGCAAAACTTTCTTCCAATAATGAACACTTCTCCCTATGTATTCTAGTTGACCATAAAAAGAATTAAGACCGCTGCCCTAAAAAAGAAAGTTAAAAGCACACAACTTTAAGGAACACGCATGATTAGATCTAAAGTTCATTTACAAGTTGTAAGAACTGGCTAAAATTTCAAGTCAAAACCAAATGGTACCTCAATAGTCATTTGTTCAACTTCCAAATACTGTAATAACTAAACCACCTTAATACCAGTGAACTCACTGCAACCTCTGCCGTGCAGGTTCAAGCAATTCTCCTGCCTCAGCTTCCCAAGTAGCTGGGATTACAGGCACCTGCCACCATGTCTGGCTAATTTTGTAGTTTTAGTAGAGTTTTTTTTTGTATTTTTAGCAGAGACGGGGTTTCACCGTGTTAGCCAGGAATGATCTCGACCTCCTGACCTTGTGATCTGCCCGCCTCGGCCTCCTAACGTGCTGGGATTACAGGTGTGAGCCACCGCACCCGGCCTCTACACTCAACTTTTAAATGCTTCTAATGATACCACTCTAACGTAGCAATCCAAACTACTTTTTAACAGTTGTCCTTTTTAGATAGCTGAAACCTGCCTCTTCTGTAGTGTCAGTTTGTTCAAAAGGCTGACCATCTACACCTAATGGTGACACAAAACACACCTTAAATATTTAGAAAGATCTATAATGGTCTTACCTACAAAGCCTTGTGCTAATTTTTTTTTTAATTTTCAGGCTGAATAATTATCAGAACTTAATTATTAAGGAATAACAGTAACAGCTCAGCTAATATGTAACATTCACTGTGTGCCAGGCATTGCTCCTCTAAGTGCTTATATTTAACTACATTAACTATTTTGCAGCAATAAAAAACACATCTGTCATAATATGACCAAGCTGCTGTTTTCAGAACAAAAAAACTTTCAATAAAAAGTTCATGATTTTAAAAAATTAAGGTAATGTTCATTAAAAATGCTTATACTTTAAAACTCACCGTTTTCTGAAGGTATTTTGCCCAATGTACAAGCAGAGCAGGTTGAAGGCCATGTTTTTCCTGGGCTCTTAGAGTGTTTATTTCATGCTGAACTAGAAGTCTCAATTTTGCCAAGTTTCCAGGTCTAAAAAATAGTTCAATTTACTAAAATTGCTTTCTAAATACACAGTTCAGCGCTTACATACATATATGTTAATGGGTCACATGACAAATTAAATCTTCACACGAGGATTAAATCCCCGGTAAAACCTACGCACTAAGTGAAAGCAATATTTTTGTTTTACTACTTACACTGCTTTTCTGTGAATCAGAGTACAAACCGCATCCCACCAAGATTTTTGTCTTTCTGTACAAAGCTGTTTACACACAGGAAAGGGCAGGCATAACGGCTGATAGGAGCTATGGTGAGAATTACATTTCTCCTTTAATTGTAAGTGGCTGGTATATACTACTCCAAGGAGAAATACCTGTTTCATTTAAGGAAAAGTTAAGTTAGAAAAAAAAATTAAACAAAATTCAGAATATTTAATTTGTTAAAATCTTTGCTTACTTCAAGATCTAAAATACATATTGATTCAGGCGCATTTGTTTCAAGCCTTGAGGTTTCATGGGGCAAACGATGGAAAAGCTGTTTTAGCCATTTTCGGATTCCAGGTAAAGCAGGCAATGAATTCCACTGTAAGCCAAGCCAAGTAAGATGCTGAAGACTACCATTATGTGCTCGAATAGCACCTGAAATAAAATTTAAAAATTGGCTTAAGGGTTTGAAATTTTTCTTTGTGCCATTAGTTTTGCCAACATAAACAATTCACATTATATATATCTTAATTATATAACTGCTTTTCTATATCAAAGCTGGAGGGAATTCTATGTTAGGCAAAATCTCATGTTCTTATTAAATGCATTCTCACTTGATTATTTCTAGAAATTTTAATAAAAATAGTAGTGATGAAGAATGTTTAAGTCCATCTTAAAAAATGACACTGACTAGAACTCAATAAACCAAAATCAACTGACAAAAGCCAAATAAAGAACACCTAACCTAATAAGAAACCCCAAAACAATGGGTTTTGCTTTAAGTCATTAAAGCAATGGAACACCACTATATTAATCCATCGGTACAGTAAAGAAATCTGTTTTTCTACAAGAAAGTCAATATTGAAAATGTTATGCGCAGTCAGGAGTTCGAGACCAGCCTGGCCAGCATGGTGAAACTCCGTCTCTACTAAAAATACAAAAAATTAGCCGAGCACGGTGTCACATGCCTATAGTCCCAGCTACTTGGGAGGCCGAGGCAAGACAATTGCTTGAACCTGGCAGCCGAGATTGCGCCACTGCGCTCCAGCCTGGGTGACAGAGCGAGACTCTGTCTCAAAAACAAGAAAAGAAAAGAAAAGAAAAGAAAAGGTTATGCGCTTCTGGAAGCATGAAGAGGTATAATCTTTCTGTCATTTTGGCAATTTGCAAGACTTAAAGATGTTCATGTCCTTTGTCTCAGTAATTCTGTTTTTAGGTATCTCTATGGAAATAACTTGCAATGAAGACACTTTTTGTTGAAGTTTTTATCAGAGTATGATTATTAACAGTGGAAAAGTTGAGAAAACTTGGATGCCCAATAACAGAAAGTAGCAAGCAAATTATGACTACTTCATAAAAAAGATTATATTGCCAATAAAAGTGATATTTATAGTTTTAATACACAGACTATGGGAGAGAATTCATGAAGGAAGCAAGATAAATCATACATAAACAACCATTTAGATGAAAAATATGGCCAGATGCAGTGGCTCATGCCTATAATTCCAACACTTTTTGTTTTTGAGACGAAGTCTCGCTCTGTCGCCCAGGCTGTAGTGCAGCAGTGTGATCTTGGCTCACTGCAACCTCCACCTCCCGGGTTGAAGGACTCTCCTGCCTCAGCCTCCTGAGTAGGGACTACAGGCACATGCCACCACCCCCGGATAATTTTTGTATTTTTAGTAGAGACGGGGTTTCACCATGTTGGCCAGGATGGTCTCGAACTCCTGATCTCAGGTGATCTGCCCGCCTCGGCCTCCCAAAGTGCTGGGATTACAGATATGAGCCACTGTGCCGGGCCTAATCCCAACATTTTGGGGGGCTTAAGCAGGAGGATCACTTGAGCCTAGGAGTTGGAGACTAGCCTGGGCAACAAAGGGAGACCCTGTCTCTGCCAATTAAAAAAAAAATTATCTGGGCCGAGTGGCATGTGCCTATGGTACCAGCTACTCAGGAGGCTGAGGCAAGAGAATCCCTTGAGCCCAGAAGTTCAAGGCACCAGTGACCTACGATCATGCCACTACACTGCAGCCCAGGTGACACAGCGAGACCCTGTCTCAAAATACAACAAGGCTGGTCGCAGTGGCTCACACCTGTAATCCCAGCACTTTGGGAGGCCAAGGCAGGTGGATCACCTGAGGTCAGGAGTTTGAGACCAGCCTGACCAACATGATGAAACCCCGTCTCTACTAAAAATACAAAAAATTAGCCGGGCGTGGTGGCGGGCATTTGTAATCCCGCTACTTGGGAGACTGAGGCAGCAGAATCACTTGAACCAGGGAGGCAGAGGTTACAGTGAGCCGAGATCGCACCACTGCACTCCAGCATGGGCGCCAAGAGCAAAACTTGGTCTCAAAAACAACAACAACAACAACAAAAAATACATGCCACCCCCACAGCACCACATTCAAACTCCCCCCAGCCCAACCCACACACAAAAGGAATACAGGAAAATATTAAGTCGTTATTTCTGGGTAATAAGATTATGGGCAATTTATAAGAATTAAGACGGAGACCATTTCCTCTGAAACATATAACTTACCAACATCGTATCTAGCCAAATCTTCAAGCTCTGGTTCTTGTACATCAATTTTTCCAATATCATCGCTACCAAGAAAAGATGTATCCTTAGGTGACTGACTAGAAAACAGAGCATCATATAACGCAGACTGCCCAATTTTGTTGGCAAAAGTTTCAACAACCTCTTTTAAGAAATCTTGCTTGCCACGACTTAAGCTTAGCAACATGTGCCCTGAAAAAAAAATTTAAGTTATTTCCATCACTTTAAAAATACAGATTGTATTTGCTCACGTTGTCTCATTTGTATACCCAAAGGGGAAATAACATGATTATTGCAAACCTAACCCTCCAACCCAAAAAATACAGCTGGACAACAAAATGGGTGCTTATGTAGCAAATGAAAAGAGTACAGGTTTAATATTCTCAGTATCTACATAAGACAGCAGAACGGGGAAAAAAGACAGGAATGTGTATGAAAAATGCCAAACATATTTGCACTTTAGATGAAAAGGTCTGGATTTAAGTGGCCATAGGAGAACAGGGACAAGCTCTTATTCTCTGATCTGATACACTGATTTCTGAACCTGGCTGATCAGAATCCTCCTTTAAACAGCTTTTAAGAATTATTTCCAGCTGGGCACGGTGGCTCATGCCTGTAATCCCAGCACTTTGGGAGGCCAAGCTGGGTGGATAATGAGGTCAGGAGATCAAGACCATCCTGGCTAACACAGTGAAACCCCATCTCTACTAAAAATACAAAAAAAAAAAAAAAAATTAGCCGGCCCTGGTGGCGGGTGCCTGTAGTCCCAGCTACTGGGGAGGCTGAGGGAGGAGAATGGCGTGAACCCGGGAGGCGGAGCTTGCAGTGAGCCGAGATCACGCCACTGCACTCCAGCCTGGGCGACAGAGTAAGACTGTCTCAGGAAAAAAAAAAAAAAAAAAGAATTATTTCCAGGCCTTGTTCCCAGAGATTTTTATGCCATAGGTTTACAGTAAGCAATCAAAAAATCATAGTCCTCGGATAAAGTACTGATACATGCTACAACACAGATGAACCTTGAAAACCTTGCTAAATCAAAGAAGCCAGTCACAAAAGACCACATACTATGATTCCATTTATGTGAAATGTTCAGAAGAGGCAAACCTACAGAGACAGATTAGCGGTTGCCAAGGCTGAGAGGTTTGGGTAAAATGGGGAGTAACTGCTAATAGGTAAGGAATTCCTCACGGAGTGATGAAAATCTTCTAAAACTGACTGTGGTGACAGTGGTAATACTCTATGAACATAGTAAAAGCCACTGAACTGTACACTTTAAATGGGTGAAGCGTATGGTATACGAATTATATTTCAATTGAACTTTTTTTAAAAACCCTCCTTCGAGTTAATTCTGCTGGGCAATTAGGTTTGGTTACCACTACACAGTTGTGTCTCAGCACACTTACAGAGGCACCCTCGGAATGCCCAGATCAAAGACATAAAAAAAAGATACAGGCAATTTTTATCTAACTGTGACACCATGCAAAGGCACTTATGAGAGCCCTGCAAGGGTAGAAGGAAAAGAGAAAAGGGAAAAAGTAGAAAGTCACTTTAAGGACTGAAAGCCTAACTCCCACAAAAAAAGTGGGCTATGGAATAAAAGAGCAATGTGAGCTCTGGCCAACAGCCTAACTATACACCAAAGCTTATAATAACTTTGATTTAATATTACATCTTGCTCTTTACAAAATTCATCCAATTTTATATCAAAACTGCTCCTTATAGAAAGCATTATGTTTCTTCAGTTCACTGCTTGATTCAATGGCCATCTAACTACCTTAAAGTTTGTATCTTAGCAAAATCACAGGTAATATGCAACAGACCTTTAGGATTCATCCCAAGCCAAAAATGGGGGAAAAAATCCACAAATTCCAAGAGCCTAATATAAGGTAAGTATATATCTTCTATCTTCCTCACTATGCTCTCAGCTCTTTAAGACAGATCCGTATCTTCTTCATCTTTATATCCCCACAGCAGTGTTTTTAGAATCAGCTGGTGTTAAATGGTTGGCAAATCAATAATTATACTTAGTTCAGGAAGTGACTAAATATTCAGGATAGAGGCTCTAGCAGCCAGATGAAGAAAGAGTTAAGAAATCCTCTCCACATAGGAACAAACAATATCAAATATTCATTTTTTTAAAAGAATGTGCTATTTCTTCGCATCTCTTCCATACCTATTGCTCTTAACTGATACGGCAAAAAGAAATAATTTTGACAAATTATCTCCTGGACAGATGAAGATTTTATCATAAGATATGCCTTAACAGAAATTCCTTTTTCTTTTTAAATTAAATTAGTTTAATATTACTATTACCTGATTGGCTCAGTCGGTCACAGGCCATCATTTCCAGCAGATTTTGTCCAGCTTTACCTTCTCTTAATTTAATCTTTGGTCTTGGAACCTAATAATTTTAGAATCAAAAATCTTAATTTGATGATACCCATACTTCTAATAGTAACATGGTCTTATCTATTACACTGTACTTTTTTTGATAATGAATAAACAGTTAACCATTAATTAAACTGAATTGGAAAAGACTGCAAAAACTGGGAACCAAGGAATTTATATAACCTATGAAAGATAGGCCAGGTACAGGCGTGGTGGCTCACACCTGTAATCCCAACACTCTGGGAGGCCAAGGTGGGCTGATCACTTGAGGTCAGGAGTTCGAGACCAGCCTGGCCAACATGGTGAAACCCAGTCTCTACTAAAAATAATAAAAAAAAAAACAAAGAGCCAGGCGTGGTGGCACACACCTATTAATTCCAGCTACACGGGAGGCTGAGGCACAAGGATAGCTTGAACCTGGGAGGCAGAGGTTGTAGTGCGCCGAGACTGCGCCATTGCACTCCAGCCTGGGTGAAAGAGCGAGACTCCATCGCAAAAAAAAAAAAAAAAAAGAGGGGCCAGACATGTTGGTTCACACCTGTAATCCCAGCACTTTGGGAGGCCGAGGTGGGGGGATCACTTGAGCCCAGAGTTCAAGACCAGCCTGAACAACACGGTGAGACCCTATCTCTAAAAAAAGTTTTTTTTTAATTAGCCAGGCGTGGTGGCACACACCTGTGGTCCCAGCTACTCAGGAGGCTGAGGCAGGAGGATCACTTAAATCCAGGAGGTCAAGGCTGCAGTGAGCCATGATCATGCCACTGTGCTCCAGCTTGGGCGACAGTGTGAGACCCTATCTCCAAAAAAAGAAAAAAAAAAAAAAAGCATACACAGAGCAGCTCTGAGAAATTAGTTTCTACTAAAAGCACATTCATGTTACATTCAGAGAAATGGAAAATTTAATTACATTACTTTTCTACCCTGCATAAATAGGACAACAGCAGATGTTGTCCTATTTGAGTAGATATGACACCCTACTTTAAAAAGCACAGGTGAAATGACACTTGGAAATGCCACATTGTAGATAACACATTTTCAGAGTATGGATAATAGGGGATAGCACTAGAATAAATGGGACAACCAGGAAATTAAAGAGATCCTCATGCAATAACCTATGGAAGAAAAAAAAAGCATGATGAATAGAATGGCGAAGGGAAGACGTGACAGCTGCCTTCAAATATTAAAATTATTTTATAAAAGAAATCATCAAAAGAAGAAACAAGACCAACAGGTAGAAGGCTTGAAGAATATTTTTATTCTATATAAGGAAGTACCAAGAGCCAAACCACCTAAAGATGCACTGGGCTATCTTGAAAAGTAATGAATGTCCATCACTGAAAACGTCCAGTCATAGGCAATGCCCGCTTACTAGAAACATGCCAAAAGTAACTATATGGGTGACTAGAGCATCGGCTTTTAATTCTATCACCACTTTCTTAATTGGTGGTGGAAATGTAATTTGATACAACCTCTTTAGGGTTAGATATTTGGCAACAGCTCTAAAAATTATAAATGCACAGATATACTTTGATACTGCAATTCTTTCAGGAATTCATGGCACAAGTTAATCATTGCTAAATTACTTGAAGTAGCATTTAAAACAAAAGTAAAAGCAAGCTAATGTCCTGGTTTTAGGACCCTGGTTTTAAAAACTCCAAAACTACAGTACATCCATACAATGGAATAATATGCAAGCATCCAAACTAATGAGAATGCCCTTTATATATACTGACATGGAAACATCTCCAAGATACAGTTAATGGAAATAAAGTAAATGCAATGTTCAAATGTTTTCCTCCTTCTTTTAAAGACAGGGGATATATGTGTGTTTACTTGGAGATGCATAAAACATTTCCTGAAGAACACACAAGAAAGCAATAACATTAGTTTCTTTGGGGGTGGAGAAAGTAAATAACTAGGGAACAGAAAGGAGTCTTCATAGCATATTCTTAAGAGCCGCCAGAATTTTAAACCATGTATATATAATTCTTTCCAAACATGCTCATTTTTCAAAATATATGATTTATGAACCTAAAAGCTTCTGATTTTGAATTTTAGAAATATTCGTATCGCCTATCCTTTTACTCACAAGTTTTCTAAACATCATGTCAAAGTTTGTCATCTATATGTTGAAAAGAGCACACAAAGTAAGAAACAAAATGTTGACATCATTCTTTTTGTTTTCAAACTGACCTCAATTCATAAACCCGGCCTCTTTTACAAAATTATTCAACAGTTGAATCTGTGACCAGTTAATTAGTTGTGAATCCACTCAATCAAATCATCTCAATTCACTATTTCCTTTTTTTTTTTTTTTGAGATGGAGTCTCGCTCTGTCGCCAGGCTGGAGTGCTGCAGTGGCACGATCTCGGCTCACTGCAACCTCCGCCTCCTGGTTTCAAGCAATTCTCCTGTCTCGGCCTCTCAAGTAGCTGGGACTACAGGCACCCGCCACCATGCGTGGCTAATTTTTGTATTGTTACTAGAGATGGGGTTTGACCATGTTGGTCAGGATGGTCTCAAACTCCTGACCTTAAGCGATCCGCCCGCCTCAGCCTCCCAAAGTGCTAAGATTATAGGTGTGAGCCACCACGCCTGGCTATTTCCTCATCTTAACTAAAAGGTTTCAAGATACTTTGTTAACTACCTAGCTGCAATGCAGATGCACTTACTAGAACCACAGTATTCCTCTGATTAAGAGTCTGAAAATCTTGCCATAAAAGTTAGCCAATTCTTAAATACCCAAATGCCAGCACATAACCTACATTTTATGCTTATAATCATTTGTTCATTAAGCTTTAAAATAAACTGATCAAATAAAATACAAGCATCTAAGATGTTTCTATTATATATTCATTCTACAGAAATATGTGGTAGTTAATAAAGACTGAGGTAGGTATCTCTGTGCTGAAGTGGAACAATGAAGAAACATTTAGAAAAGCAAGGCATCTGGCAATAGGTAAAGCACACCCACACTGAGGCACAATATTTTTTAAAAGCAGAGAAAGAATGTATTGCACATTTGCATATGCAAAAAATATTTCTGAACACCCAAGAAACTCCTAACAGTAGCTGTCATCTAGGAAAGGAGACCTGAGTGAATGGATTAAGAGGGAAACTAACTTATTATGATTAAAAGTTCACAGTCAGGTGTGGTGGCTCATACCTGTAATCTCAGCACTTTGGGAGGGCAAGGCAGAAGGATCACTTGAAGCCAGGAGTTCAAGACCAACCAGCCTGGCAAACATAGCAAGACCTTGTCTTTACAAAAAATTTAACAATGTAGCCAGGCATGGTGGCAGGCACCTGTAGTCCCAGCTACTGAGCTGAGGCTGAAGCAGGAGAGGATCACTTGAGCCCAGGAGTTCGAGGATGCAGTGAGTTATGATCATGCCACTGCACTCCAGCCAGAGCAAGAGTGAGACTCTGCCTCCCAAAACTACATATCAAAAAATTGTAGGCTGTGCGCAGTAGCTCACACCTATAATCCCAGCACTCTGGGAAGCTCGAGCCCAGTTCAATGTTACGGTGAGCTACGATTACGCAACTGCACTCCAGCCTGGGTGACACAGCAAGACTCTAATAGACACACAGACAGATAAATTTTAAAGTTTCCATTAAAAATAAGAACTATTGGCAGGGTGCGGTGGCTCACACCTGTAATGCCAGCACTTTGGGAGGCCAAGGTGGGCGGATCATGAGGTCAGGAGATCGAGACCATCCTGGCTAACACGGTGAAACCCCATCTCTACTGAAAATACAAAAAAATTAGCCAGGCGTGGTGGTGGGTGCCTGTAGTCCCAGCTACTCGGGAGGCTGAGGCAGGAGAATGGCGTGAACCCAGGAGGCGGAGCTTGCAGTGAGCCGAGGTCGTGCCACTGTGCTCCAGCCTGGGCGACAGAGTGAGACTCCATCTCAAAAAAAAATAAAATAAATAAAAATAAGAACTATCAGTTACTTGAGAATTTCTATAAGAACCTTTTAATGTTTGTATTACCTAGTGAACCTCACTAAATCCATTAATTTTCACTAATCCATTCCTTATGAACACAGAAGTTTCTACTGAGCAAATATTAGCACTTAACATGTGAACTGTCTATCAACGGTGTTTTTAAAAGATTTACAGGCCGGGCTCAATGGCTCATGCCTGTAATCCCAGCACTTTGAGAGGCCGAGTCGGGTGGATCACGAGGTCAGAAGATCGAGACCATCCTGGCTAACATGGTGAAACCCCATCTCTATTAAAAAATACAAAAAATTAGCCAGGCATGGTGGTGTGTGCCTGTAATCCCAGATACGTGACAGGCTGAAGCAAGAGAATCACTTGAACCCAGGAGACACAGGTTGCAGTGAGCTGAGATTGCGCCACTGCACTCCAGCCTTGTGACAGAGCGAGACTCCGTCTCAAATAAAAATAAAAAGATTTATATTAGGCAGGGCATGCTGGCTCACTGCCTGTAATCCCAGCACTTTGAGAGGCCGAGACGCGCAGATCACCTGAGTTCAGGAGCTCAAGACCAGCCTGACCAACATAGAGAAACTTCGTCTCTACTAAAAATACAAAATTAGATGGGCGTGGTGGCATGTGCCTGTAATCCCAGCTACTCGGGAGGCTGAAGCAGGACAATCGCTTGAACCCGGGAGGCGGAGGTTGCAGTGAGCCAGATGGCGCCATTGCACTCCAGCCTGGGCAACAAGAGCAAAACTCCGTCTCAAAAAGAAAAAAAGATTTATATTAGAAGGAGGGGCCTTCTCTAAAAGTAATGAATCTTTTTTCTCCCTCCCCAAGCAAAAAATCCTTCTCTAAAATTAATCATCTTTCTAAGCCTGGTTTAATGTTTTTTTGGAAGACTGCTTATTTCTTTTCCTTTCGAAAGTTATGCAAGCTCATTAAAAAAAAAAAAAAAAAAAAAGGCCAGGCATGGTGGCTCATGTCTGTAAATCCCAGCACTTTGGGAGGCCGAGGCAGGTGGATGACTAGGTCAGGAGATTGAGACCATCCTGGCTACCACGGTGAAACCCCGTCTCTACTAAAAGTACAAAAAAAAATTAGCCAGGCATGGTGGCGGGTGCCTGTAGTCCCAGCTACTCAGGAGGCTGAGGCAGGAAAATGGCGTGAACTCGGGAGGTGGAGCTTGCAGTGAGCCGAGATCGTGCCACTGCACTCCAGCCTGGGCGACAGAGCGAGACTGCGTCTCAAAAAAAAAAAAAAAAAAAAAAAAAAGCCAGGCGCGCCAGGCGCAGTGCCTCGCGCCTGTAATCCCAGCACTTTGGGAGACCAAGGCAGGTAGATCAAGAGGTCAAGAGATTGCGACCATCCTGGCCAACATGGTGAAACCCCATCTCTATTAAAAATACAAAAAATTAGCTGGGCTTGGTAGCATGGGCCTGTAGTCCCAGCTACTCGGGAGGCTGAGGCAGGAGAATCACTCGAACCCAGGAGGTGGAGGCTGCAGTGAGCCGAGATCACGCCACTGCACTCCAGCCTGGCGACAGAGAGAGACTTGGTCTCAAAAAAAATAAAAAAATAAAAAATAAGAAAAGGTTTTATGTTTTCAAAGATTAATAGATATACTGTTACATATACACAATACAGTCATAAATGTTATATACATGTGTTTCAATTAACATGTTAAATTGCAATCATATTCTTCTATCATAGGCTATAAAGCCATTGCCCTACGTCTACTTATTAGGATTTTGTCCAAGTAACACATCTTTTTGAATCAAGCTTTACCCATAATACGAGATTACATCTTTATCATGTTCCCAAAAATGGCAGAGTAAAAAGATCAAACTCTTCAAATTTGTCTACAAACAAATCATGGCAATGCAGGCTTTCGACAAGAGTGCATTCAACATCCCTGTTTCACCAGCCTCACCAGTATTGTGTATGCTTAGTTATTTTCCACTGTATCAAATTGACTATTTCATTTTAACTTTAATTCCACAGGTTTGTTCACATATTGTCATTACATACCAGAGCACACCTTCATTTAAAACACATCAAGACTCCGTGAAATGTCAATTGCTCCTACAAGTGGAAGACTTACCTGAAATGCTATGAGATAGCACAATGCAGCCAGCTCAGAAAGAGCTCGCCATTGAACATTATTACCATGCTGACCCATCTTCAAGAGCAGAGAACCAGCATACATATAGAAATGTCCTTTCATTTCTAAGAAAGTAGCTGACAGTTCATCATTTCCACCCAAAGAAGATTTCGCAGACTGAAGAGCACTATCAAAACTGTAATATGAAAATATCAAACAGATGATACACACTTACTGCACTGTGAATAATCATGGTTGATTTAATTCAAAACAAAATAAAAATTTTATTTCAAGCTTCATCTTCCACATTCAACTTCTAATAATTCTTATTCCCCATGTTATAAATTATGAATCATCTAATGCTTATTTTTATCCTGCATACTTCCTATACTTCATGCTTAACCTCTCAAATGATGTCTTATTCCCAGTTATTTCCAGCCCTCCAATCACAGAATAAATATAAGATTAGTGATTATAGGTGCACATTTCAAAATAAACCAGGATAAAGTTGGGAGACTATTTTGTAGTTTCTTCCTGATCATATAATTTCATTATTTAATTAACAGTTGTAATTTCTCAAATTAGACATACCATTTCCAAATTATAAGTAAATAACTGACAGGTATTTGAGTATCAATACAGCAATTGCTCTTTTTACTATATAGATCATTACAGCGTTAAATAAATTGTCTTTTTTTTTTTTTTTTGAGACGGAGTCTCTCACTATCGCCTGGGCTGGAGTGCAATGGCACGATCTAAGCTCACTGCAACCTCCACCTCCCAGGTTCAAGTGATTCTCCCGACTCAGCCTCCTGAGTAGCTGGGATTACAGGCACCTGCCACCATGCCCCGCTAAACTTTTTTTATATTTTTAGTAGAGACAGGGTTTCACTATGTTGGCCAGGCTGGTCTCGAACTCCTGACCTCACGATCCGCCCGCCTCAGTTTACCAATGTGCTGGGATTACAGGCATGAGCCACTATGTCTGGCCTACTATTTGTAATCTATATTCTAAATTAGTTCTTCTAAATCCTAATGTTTCTCCAAATCCTCACTTTGGAAGAAAAGTAAAAGCAAAAAGCAAACACTTAAACGTGAAGCATGATTTTAAAGTGGCTTACAATAAAGCAACCAGAGCAAGTGAGGTCTAAAGATCTCTGAGGGTGCTCAAAAACCCCTTCAGGGGATCCATGAAGTTAAAATTACTTTTACAATAATACCAAAAAAAATTTATATATTACATACTCATTTTCTCATGTATGTAGAGCTGACTTTTTTTGTTTTTGTTTTTGGAGACAGAATCTCACTCTGTCACAAGGCTGGAGTGCAGTGGCACAATCTTGGCTTACTGCAACCTCTGACTCCCAGGTTCAAGCGATTCTTCTGCCTCAGCCTCCCGAGCAGCTGGGACTATAGGCGTGTACCAACATGCCCGGCTAATTTTTTGTATTTTTAGTAGAGACAAGGTTTCACCATTGTTAGCTGGGATGGTCTCGATCTCCTGACTTCGTGATCCACCCGCCTCGGCCTCCCAAAGTGCTGGGATTACAGGCCTGAGCCACCGCGCCCCGCTGAGCTGAGTTTTCTAGAGGCTTCATGACATGTAATAGTTTTACAGACTGAAAGAGGAAGTAAATGAGAATCTAGCTATGTTCTATTAAGCGAGACATTAAAAAGATTTACAAAAATGCAAAAACAATGACACTTTTCTGACTACTTTTTTGCTGTTGGGAAATAGTTATTTTTCATAAAAAATGCTATTATTGGCCCTGCGCGGTGGCTCACACATGTAATTCCAGCACTTTGGGAGGCCGAGGCGGGTGGATCACCTGAGGTCAGGAGTTCAAGACCAGCCTAGCCAACATGGTGAAACCCCATCTCTACTAAAAATACAAAAAATTAGCCAGGCGTGGTGGTGGGCACCTGTAATTCCAGCTACTTGGGAGGCTGAGGCAGGAGAATCGCTTGAACCTGGGAAGCAGAGGTTGCAGTGATCCGAGATCACACTGTTGCACTCTAGCCTGGGCAACAAGAGCAAAACTCCGTCTCAAAAAAAAAAAAAAAAAAGCTATTATTATTAACACACAATAGGGCTTATTACATTTTTAATGGATTACATTTTTTGTTTTAATTTCTAATGTAATAAACACTGACAGAAATAACCCACATACGGCCGGATGCAGTGGCTCAGACCTGCAATCCCAGCACTTTGGAAGGCCAAGGCAGGCGGATCACGAGGTCAAGAGATTGAGACCTTCCAGTACTTTGGGAGGCCAAGGTAGACGGATCAAGAGGTCAAGAGACCGAGACCAGCCGGGCGTGGTGGCTCATGCCTGTAATCCCAGCACTTTGGGAGGCTGAGGCAGGCGGATCACAAGGTCAGGATATCAAGACCATCCTGGCTAACACGGTGAAACCCCATCTCTACTAAAAATACAAAAAATTAGCTGGGTGTGGTGGCGGGCACCTGTAGGCCCAGCTACTCGGGAGGCTGAGGCAGGAGAATGGCATGAACCCTGGAGACAGAGCTTGCAGTGAGCCGAGATGG
Organism: Homo sapiens; assembly: GCF_000001405.40. Lineage (NCBI taxonomy): Eukaryota > Metazoa > Chordata > Mammalia > Primates > Hominidae > Homo > Homo sapiens. Next base: position 109,811,107 of record NC_000002.12, on the reverse strand, counting down.
CGCCACTGCACTCCAGCCTGGGCAACAGAGCGAGACTCCATCTCAAAAAAAAAAAAAGATCGAGACCATCCTGGCCAACATGATGAAACCCTGTTTCTACTAAAAATACAAAAACTAGCCAGGTGTGGGCTGGGCGCGGTGGCTCACGCCTGTAATCCCAACACTTCGGGAGGCCGAGGAGGGCAGATCACGAGGTCAGGAGATCGAGACCATCCTGGCTAACACGGTGACACTCCGTCTCTACTAAAAATACAAAAAAAATTAGCCGAGCGTGGTGGTGGGCGCCTGTAGGTAGTCCCAGCTACTCAGGAGGCTGAGGCAGAAGAATGGCGTGAACCTGGGAGGTTCACAAGGCGGGTAACAAAGGGCCCATGAGGCCTGATTAACTGATCTGACAAACCATCTGTCACCCACAGCCCTAAGCCACACTGTGAAACTGCCTAGGGTGGCACCAGCTTTTTATCTTCCTCAGGGTCCTCCCCTCAGGCCCCCAAGTCACCCCATCATGGTCCAGATTCTCCCCTGAGTGACTCCATCCCCATGGTCATTTCCCCTCCTGAGCCTCCCCCTCTGAGGGCCAAGGGCTGTCCTCAGGGCCCTCCTGGGGCTTCCTGGTGGGGAACAACCTGAGGCAGGAGGATAAGCTCTTATTCAGAGCATTGAGAGGAAATTGTGAAGCTTGCAGTGAGCCGAGATTGTGCCACTGTACTCCAGGCTGGGTGACAGAGCAAGACTCTGTCTCAAAAAAAAAAAAAAAAAATTAGCCAGGTGTGGTGTCGGGCACATGTAGTCCCACCTATTCAGGAGGCAGAGACAAGAGAATCACTTGAACCCAGGAGGCAGAGGTTGCAGTGAGCCGAGACTGCACCACTGCATGCCAACCTGGCGAGAGCAAGACTCAGTCTCAAAAAAAAAAAAGAGAGATTGAGACCATCCTGAACCCCGTCTCTACTAAAAATACAAAAATTAGCTGGGCGTAGTGGTGTGTGCCCGTGGTCCCAGCTACTTGGGAGGCTGAGGCAGGAGAATCGCCTGAACCCGGGAGGCGGAGGTTACAGTGAGCCAAGGTCGTGCCACTGCACTCCAGCCTGGTGACAGAGCAAGACTCCATCTCAAAAAAAAAAAAAAAAAAAAAAAGAAAGAAAGAAAAAAAGGAACCCACATACAAAGATCTTTGATGTCCTTAAGAAAAATGTAAAAGGAACTTGTGACCAAAAAATTTGAGTATACAAAGAACACAAAATAAAACATCCTACATGTTTTCTAAAATAAAGTTATGTTAGTTCTTTTAGGTACTGCTCTTACCCTACCAATTTAGGACACTATGTACTTTTTCAAGAAAATTACCTACTCCCTGCACTCAGTGAAATGAACTTCTTTCCTTATACCAGATGGGGAAATAAATTAACTTCCAAACAAATGGACAGCCTAAATTAGCAATCAGTAAACTTTTTCTACAAAAGGAGGAGATTACTAATCTGGCTTTACAGGCATACAATCTCTGCTGCAACCACTCAACTCCAACCCTGTAGTATGTAAGCAGCCACAGACAATACATAAACAGAGGCAAGCTGCATTCCAATAAATATTAACAAAATTAGGCAGGGGCCATATTTGGCCCACAAGTTCTAATCAACCCCTGCTCTAAACTAACATCTTTATACAAATCCAAGTGATGTTTTTGTTCAATGGAATTTATTTTCAAAATGGAGACACTGGTTTTCAAAATCAAAATTTAGGAAAAAAGGTAAATCACATAGTTGAGTTATTTTGTTTCTTAGCTAAAACAGTATTTTCTGAAATACCAGTGATGCTAAGTGCTTATACTAGTACATGTGAACCTAGCCATCTGATGACAGATGAACTTTAATTTTCACTAAAGATTATACTATTATAAAAAAATAAAATATGAAATAGCAGTTAGAACATTCATTTTAAGCTTGACTATGACAAAACTGAGTAACCATAAGGCTAATTTTAATCAAGCTTGAACTATAAGAGTTCTCTAAAAAGGAAAGTCATATAAAACCAATTAGAACTTCCCTGTAAAAGAAGAAAAATAAGATTGCCTCCTAGTGGTTCACTGTATTAACTATAACTCCTAGGTACATTATAGAAATAATGATTCAGTGAAGAAATTTAGAGCAATGAACTTACTGCAAAAAGAAAAACTGCAATTTGTACTAAAGCATTCTCCTCAAAGTCTACGCACCTTTCCAGTAATTCTCTATTTTCCTGCACATCTCTAGTGGAAAGCGTAAGAAGCATAAGATTAGCATAGGCCAGCAGTAAGTCTGTATTGGTTGCTTGCCAGTCACTTTTATCAGACTCCAAACACTGTAAAGACTCCAGATATTCCTATTTTGTGGAATGAATAGTAAGTTACAAAACTTAATCAAGTGTTAAGTAATTAACCATTTTATGCCTACAAATTCCTTTTCTCACTCCAACCACATTTGTGAAACTACATTGATTTTTACATCAACCTTATAAATGAAAACACCAAAAATATATACATTTATCATAGTTATCTCCCCAATCTTCCCATTATAAATTTAACTGATCCTGGTAAAAATTTCATTTTATAACTGTTCTACATAAATAAAAGAAATTTAAGTCCTGCGGGGCACTGCTGCTTTAGTACAAAAAGATGTATGCTAATTGCCTACATAGAAATGTAAAGACTCAATAGCTTTTATCTACCTTAAGGGTCTGTACAACACACGAATTCCACTCTAAACTTGAACGCAAAGCTATGTTCCTCTCTGCCTCATGGCAGTGGGCCACAGCATCCTTCAATCTTTTAGTTGAGCGATACAACTCCACTAGCCGGATGTTCACATGGACGTCATCAGGTCTTACATAAAGTTCTGACTGAATCAAGTCAAAAAGTTTATTCCATCCATCTTCACCTTCACAATCTAGAAGCTGTTCCTATTTAGAGAGGAAAAAGAAAAATTATTAGAGTAACACTTGTGCAACTTTAAACAAGTCATGCTCCCAAAAAGCACCATTCCACTATGTCTAGTTTTATGATGATGCCACCAAAAACACCATCCTAAATACCTTATTCGTCCCTTCTGAGAGTTGCTTACAACCCAGAAACTAAGCCTCAAGAACTGTATGTGAAGAAAAGCATCTGTGATTACTGCAGTAGCTCATACTCTCTTCAGAGACTACCAGGACTAATGCCACACATTCCTGTCCATCTGAGTCACCACCAGAAGCCTAGACCTCCCCAGTCAATCCTCAGCAACAAGGTCCTTATGTTCAAACTGCTCTGTATCTCCTTAAATCTGATTCAATCCTGCATCCCCTCTCCTCCCACTGTTCTGTTACCTTTATCATCATCTCAAAGCACTGTCATCACCTCCTGACCTTAAATGAAGACAGTATCATCTCAGGATAACCCCCACTACCATGATGGCTTTTTCTCTCTGAACTTACATACGAGGAGAGGAAGTAGGGTTTGTGGCCACTCGCTTCTCATTTGCGATGCTCTTCCATCAGCCTCTCAAGAAGCTAGGACCATAGGCATGCACCACCATGCCCGGCTAATTTTTTTTTAACGTTCTGTAGAGATGGGGTCTTGCCGTGTTGCCCAGGCTGACTACTCAGTTCCTTAATCACCTCATCTCCAGTGATGTTATCCTCTACTCCAACCTCAACCATCCACTTGCCACTGACACAGGTCTTCAAAATCTGCATTTTGGTCATACCACCGAAACCACCATACCACCCTTCTTATTCTTCCACCTCACTGAGGGCCTACATACCCTTACTTTCAGAAATATACTTCTCCACCATATGACAAGTTCCCTTCAAGACAATAACATCATCAAGTTTTAAACACCTGTAAACACATATAAATACACACACTTTCTTCTGTCAGGCAAAAAATGCTATAATCCCTTATATCCATAATTACTGTTTGCTTACAGATCCCTTCAACTAATTCCCTCTTTTCCTCAGAAGAACCCTCCCAACTGGTTTCTGTGTGCTTAGATTTGGGAAATCATAACCCCAAGCTAACTGATTTCATTTGCATTATCTCAACCATCAAACTGGTGCTGCCTAAAACAAAATACCATTTTAGTACTAACAGACTCACTTTCTCCACTCCCTGACACTTCACACCTCCTCCTATTTCCTCAACTTCCCCATACCTTCCTTTGACCCTCACTTTCAACTTATAACCTAGATTCATCCTTCACTGAGAAACCTGATGCTATCACATATAAATTCCATTTTACCTTACCTACTTAAACTCGTCTTTCCCCAACTCTCAAGACCAAGCCGCCCATTAGTACTCTGTATTTCATTCCCCTCTCTCCTTTATCAATTTCTCCTCTTCTGGATGAGATGGATGAAACCCTGGCCTCTCCCTATTGCAAAAGCCCTAGTCTTTGACTCTATGTTAAACATTTTTTTAAAAACCACTATGAGTGCTTTTAAAAAGTTCTATCTCATACTTGAGAGAAAAAGCCTTCTCAACAGTAATACTCTCATTCATTAAACAAATGTCAGAAACTGTTTACCTTAGCAAGCCTTAAATTTTAGGAGAAATGGAATTACTTTGCATGACAGTTATAAATCTCATGGATTTCAATTCCAAAAAAAAAAAAATCTGATACAGGAAAGGTGTAACAGTGCCTTCAAGTTATTAAAGAAAATCTTTAAAGAGTGCTTCAAAGTATCTAACTTGTTACACTGCAAGAAAAGAATCTCCTGCCATTACATATGTTCTTTAACACTACTGACACCAGATTAACTGGATTGCCACGCCCAATATGGGAGTTATGTTTGAGGCATAACACCTAAGAGAGTAAAGAAATCTGCACAATTAGACCTCACGCTTTAGACTAACATTTAAAATCCAGCTGCTTATTACTGGGGAGAAAAACTTATCAGTAATATTTATCTTTGGAAGCATCTTCAATGCTTTTTCAGCTTCAAAAATCTGTACATGATTGTTCATAGCAGTTGAACAATAGCCAAAACCTAGAAATAACCAAAATGCCCCTCAAAAGTGAATGGTTAAGGCTGGGCACAGTGGCTCACACCTGTAATCCCAGCACTTTGGGAGGCCAAAGTGGGTGGATCACCTGAGAACCCGGGAGGCAGAAGTTGCAGTGAGCCGAGGTAGCACCACTGCACTCCAGCATGGGCAACAGAGCAAGACTCTGTCTCAAAAAAAAAAAAAAAAAAAAAAAAGTGAATGGTTAAATTGTGGACCATGAAATACTACTCAGAAGTAAAGGAACCAACTATGGATATACAAAACTTAATATGGATCACAAATGGTATTATGCTGACTGAACAAGCCAACCTCAAAAGGTCACATGCTTGGCTGGCCGCGGTGGCTCACGCCTGTAATCCTAGCACTTTGGGAGGCTGGGGTGGGCAGATCACAGGAGGTCAGGAGTTCGAGACCAGCCAGTTTCTACTAAAAATACAAAAATAAGCGGGACATGGTAACATGTGCCTGTAGTCCCAGCTACCCGGAAGGCCGAGGCAGGAGAATCGCTTGAACCTGGGAGGCGGAGGTGGCAGTGAGCCGAGATTGCGCCAGTGAACTCCAACCTGGGCAACAGAGCGAGACTCCGTCTCAAAAACAATGAAAAAAGAAAAAAAAAGTCACACATTTCATGATGACATTTACATAACATTTTGAAATCACCAAAGTATAAAGATGGAGAACAGATTAATGGTTGCCAGAGGTCAGGCATAGTGAAGAGAAGTAAATAGCATGACTACAAAAGGGGCAGCATGAGGAAGATCTCTGTGGTAACAGAGTAGTTCTGTATCTTGACGGCAGTGGTGGTATGAATCTACACGTGATAAAATGAAAGAAAACTATACATACACATTGTACCAATGTCAAAATTCCTGATTTTGATACTGTGCTTTGGTCAGGTTAAACAGGTTGAGTATCCCTTATCCAAAATGCTTGAGACCAGAAGTATTTCAGATTTTGAACTTTTTCAGACTTTAGAATATTTGCAGGATACTTAGCAGATAGAGCATCCCAAATCTGAAAATCTGAAATCCAAAATTTTCCAATGAGCATTTCTTTGAGCATCATGTCAGTGCTCAAAAAATTTCAGATTTTGGAGCATTTAGGATTTCGGATTTTAAATGCTCAACCTGTATAAGCATTGGGGAAAAATGAAGTAGCATATAGGATCTTTCTGTGCAAACTTTGCAACTTCCTGTGCAAAAAAATCTATAATTATTTCAAAATTAAAATTTTTTAAATTTCTATCAGAAACATATATGATGGGGGTAGGAGGAAGCTAAAGGCAAATATACATTTATAATTTTATATTGTACACACACAATAAAGTATACATTAATATATAAAACATTACAATATACATTTTAAATGTTTGCCAAACATATTTGTGTAGATTTCTCCAGAACAGTTACTTAGTAAACTATATTTTACTCTATAAAGAATATCAGGACCAGTCAACACACTAGCAAGAACTTCCTACCATTTTTAGTAATTACGTCTTATATACTACAGAAACCACCTTTTATCTTTTGCTTGAAAACCTTACTATCTCAAAATACAATCCCTTCTACTTTCAGACAATAGTTATCAGAAAACTCTTCTTTAAAATATCCCTAAATTGTCATCCTGTAGGTAATTTTCACTTAATGAAGCAAAAATTGTATATCAGACAGAACTTAATGTAAATCTTAGCTCTACTTAGTTTACAGCTACTAAACTGTAAAATCCCTAAAATATTAATTATTCCAGAAGGGTAAATGAGATGTCACTTATAAAGTATAACAATGCCTAATAAGACAGTAGATGCTCAGAAAGGTTTTAATACACTTTTTAAAAGAAAAATGTTAAAGGAAACACAAACACCTGAGCTTAAGGTTTGCTATTGAAAAGTAATTTAAACTCCAAATATTAGAAATGGTTATGTCTTAAGTTTTCTCCCTTTATGTTTTGTTTGTTTACCTTTAGTTTATAAATTGCAGGACTTCCTGGGAAAAGTTTTGCTGCTCTTTCGACCCAGTATTTTGCTCTTCCATCAGTAACATCATTTTTACAAAGCAATTCTGCAATCTTCAACACAAGATCTTTTTGTGTTGGGTTTAATTCCACTGAACGCTAATATCAGAAAAGAAATTAAAGATTAGTAAATAAATTGTATGTATGTATGTAGGAGTATATATACTTATACATAAAGGTTAAAAATTATCACTCCAACCCTTAAAAAATTCTACTTCTAGAGAAAACATGTTACTTTAAAGGTGTTAAAATAAAAGTGTCTTGGAATTTTCTAGAAATGAATCAAATAAAAATTATATTTGTGTCATTTGAATGCAAAAAACACAAAAGAACACCATTTCTGACCGTGTTAGACTTACAATTTATAGGTGTTAAACAATTCTAAATCTGTTCCAAGCTGTATCACATAATTGTACTATGATACCAATGCCTGTTTTATGATATTCATAAAATATATTTGACTTACTTATATAAATTTCTCTGGGCATCATGTGTTTGGCTACGCAAAGGCTATATTTGAATCTTATAACTTACCCTGTAACATTCAACGGCTTTCTCTGTGTTTTCTTCCAATTCATAAAGAAGACCCAGAAATCTGTGAGCTTTGGGATCCCTCTCTTGCACATTAATGTAAGTACATATGTATCTGTTTTTTAAAAGTAATACAAAAGTAAATTAAACTTAGAACTGTACTTTTAAATGCTAACCGAAGAATACATCTTAAACCAAAGCAACCACTAAACTCGTTTATATTGTTACTCAAAACTACCACTATTTATGCAGATAACTCAAAAGTATTCATAGAAAGAAATGGGTAATACTTAAAAACACGTACATAGAGTTGACCACATACTCATTTTACCATTAAATGTCACATTTACCAAATTTTTCTCCAGTGTTAACCACACATAAGAAATGAACATATAGATTGCTTTTTCTTCCTGATCACATTTTAATAAAGCACTAACAGTTTTGCCAATAAATTAGAAGTGATTATAATAAACATTTTTAAAGTTATCATAATGCAAAATACTAAACAGCAACAATTTCCCAAACAACAAAGGGAAATACATTTACCCTTTAAGCAAGAAAGTAATTTCTAACAGTACTATATCCAGCTAAAATCGAACAGAAGAAAAATTACTAATTACAGTACCAAATACAGGAAATTTCCATTTCTCAAATCAAGTAACAACTAAAATAAGTAAATATCCTCTAGGTTCCTTGACAGTATTACGATCAGAGAAATTAGGCCAGACCTAAACTAAGGGATTAAAGTCTCACAGTAAAAAGGTACAAGAGTTAACAGTCACAGTGCTGCTAGTTACATAATTTATGTACCACCATTTTCCTTTCTTACCAGCATTTCCATCTTCCTTTGGATGCCTTTAAAAGCCTGCCTCCCAGCTGGGAGCAGTAACACACACCTGTAGTCCCAACACTATGGGAGGCCGAGGCAGGCAGACTGCTGTGCTCAGAAGTTCAAGACTAGCCTGGGCAACATAGTGACACCTGTCTCTACCAAAAAATGCAAACCTTAGCCAGGTCCACGTGGTGGTGCGCATCTGTATCCCCAGCTACTTGGGGCGCTGAGGTGGGAAGATCGCTTGAGCCCAGAAGGCAGAGGTTACAGTGAGCAAAGATGGAGCCAGCTGCTGCACTCCAGCCGGAGCAAGAGAGACAGATACTGCCTAAAAAAAAAAAAAAAGCCTGCCTCCCTCTTAATTTCCTGCTTTAATCCACTCCCAGCCAGGAAATCAGAATCACCAAGCTTCTCATCCCTAGGATAGAGCCTTAGAGCATCACATATTGTGTCAGTTAAAGATCTTTTATACAAGCTATTCTCCTGCCTTACAATTACAGTTTAATTTTTTATTCATTGCTATTTTCCATCTGATTAAGGTATCAGATATCTAACCAAAAACAAATTAAGATATAGGCATGGTCCTCTTTTACTCCAACAGAAGACAATTTTTAGAAAAAGTGTTTTAAGCCAAACAATTTCTTGCCCTTGGTATAAAGCAGCAGCATGCAGAAAACACTAATTACAGTTTCAATCTCAATGGAATCTAGGCTGGTCCTTAGCATCAGTCTGAGTGATAAATCCCTTATTCCAGAATACACTTAGGAAGAACTACTAAGGACATATTTTTACCTATTTCAAAGAAGAAAATGAGAAAAGGCATTGATTTTAAAAAAAAGAATACATGTTACGGTTTGTACTTACTTTTTAGCAAGATCATATTCTTTAGCTTCATAATACAGCTTTGCAAAATAGAATCCTTTCATTGACTTCTAAAAAAAAATTAAAAGTTGTTTTACGTTTCATACAGAAATATTTTCCAACATTTTTTCAAAAGTAGTTAAAGCCTGACAAATGCATAATTCCATGTTTTATAATTTCCTACCACAAAACAAAAAATAGAGCTGGGTGCAGCAGCTCATGCCTGTAATCCCAGCACTTTGGGAGGCCGAAGTGGGCGGATCACCTGAGGTCAGGAGTTTGAGACCAGCCTGGCTAACATGGTGAAACCCCGTCTCTACAAAAATAGAAAAATTAGCCAGGCATGATGGCGGGTGCCTGTAATCCCAGCTACTCAGGAGGCTAAGGCACAAAAATCAGTTGAACCCAGGAGGTGGAGGTTGCAGTGAGCCAGAGGTTGCAGTCAGCTGAGATCGTGCCATTGCACTCCAGCCTGGGCGACAGAGACTCCATCTCCCAAACATCATCATCATCATCATCATCATCATCATCATCATCATCATAAATAAGCTGGGTGCAGTTGGTCACACCTTTAATTCTATTTAATTCTAGCACTTTCAGAGACCAAGGTGGGAGGCTAGCTTTGAGGCCAAGAGTTTGAAACCAGCCTGTGCAACACAACAAGATCCTGTCTCCAGGGGGAAAAAAATAGCCAGGCATAGTGGAGCATGCCTGTGTTCCTAGCTACTCAGGAGGCCAAGGAAGGAGAATCACTTGAGCCCAGGAGGTTGACACTGCCGTGAGTTATGACTGTAACACTGCACTCCAGCCTGGGTGACACAGGGAGATCCTCTCTCTAAATAATAAATACATAACATACAAAAAATAAATTCAAGAAAGCAAGACAAGCAGACAACAGAAGTTAAGAATTTTCATCAGCCTTGGAAATCTTGGAAACCCTGTGGTACCACTCTCTCACTTAACAAACAAAAGAAACCAGCTTTCTTTGGGGAGGAAAGGTATTCCAGAAATCTCTTCTCCTACCATGTGTAAGCCTCTATGGGAAAGAATAAGTAAGTACTTAGGATCTATTAAGGCACTGAGGATTCCCGGGTCCATGTACTGTTCTCTCTACAGATCAGATCAGTATTTTACAGTCAAGGAGTCAAAAAGGCAGAAATAAATATTGAATTCTTCAAGTAATAAACGAGGTCCACAGCCTGGATCCTTGGTTACATAAACTCCAAAGTCCAAAATGCTGATGCACACCAGGCTGGGTGCGGTGGCTCACATCTGTAATCCCAGCACTTTCGGAGACTGAGGCGGGTGGATCACTTGAAGCCAAGAGTTCGAGACCAGCCTGGCCAACATACAGAAACCTCCTTTCTACTAAAAATACAAAAATTAGCTGGGCATGGTGGCACACGCCTGTAATCCCCGCTGCTTGGGAGGCTGAGGCAAAGAATCGCTTGAACCCGGGAGGCAGAGGCTGCAGTGGGCCAAGATCGCACCACTGCACTCCAACCTGGGCAACAGAATGATTCCATCTCAAAAAAAAAAAAAAATGCTGATACAACCAGAGTATGTTCCATCCATGTGATAGAGTATACAGCTACTCAAACATCTTATTTTTGAAATTCCAAGACCCCAGTGAATGTCCAAAAACGATGAATAGTACCAAACCAGGTTGCCATCAATCGAAACATGCTTCCTGTTTGTGTCCTCCACCCACAAATTTAATGTCTTGTCCATCTCAACTAAGCACTTATCACACACTGTGGCTGTAACTTTTGCAGTTTGGGGTGTCACAACAAAACTAGCACAAATTTCTTTTTCCTTCTTCACAATTTCATGGACAAAAGATTTGTTCTTACCATAGATCTCAGCAACCCCAGTATATGATCTTTTTTCTTTCCTAAGTCAAAAACTCACCTCTTCACTTAAAGGAAGCACTATATGGCTTCTCTCTGGCATATGTGAACTGCCAGCATCACTATTCTTGCTCTTTGGTGCCATTTTAAATAAAATAAAGGTTACTTGAACACAAGCACTGCAATACTCCAACAACTGATCTGATAACTGAGATGGCTAGTATGTAACTAGCGGGTGGGGAGCACATACAGCATGAATATGTTGGACAAAGGGATGATTCGTGTCCTGGGTAGGACGGAGCAGGAGGCCGTGAGATTTTTATCATGTTATTCAGACCTGTTTGCAATTTAAAACTCATGAAATGTTTATTTATATAATCTTCCATTCAATATTTTTGGACCACGGGTGACGCAGGTAAGTAAAACCACGTAAGGCAATACTGTGGATAAGAAGGGACTACTGTACCAGCAACGAACAATCAGAAAATGAAATTAAGAAAGCAATTCCATTTACAATCGCATCTAAAAGAAAAAAATGCCTGGGAATAAATGTAAACAAGGAGGTGAGAGACTTGTATGCTTAAATTACAAAACCTTGCTCAATGCCAGGCTAACACCTGCAATCCCAGCACTGGCGACAGAGCAAGACTCCGTCTCAAAAAAAAAAAAGAACTATAGCAATCTTAACAAAAATAATACACAACAGTCAGGACAGCACATAAAGGAACAAGGCCTGTTCCCCCCTTCCTTTTTTTTTTTTTTTTTTGAGATGGAGTCTTGCTCTGTCGCCAGGCTGGAGTGCGGTGGCTCGATCTCAGCTCACTGCAACCTCTGCGTCCCGGGTACAAGCTGGGACTACAGGCGCATGCCACCATGCCCAGCTAATTTTTGTATTTTCAGTAGAGATGGGGTTTCACCATGTTGGCCAAGATGGTGTCGATCTCTCGACCTTGTGATCTGACTTCTTCCGCCTCCCAAAGTGCTGGGATTACAGGCATCAGCCACCGAGCCCGCCAGTTCCCCCTTTTCAAAATGAAGAAATAGATTCAAGGTACAATGCCAAAACATAATAGAAAAATAATTCCATTACCTTCTTTGCTTCCAACTATGTTAAAACATAATAGAAAAATAATTCCATTACCTTCTTTGCTTCCAACTATGTTATTAAAGTAGACAATCTTAAGATAATTAAACAACTTTACAAATTATTCTTCTATATGATCTTTTGCCTCTAACCTGCTCACTTTACAAGGGAACTGAAGCTCAAGCAGGCAAATGCCTTGTTTAAAGATATACAGCTAGAAAGGAGCACAGCCCATGTTATGTAAACAGGACAATATCTGATGCAAGCAGTACTTCTTTACATGACAGCAGATGTCACTATAAGCAAATACCTGAATTCACTTAAGCTGTCAAATATCAAGAACTGATGCAGGGCTGAAAACAGGAACAGTAAGACCCTAAGAGATGCCACATCATCGCTATCTTGCACAGTAAGATAGAGATGTAATTGTAATTGTCCAAAACTTAATATTTGTGGCCTACTTTTTCATTATGCAGTTCTAAATTTCTCTCTCTTTTTTTTTTAATTCAAACGGAGTCTCACCCTGTCGCCCATCTTGCACAATCAAATGAATCTCCCTCCCCCTAAAATCCTCCAAAAAAGCTGCTGTTCTCAACAAACCCATCTGATCAGCTCCAAATCTGTGGAGTCCCAACAAGGGTGAAGGCCGTGATTATACAGGACAATGAGGAAAAGTCTAGATACTGAACCATGAGTTCCCCAATCTTCTTCCCCTGGAACATAAGGGTAAGGAAATCTCTCAAAAGGCAGAACAAACAAAAGAGGAGAATAAGAGAAAAATTAGAGAAACTCCAGCTTTCAGGTAAACATCATTAAAAAAAAGGGTAAGAAATGGTTAAAGAAATAATACAAGAAATGCTACAGAACTGAAAGAAATGAGTTTCCCAATTGAAAGGACACTTCCAGAAAACCTTTAAGTTACCAAGAACAAGAATCTCATGGGACTCCTAACAACAGAACTTCTAGAAAATGAAGCAATGCTTTCAAAATTGCGAAAAAAATTATTTGAAACTCAGAATTCGATAACCAAATGATCAACTAAATTAAGTAAAGATGTTTTAAAGACATACCATTAGTTTCTAGACCAGCCTGACCAGTATGGTGAAATCCCATCTCTACTAAAAATAGAAAAAATTAGCCGGGCATGCTGGCGCACACCTGTAATCCCGCTACTCGGGAGGCTGAGGCAGGAGAATCACTTGAACCTGGGAGGCGGAGGTTGCGGTGAGCTGAGACCATGCCACTGCACTCCAGCCTGGGCAACAGAGCAAGACTCTGTCCCATAACAAAAACAAACAAAAAAACCTCTCATCCACTTTTCCTCAAAGCAAGTGAGACTATGCTACACCAAAACAAAGAAAGTAAATGAAGAGGACATGAGATACAAGAAACAAAGGGTCTAACTCAGAAAAAAGATGAAGGGAATTCTCAAACTGGTGATAAAGGGAAGTCCCAAGAGCACAGCTGTGTAGCAAAGAGGAAGAAAAACCAATCCGGGTTGGAGAAGTTGGTTAGTAAGGGTATTCCAGGTAGACAGACAATCAATCAATCAATCAGTGTTTTAAGCTGAAATTGATGGGATTATCTGACCAGTTTGACCACATTTGAGGGTTTAAATTGCTGAGTTTAAGTAAGCAAGTAGTAACACAACATACAAGCAAACCAAAAAATAAAGCAATTATTCAGTCCAGGAAAACGTGGGTGCAGCACACCAGCATGGCACATGTATACATATGTAACTAACCTGCACAATGTGCACATGTACCCTAAAACTTAAAGTATAATAAAAAAAAAACAACAAAAAACTGCACAACAAGGGCAATTCAAATGCAAAAATATTTACCTTCTATTTATATAAATGTTAACTATTCATTTAAACAAAAACTGCAGTAACAGTACTGAAAGAATGAGGGGCAAACCAAAGTGTCTGAGGACAGTTTTGGAGGAGCATAATAGCCAGTACAGAATGTCTAAAATGGGGCCGGGCGCGGTGGCTCACGCCTGTAATCCCAGCACTTTGGGAGGCTGAGGCGGGCGGATCATGAGGTCAGGAGATCGAGACTATCCTGGCTAACACGGTGAAACCCCGTCTCTACTAAAAATGCTAAAAAATTAGCCGAGTGTTGTGGCGGGTGCCTGTAGTCCCAGCTACAGGCTGGGGCAGGAGAATGGCGTGAACCCCGGAGGCAGAGTTTGCAGTGAGCCGAGATCGCGACACTGCACTCCAGCCTGGACGATAGAGCGAGACTCCGTCTCAAAAAAAAAAAGAAAAGAAAAGAAAAGAAAATGTCTAAAATGGGAGAAAGGGAATTAAAAATAACAAAAGTATATATGTGTGTTACTCAGAAGTATGAAGTATAGATGTAAAGGGCAGAAAAAACAACTAACAGCTGTCAAAGGTGCCTGCCTGTAGTCCTAAGTACTCAGCAGACAGAGGTAGGAGGATCATTTATGCCCAAAAATTTGATGGGCAACACAGCAAGACCCTATTCTAAAAAAAATACAAATAAAAATAAGAGCTGTCAAGTAGACTTTGAGAAGTAGGAATCAGCTGCAGAATAAGAAACCGACTTGACAGAACATAGAAAAACTAAACAGAAGCCATCTGGAAAAAGAAAAACTAGAGAAAGAATTATATTTTTTTTCTTTTTTTCTTTTTTGGAGACAGAGTCTCGCTCTGTCACACAGGCTGGAGTGCAGTGGCGCAATCTCTGCTCACCACAACCTCTGCCTCCAGGGTTCAAGCAATTCTCCTGTCTCAGCCTACCGAGTAGGTGGGACTACAGGCGCTGCCACCACGCCCGGCTCATTTTTGTATTTTTAATAGAGACGGATTTTCACCATATTGGTCAGGCTGGTCTCTCGGCCTCCCAAAATGCTCGGATTACAGACGAAGAATATTTTTAAGAAGGGCAAAAGCACATGTGAGGGAGTAGAAAAATGGCAAAACAAGAGGAGACTAACAAATGAAAGCGCAATGGAAGACTAGAAAGATATGATATACAGACGCATCATCACACTCCAAAACTCCGACATTCTAGAAAGCATGGGCAGTTCACAGATGGCCAGCCTCTGCCAAACTGGGGGAGAATACTAACCTCTTCATATTCTTCACAGCCACTGCCTCTTCTCCCTCCATTCTTTACCTTCTATCCAAAGCACCCTGTTTTGTCATTTCACTCAAACCTAACTTCACAGAATAGCTTCACATGTTCCAGTTACTCACTAGTTAATCCATATTCCGCTGAAATCCCCAGGTTCTAATGTAAATGACTTTAAATTTGGGGGAAAAAAAAGACTCTAAATGTAAGAGAGGTGTCATAATAACCAATCGTCAAAATTCTGCCACCACTCCACTTTATTTAATGGAGAAGTTATGTAGTTGAAAGAACATTCTAACTTCTGTCTAGACCAGTGGTTTTTAATCTTTTGGAAGCCAAGGTCCCCACTAAGAATCTCAGAAAGGCTCCAAACTTGCTTTTTTTTTTTTTAAGCTTGTTTAAAAAAAAAAAAATCAGGCTGAGCAGAGTGGCTCACACCTGTAATCTCAGCATTATTTACATGTAAAGAGGAAAAATACCCTTAAAACATCTGTGGAAAAGGTTAAAAATTGCAAGCCATACTAACGATTTGTAAGAACTTTAGAATTTTTTTTTTTTAAGCAAAGGCAGCTACCAAAGTGTTCCGGGCGGGGAGGGGGGCGAGGGAGGTGAGTATGAGGAGTGGAGTGGAGCTGGACCCTTACAAAGGGACAGCGACAAACACCTCATACTCAAAACAAGGGGACTTTCCGTGTCATTTGCGCCGTCGGGCCATTGCAAATGTCCGCGCTGAGATGCCTACCTTGTCACTCGACGCAGCCGCCAAAGCTCACCCGGAGCTGCGTCAGTCCCCACTGGGTTCCTCCAGGCCAAGGAGGTACGACCTCCGCCGCAGCATATAAAGTAAATGTCCAGGAGATGGGAAGAAACCCGCCGATACAGCACCCGGGTGCCCAAGCCCCCGAGAACTAGGCCGCGCGGGTACTACGGGGTGCGCGATCGGCCAGAAAGCCCGGGCCAGGACGGGCCCAGGAGCGAGCACCGTCGGGAACAAGCGTCGGGAACAAGCCGGGATTAAGAGGAAGCGCCGGCGCCAACGGTCTCCCGCCCGCCGCGGTCCCCCCAGGACTCTTCCTGCGCTTGCAAGCGCCACGCCGCCCACAGGACTGCGCCAGCCGGCCGGCGCCTCAACAGAGCGCGCCACGGAGCAGCGCCCCTCGGGAGACATGACGCCTGAGCCATCGAGGCGGCCGCCGCCGCCGCCCCCCCCGCCGCCGCCGCCGCCGCCGCCGCCCCCCGGCCGGGTCGAGGCCGCCGTCGCTCTCTTCGAGACCCACTCACCTGTCGAGGCGACGGGGTGAGACCCAGCACCGAGGCGACGTACCGCTCCACATCGGCCTTGCTGCGCCTCATCGCGCCGCCAACCTGGCTCCCGAGACGCGTGCGAGCACCGCTCAGCCCCGCAGCAGTCGCCACTTCCAAGAGGAAAGTGCCTGCAAGCCACTGAAGCAGCGGCGTAGCCGGCGGAGGCCCACTGTGACGAGCGTGCGGCGCCGCCCACGGAGGCCCACTGTGACGAACCTGCGTTCTGCCTCAGCACTGTGTATCCTCGGCGACGTCGGCGCTCCAGCTGCACTCGGCCGGGCTCGTGGCGCCGCCCTGTGGTCTGAGGGTGTCTTGACATGATCTTATCTATAGAAAACCTTAATGAAACCTCGAAAAAAAAAGACCTAAACTATCAGTGATAATAAATGAGTTCAAAGAGATTGTACCATACGAGGTCAACTAAAAAAATGAGATGTCTACTTATACACCAGCAAGGAACAATTCAAGTAAAATTAAGTAAACAATTCCATTTATAATATTATCAAAAATAATAAAATAATTATGAATAAATTTAACCCAAAAGTGTAAGACTTGTAGACTGGAAACTACAGAACACTGTTGAAGGAAATTAAAGAGGAGCTAAATCAATGGAAAGACATCCTGTGTTCATTAATTGGATGTAAACATGTCTACACAAAAACTTGTATACAGGCCAGGCATAGTGGCTCACGCCTGTAATCCCAGCACTTTGGGAGTTTTTGATGGGAGGATCACTTGAGTCCAGGAATTTGAGACCAGCCTGGGCAACACAGCGAGACCCCCATCTCTACAAAAAAGAAAAAACAAAAACAAAAGAAAACCTATACATGAATGTTTATAGCAGTACTATTTTTATTAGTAAAAGGTGGAAACAATCCAAATTTCCATCTACTGAAGATGGATTTTTAAAATGTGGTATTATTGGGCACAGACACACGTGCCTGTAGGCCCAGCTACTGGGGAGGTTGAGGCAGGAGGGTCGCTTGAGCCGGAGAGTTTGAAGCTGCAGTTTGCAGCTGCAGTGATGCTCCTTGATCCATGCAGGAGCTGTGATCAGGCCTGTGAAGAGCCACTAAACTCCAGCCTGGGCGACATAGTGAGATCTCTGTCTCAAAGAAAAATGTGGTATAGCCATACAATAGAATATTACTTTTGCATAAAAAATAATGAAGTACCAATGCATACTACAACATGAATCAGCCTTGAAAACATTATTCTAAATTAAAGGTGCCAATCACAAAACCTCATATATCATTTCATTTATATGAAATATCCAGAGTAGGCAAACTCAAAGACACAGAAAGTAGACTAGTGATTGCCAAGGGCTGGGTGGAGGGGAAATCTGGGAGTGCATGTGACTGCCAACGTGAATGGAGTCTCTCGTTGGGGTGATAGAGATATTTTGGAATTAGATTTTGGGGAAGGCTGTAAAACATTGCAAATTTACTAAAAAAAAAAAAATCATTGAATGAAATTAAATCCTATGGAGATGATAGGTATTTTCATTTTGGCCAGGCAATCTACCTGATTAGGTTCAAGCCACAAGTTCCCACCCCTCCATTCTGCAGTCTGGTTCCAAAGTCAGTTCAGTGTCCAGAGTCTTCACAGGACTATTCAGTTCTGTCTGACTTGTGCACCACCCAGTGGCCAGTTGTGTCTGTGGGTGATGGTCTCTCAGTTCAGCTGTCAATCTTTGGTGTGTTGAACAGGACGAGATCTATGCAGGAGCAGCTCAAGAATGAGCCCTGGGGTTTATAGACAGGTTAATGGGGTTGCTTCACTGATTAACTCTCTCTCAGCAATTACCCTGTTGCTTTCATTTGCTGAGGCTTCTCTTTTTAGTCTTCCAAGCAGAAAACAGGCTTTCGGTATCTGGCTCTACCATGCATTTCTACATCTGAAGCCAAGCAGTGGGAGGACTGAATTGGAAGAGAAGCAACATGGATTGTTTCTGCCCTCTTGGGACCACAGCTCTGTCAGTTGGAGAAGGTTCCCTCCTGCGTCTTGGCTCCTGGGCTCCTCTTGGGGCTGGTGCCAGTGCCACTGTGGGACTGCTTGTGGGCTGAGGTATGAGAGAACAGGGAAAAGAAAAATGGGGAGGAACGAACTTCTGGATTCCCTCGGAATGTTAGGAGACCCTTTTCCCGTTACTTGAGCCAGAAATAGAGGGCATCTTCTGGAGCTCTTTCTATCTGCACCCTGGTGCCCACTGCCAGGTTAGTCACGGGATGCCATAGGGGAAACATGGTTATCTCACCACCGGTTTGGTGGTACTTCAAGTTCTGGTCTTCTTGGGAAAGCTGCCTGCAACTATTTAGTTTTCAATGTCTTCCAATAGCTGCTCCATGCATTCTGTACTGTCTCCTGGCTGGACTCCATGCAGGAAGCCTGTCTCCTCCACAGTGTGCACTCACTCAGGTCATTGCTAAGTTTTATTGTTGGCATTTGTTTGCTTTAATTTTTCAGACTGACTCCCTAGAGGTCGCTTCTTGTTTGCATAGTTCGTCAGTCAAACATCAGTTAAAGCCAATATGGTTTCCACCATCTGCTGCTGGATCTATGTGCAATGGGGAGGAGGCACGCCCCGGGCCATTTGCAAGGGTGTTCCGGCTTTTACTTCCTAACACTGGCACCGGCACACACACAGGCTGTGTGCCCTGGGCATATGGACATGGCTTGGGCTTGCTCTAATCTCTGCCAGCTATGAGCCTTCAGTCCATTTGGGTAGTGTGAAGAGTTTACTAAGCTCCCTCTGGCTCTCCGACCTCCCGGAGCTCCCTCTTACATCCATGACTAATCTGCAGGTCGTTTGCTCGTCTCCAAAGGCCCAGAGCCTCAGGCTAGGAGTCAGTGGCCTTTCTTCCTCCTGGTCACTGATATCACCACCTTAACTAGCCATGCTGCAAATCAAAACCTTCCTCACTCTTGCCTCCAGCCCCTGCAGCGAGGTGGCAGGGGAGCTTATCTCCACAGGCTGCCCTGCTGGGGGCCGCTGTGTGTGTTATCAACAGCTGGGGTAAATGGGGGTAGCAGCCTGGGCAAAGATGCCACGGACACAGGCTGGTCTTATCCAAGGCTCACTTTAATTCTTCTTTTTTTTCTTTAGGGACAGGGTCTGTCTCACTCTGTTGCCCAGGTTGGAGTGCAGTGGTGTGATCACAGCTCACTGCAGCCTCAATCTCCTGGGCTCAAATGATTCTCCCGCCTTAGCCTCCCATGTAGCTGGGACCACAAGTGTGCACCACCATGCCTTTTTTGATTTTTTTTTTGTACAGACGGGGGTCTCACCAAGTTGCCCAGGCTGTTTTTGAACTCCTGAGCTCAAGTGGTCCTTCTGCTTCAGCCTCCCAAAGTGCTGGGGTTACAGGCGTGAGCCACCGCGCCTGGCCAGCTTTCATTCTTAAACACATCCCCATTTGTGCCGTGCCTTTGGTAAAATTGCAGAATGCTAAATGGTTTGTCCAGCTATACAGTTACATTTTGGAAAGATTTGTTGACCTCCTCACTTCATCATGCTAGAAGTGGGAACTTTGATTACTCTTTAAAGAATCTGAAGATGAAGGGAAGACCAACGCATAATTTGAGAGAATGGCAAGACTGAGAAAGGTTTCTGTAGCATGGTGCATGCATGTGTGTGTGCGTGTGTAGGGAGAGGCAAAGGGTTCTGACAAGAGGAAGAGGCTGAGGAAGCAGGCTCATCTCCACAACATGCTGCTGCCACCCAATCATAGGGTCTCTTGCAGCAATTCCAGTCCTGATCTCACAAACCTCATACCCTAACTACGGTCCCCCTAATTGGGGTCCCTCCTCAGAGCTTTCCTAAGGCTCCCTAACTTTTCCCCTCACCTCGGTTGAGGCCTCCATGGTTTGGACTTGCTGGTTTTGCCTTGCTCTTCCCTTGATAAATACACCATTTATTCCGGTTCAGCCCTTGGAACTTTAAACCTTAACCCAAGCCTCCTCCACCCCACTATATTAGCCCAAGCCTAGAGTATCAGATCTGGATATTTGGGTAAAGATGCAGACAAATTTTGAGTTGGAAAAGAAAGAACTTAACTCATTACTAAAAGATGACCTTGATAGCTATATATATGGGAAACAAGAATGTATCAGGAAGTTAATCCTTTGCTCACACTACACCTGGTGCATGTAATTCCATCTCTGAGTTTTCCCCTTATTATTATTATCTTTTTTTGAGATGGAGTCTCACCTTATTGCCTAGGCTGGGGTGCAATGGCACAATCTTGACTCACTGCAACCTCCGCCTCCTGAGTTCAAGCGATTCTCCTGCCTCAGCCTCCCGAGTAGCTGGGAGGCTCAGACACAACCTCCTGGGCTCAAGTGATCCTCCCACCTCAGCCTACCTAGTGGCTGAGACTACAGGAATGTGCTGCCCTGTCCGGCTTGTTTTTGTTGTTTTAATTTTTATTTTACTTCCCAGGACTCTAAAAGACTTGCTGACCTATTAACACACAAACTAGTGCCCACTTCCCTACTCCCCATCTTGTCACTTTGTCCCCACCCAGTCCCTTGCTACCCCTCCCATCCCCTCAGTGTGACTAAGTTGCTGGAGGTACCCTGCCCCATCCTTAATTTCTTGCCCCAGGCCCTGCTGGGCCCCCCGTCTCTGCCCTGCCTGCCTCAGCTCCCCTCTGTCTCTCGGCCTTTTCACCTCCATGCTCCCAGCCTCACATCCTTGGAGCCAAGTTTGCCTCTCACAAAGCATGGCCCCCTACGGTCCCCAGCACCGCTGGTGCCAGGGCCATCCTGCCCCGCCATTGTGTCCTCACATTCCCCAACACTGAACTCAGGTTTCCCCTGGGGGGCTGAGCTGTCTTCCCTCAGTCACGCCTTCCTCCCCATGCAGGCTCATCCAGTCCCTCTGCCCTGCTCCAGTACCCTCTCCCCACCTTTCACCGTGGATCAGGCCCACAAGGTCACCTAGGGACGTTTTATATCCAAAGTAACATGACAACATCTCCTCCTGCACTGTCTAGTCACATGCTCTGAGGTCAACAGTGGTGCGTCCACTAATAACACATTTCATACTATTCAGCACAACTCACAACCCTGCAAACATAGATTAAAGGAAAAATGCCGGAATATGGGACGGATGGCTAAGCATTCTAATTTGAATGAGCACATTTAAAACTACAAGGGAAAACTATCACTAGGTTCACCTCAGAGGACATCTGGGTTTTCTTTCAAGGAAATGAGCAACTGGACACACTGAGACCCTCCTTCTGGGTTAAGGGCCCAGCATGCTTCCCCTGGGCTGCCTACCATATGCTGTTCTCCTCTCCCTGCTGTTCCTCAGTCTGACACACACACCTGCAGTGGTGGCCTGGTGAAGGGATGCACTTGCCTCCTCGGCACGAAAGGAAGATGGGCAAACAGGAATCCCACAAATGGCACCGTCAAAGTAAGAAGTGCGGCAAAATGAACTGAGGGCAGGTGCTGTCATTCGGCAGTCTGTGATTCTAAGACCTAAGACCAGGATTGCTTTTGAGACTGGAGTGAAACAGCAAAGACAGAAGACAAGAGTGACTCTGAGGCCTTTACTTGGCTTCCACACTAAAATGCCTTAGCCCCAGGAATCAGCTTCTCTTTTCTTCCTCTTCATATTTAGATGGTGAGAGAGGTAGCGTTTAAGACATACATTAGGGCCCCAGATGAGGGCCAGGAACAGGCTGGACCAAGACTCAGACAGCCCAGCTCCATGGCAACCTGATGGCCCCTGTGGGGGTGGACAGGTATCGGGTTCATTCTTTCTCAGGGCGACTTCAGCTCTTGGAAGGGAGGGTTCTGGTTAAGCCTCGGGTGGGATAGTTATGGTGAGTGACAGTTGCTAGAAGAACACTGTGACAATTTCTGTTATTTTCAATTGATCCAGTCTCTTGCCCACCACACAGACTCCTTGATGGAAAGCCCTTCAGGAATAAGAAAGGGTTCAGGTTCTCAGGGTAAAACAGGCTTTGCAATTCTCTAATTTGCTAATTGTCAACTTCTGAAGACTGTGTTTCCTCATGGTAGTAGGAGCTAGTATGAGTAATTTACCAGAGTGAAACAGGCGAGATTCCATGCACCTGCGGAAATACAGCCTGAGTTCCAGCACCTCCTTTCTTGAATTCTTGGATTTCTTCCTCAGCTCCTTTCCCAAGTCAGTTCATCTCTGACTTAACCCGCAACGGGCATCCAAGGGAATTATTCCAAGAAGTGTCCTCCCCATCACTCTTTACTGGTTTTTTGTTTCCTTTTTGATGTTGTTGTTTTTGTTTTGACACAGCACACAGCGAAACTGCTGCAGGAAGCAGAAGGATGTGTGTGACATATCATCACCTTCCATTTTGCATTAATAAACATCACCCAAAATTTGCCTATCCGCTGCTAAAATAAAGATCCAACAGAATAGAAACTCAACAGGAAAACTCACTGTCACTAAGGCCAACAAAAGACAAACTGGAGAAATACTAGTCATAAATACAGAAAATAAAGGATGGGTGAACAAATTGAGATCCGGCTTGCTGGGCGTCATGTGGAGACCGTGTGCAGGAAGAGCCAAGACACCAGAGCCGGGGGGGCTCCGGTGATCCCTGCCGCTCTCTGCATCCTGGGCTCATGGTTGGGGCCTGTCCCCCTCCAGCTGGTAGTGCCATCCTCTCTGTGCCCTACCAAGCTCACCAGTAAACTGCAGCTACAGGGCACATAGCATGGAAGAGGGTGACTTCGGGCAAGGTCTCTCCGGCTGGGGTGGGCCCAAGGAAACCTCCCTGAACGGAGGTGGCAGGTGGGGGACCCGCAGGACATCACTGTCACCAACGCCCCATTGTGATGCACCCACCTGCTGCCCCTGCCCTCGCATGCAGACCCCTGTGGCCCCCTGGACACCTGCGAGGTCCTGAAGCCTAGCGAGGCAGCTGCCCTGAGGCCTGAGCCTCTGCAGGGACCAAGGAACATGCCATGTACGTGACAAAACCTTTCCCTAAAGAAAGTGTCCCGTCCACCCCTTGAGGTTCTAGAAAACATTTCTTAAGACCCATTGAATGGAAGGACAAGATAAAAGGAATTGAATTTAAAACAGAGAATGAAATACTGGAGCTTGATTTCACTGCAGAGGAAAAACTGAGTCCCAGAGAATGAAGTTGTTCCCATCTGTGCGTCTTCACCTGGCTAAAACGAAGAGCTGGGCCTGCGCCCAAGGATGGGTCTCCACGTGGTCCTGAGAAATCACAAAGTGTGGGTAAAATATCCTCCCCAGAATGCCCCCAAAGAGATCCACTTGCGATGGGATCCCTTCCTAGGGAAAAGTAGCCGCGCTCACGCTGGTAAGCCAGCTAAGCTTCTCCGCAAATGCTCCCCATGGCTGACAGCCAGAGGAAGCCCATGGCCCCCTGGCCCCAGGGACCTCCTGCCATTCCCCATTCCCCTATTCAACAGCCTCCTCACAAACCACTAGCAAGCCCAGATCTCCTTGTGTCTCTACCTTCACCTTTCCAGAAGGGCATCTAAATAGAATAGTGCAGCCTCTTCTCTCCACCACTCTCACTTGGTCATATACATTGAAGGCTCACTCCTGCCTTTGAGCGACTTGACAGCTCATTCCTTTTCATCGATGAGTAGTATTCCATTGTGTGAATGTGCTTCAGCTTGTTTTTTATTCACCTATTGAAGGACATCCTGATTTAAAGTGTCTGGAAACTTAAATATCTGAATAGAGGGTGCTGTACATAACTGCATGTTTTTTTGTTTGGACATAAGTTTTCAAAGCAGTTGATGACCCAGGAGCACAGCTGCTTTCTTAGACCATATGGTGAAACTATGTTTAGCTTTGAGACAAAACTACCATTGGCACTGCCAGTGGCTGTACCATTATGCCTTCCACCCGCAGTGATAAGCTCCTGTTGTTCCTAATCCTCCATAGCAATTGCTATTGTCATTTTTTTATATTTGAGTTGTTCTAAGAGAACCAATAGGAATTTTATATTTATATACTTATATATATTTACATATATATACACACATATCTCTATATAGAGAGAGATATTTGTGCCCAGTGCAGTGGCCCACGCCTGTAATCCCAACGCTTTGAGAGGCAGAGATGGGTGGATCGCTCAGGAGTTCGAGACCAGCCTGGACAACATGGTGAAACAGCGTCTCTACAAAAAATTAGCCAGCGTGGTGGTGCACACTTGTGGTCCTAGCCCCTCGGGGAGGTGAGGTGGGAAGATTGCTTAAGCCCAGGAAGTCAAGGCTACAATGAGCCGAGATGGCGCTGCTGCACAACAGCCTGGGCAACAGAGCCAGACCCTGTCTCAGAAAAAAAAAAAAAAAGAGAGAGATTTATTATGGGAATTGACTCCCATGATTATAGAGGCCAAGAAGTCCCACAGTATACTGCCTGCAAGCTGGAGAACCAGGAACACCAGTGGTATAACACACAAGCCTGAAGACCTGATAGTCAAGTGGGGAGCCACTGGTGCAGTCTCAGAGTCCAAAGGCTTGAGAACCAGGAAGGACAGAAGACGAAAGCTGCAACTCAAGGAGAGAGAGACTGCATTGTTCTATTTGGGCCCCCAGTGCATCGGATGGCACTCACTCACACTGGTGAGCATGGCCCATCCTCAGTCTACCCATTCAGTGCTCATCTCTTCCAGAAACACCCTCACAGCCACACAGCTACCTCACTGTTGTTGTAACTTGCAATCCCCTGATGACATATGCTATTGAGCTGCTTTTGGTAATGCTTATTTGCCATCTTTATATATTCTTGGTGAGGTGTCTGTTCAGATCATCACCCATTTTTACTTGGATGGTTTGTTTCCTTCTGGTTGAGTTTTACTTTCTTGGTATACTTTGAATAACAGTCCTTTTTTAGTAGATGTTTTCCAAATATTTTCTCCCAGTATGTGCCTTGCCTTTTCATTCTCCTAATGGGGTCTTTTATGGAGTAGACATTTTCAGTTTTAATAAGGTCTACATTATCATGTTTTCCTTTCCTGGATTGGCTTTTGGTGCTGTGTATAAAACCTCATCACCAAATGCAAGGTCAGGTAGATTTTCTTCTATGTTCTATCCTAGAATTTTTACAGTTTTCTACTTTAAATTATAAGTCTATGAATAATTTTGTATGTATTTTTGTGTACGTTGTAAAGTTTGTTTGTACATTCGTTTTATCCCACAAGGTAATCTGGCTGTTTCATCACCATTTATGGAAAAGACTCTTTTCTCCACTGAGCAGCTTTGCTCTTTGACAGAATCAGTTGGCTATATTTATGTTGGTCTATTTAGGGGCTCTCTGTATTGTTCCATTTGTCTGTGTGACCATTTCTTCCCCAATGTTACACTCTCTTCAGAGATTTATAAGTCTTGGAATCTGGATGTGTGAATTCTTCATCTTTGTTCCTCCTCAGTCTTATATTGTCTATTTTAGGTTTAGAAACATTTTATTGGTGTCTTTGCTGGGATTTTGATTGGAATTGCACTGGGTCTATAGATCAAGTTTGGAGGAATTATTTATTTAGCTTTTGTCTAATTTTTTTTCCAACTGTGTTTCAAAGTTTTCTGAATGCACATTTGTACATATTTTGTTAGGTTTATACAAGGACTCAATTTTGGGGGTGCTATTGTAAATGATTTTTCTTTCATTTCAAATCAGATTTCAATTGTTGTTTACTGACATGTAGGAAATCAATTAACTTGTATTATTGCCCTGTTACTTTGATTCTTATATGCATCCATTCCGATCAAGATACGGAATAGCCGGCTCCATTTCAGTTTGAATTTCCAAAATTACCGCGTGGCATAATCTGTACACTGAATTTCAGTGACGCATAGGCGCAGCCGTGAAGGACAGTCTGTGTATTAGCAAAAAAAAAAAAAATATATATATATATATTAAGGCAAGACTCCAGAAAAAGAAAAAACACAGGCATGAACCAAGCACTAACCAGTGTGCCTCAATGTTTTACTTGAGGGAAATGATCTGTATGTTGCCCCCACCCCCGGCCAGGATGCTGCCAAAGGACCTGGATAGTGAACTCTGCACTTCTCTAAAAAAGATGGCTCTCAAGAAGGTGGAAACCTAGGATGACAGCCAGGAAAAGGTTGGAACCAGAGGTGGGGTCTTTATTGGGCTGGGAGCAGACTAAGTTGTACCCAGTAGCTGGCAATCAGGATCAAGGAAGAGGCTACAAAGTCAGATCACAGTAGAGATCTGGGATACACACAGAGGTCAAGGAAAAGCAAGGTTCGGAAACCAGCAATGCAGCCTGAACCACAGGCAGAAAGCCACAGCAACACTAAGATCTGATGCTTCTAAGTTTTCTGCTGGGGGCTGGAGCCATCCACAAGGTAAGCCAAGCCCACAGTCCACAAGTGGAATCAGGTCACTGTCCTCAGGAAGTAGGACGACAAGGGTTAGGAATTACTCACTGGGTACAATGTCTGTCACTCAGGTGACGGAAACCCTAAAATCCCTGACTTCACCACTATGCAATCTAAGCAAGTTACAAAATTACACTTGTACTCCATACATTTATACAAATATTTTAAAAAAGAAAAAGTCTTGATACAGAGGCCCATTTTCTCTAACCAGGAAGGAGTTTCCAAACTACAAGTCAATTCTTTCTAAAAGCACCTCTCTCTCCTTCACTCAGATCTGGAGACAGAAGAGGATGCCTCTGGGCAGCCAACCCAAGCAGAGCTGGGCAAGCGAGAAAATCGCCACCATGTCAGTGACCACCTGCTCACCCAGGCACTTCCTCCAACAGAAGACCTTCTGTTGAGCCTCCACCCTGCATCTGGCCTTCCTGAACGTCCCCTGACCTGCACCCCCTCATCATCTGGCTTAGGAACCATTTGGCCTCTGACCCACCCATGTTCTATATTCACAGACAA
This sequence comes from Homo sapiens, assembly GCF_000001405.40. Lineage (NCBI taxonomy): Eukaryota > Metazoa > Chordata > Mammalia > Primates > Hominidae > Homo > Homo sapiens. The sequence goes on along the minus strand of NC_000002.12, from coordinate 109,783,617 downwards.
AAGAATAGGGAGACTGTGGATTAGGATCACAGGGCCTCTATAATTAACTCTGATTCACCTGTCACACTTTCTGACACACAGAACCATTGGGGGAAAACTCTTCTGATTTATTGAGGGTTGAGTATAAGGTACTGTCATAGGTTAGCTGTGAAAATTCACTTAATTCTCACACAACCCCATGCGTTAGACAGGATAGTGTCCCCATCCTCACTTTATAGACATGAAAATAAAAAAATCAGATTCAAGTGAGTGGCATGGTCAGAAGTAAACTCACATTTGGCCTCTGGTTGATCAACAGTTCTCAGTAGGCAGCCTCTGTAGAGGAATTATGTCTCTTAGGGATAAAACTGAGATGTAATCTCACAGAAAGCTCTTGTGTGTTTTTTAAATTCCTTTAAAGAAAAATTTGTATTGATAGTTCTTCCCTTGATTTAGGGATTTTTTTTAATATCTGGTTTCTTGAAAAGCTTTTTAAGAGGATCTGCCAAATTACATAAGCATTTCTAGTTTTTCTTAATTTTAATTCTCATTATGAGATTTTCTCATCAAAAATAATTCAGATAGTTCTAAAAACGTCCTATAAGTAAACAATGTCAGGAAAAAGTGAGATATGTTGAAATACGAACAAACGAATGAATGAATGGACAAACTTCAGAACAAACTATCTAACTGCAGCAAGAACTGGGACTGGAAACACCTAACCAATGACAGCCCCATAGTGGTTTCTGGATGCTAAATATAGACAAGGTCCAAATTCCCAAAGTCTAACTCTGGCTTTATCACACATACTTGGCAAAAGAATGTTATCCTGATAAAGCCCTCCTGTCTGGCCATGCTTAAGTAAATGTCCCAACATGGACTGTCTTCCACCTAGCTGCCAGGGGAAAATGGATCACTTCTGTACTCTTGGTGTCTAGCCAGACTATATTAAAAAGTCCTTCATCCTGCCTCAGCAACAAAAAGTGCACTGCCAACAGTTACGTTAAAGCTGTTGTGTGATAAATTTGAATATTGCATAATGGAGGGGAAAAAATCAAGGACTTACACTACAGCTATAAAAGGGATATGTGAAGCTATTTAGTCATGATTTTGTCATGGAGTAGTGACCTAGACAACTCAAATTCCAATTAATACTTGAAAAGCCCTTGGGACATAGTGTGATATGCATTCTTATAAAATGGCTCTTGGCTGGGCTTGGTGGCTCATGCCTGTATTCCTAGAACTTTGGGAGGCCAAGGCAGGCAGATCACCTGTGGTTGGGAGTTCAAGACCAGCCTGACCAACATGGAAAAACCCCATCTCTACTAAAAATACAAAATTAGCTGGGCATGGTGATGCATCCCTGTAATTCCAGCTACTCAGGAGGCTAAGGCAGGAGAATCACTTGAACCCGGGAGGCGGAGGTTGTGGTGAGCCAAGATCGTGCCAGATTGTGCCACTGCACTCCAGCCTGGGCAACAAGAGCAAAACTCCGTCTCAAAAAAAGGATAAAATAAAATAAAATGAAATAAAACGGCTCTTAAAATAATGCATTTGAATTCCTAAGTATTTACATACAACATTGCCCCCTTAATTTTATTTTAAGCTAAGAACAATGGTATTTTTCATTTAGCAGTTGTGCCTTGCTACGAGAAAGTCTATGTCAATCAGCCGGTTTGCAGTTCAGGCAAATCTAAGCTACCTGACTCCACTGTGCCATGAGGAAATGACAGACAAGAGAACGCCCTACAGGCACTGAGGTTTTCCTGGAGTACCTTCCAAACCATGGCCTGCATTGTGCTTATGACCTGGCCAGGTCACCGCAAGCCCCTGCTGGTCCAGGCAGTCAAGAAGGGACTCCACAGTGTCTTCACAATCACCGCACTTCTGCTTGGCACAACGGCTTTGCCAAGCTACCCTCTTCGTGCCCACCGTTTCCTCTGCTGCTAGAAACACTCACAAAGGAATAGAGTTCTTACAGTTCTCTGAGCTCCACCTCAGCGTCTGCTCATAATGGAAAACGGCTGCTGCCAGAGCCACTTCCACCCTCACGGAAGCGGGGTCACGGCTGCCTTTGGGAGTCTGAAGAAAGCTGTAGGCTCTCTTCTCAGGAAAGACAAAAATGAAAGAAAGGAACAGAAATGCAGAGACGATGAGAGGGATTCCCTGACCTCCAGGTTAAGGATCCTCAGCTTTACAAGGCTAAGGGAGGAAGAATGGAGGGGGTGGTGGAAGGAGAGGCAGAGAGGGAGAGAAGGGAGTACGGAGTGAGCCAGCTCCAGGGACCAGCCACTGAACAAAGTGCTGCCCTTGTCTCAGCCTGGAATCAGACGGTATGGGTTCTGGCTCAGGCTCGAGATTCCCAGTGAAAGCCACAAAGTTCTATGACTTCATCAAAAACGCTCCCTTGCCCACAGTGCCATTAGCTATTCCACGTGACCACACCAATCTTTCTGACCAAATATTCTCTCTCATTGATTAAACTATTCTACTACAAATTGTTGATGCCTTTGGGCATATACAGGATGGAAATAGCTTAGAAAAAAAAGTATTCTATTTAACAAAACTTTACAGTAATCGGTACAGTCCCTCATTTAGTCAATAAACACTCAGCGACCACATGCTATGTGTCAGGTCATATGCCAGGTACAATTAATAACAACTTAAAAAGTAATCATAGCTAAACACATTGTGCACTTAACTGTACTAAACACTTTACGCATATTAGCTCATTTAATCCTCACATTAATCCTTTGAGGTAGGTATTATTCTTTCTTTTCCACTATTCACAATAGACAAAATAGAGCTATCCACAGCTAGCTGGTGGCAGAGCAGGGGATCAGAACTCAGACTATCTGGTTCACAGTCTGTGTTCTTAATCATTACGGTTCCTGCCTTCAACCAACCCACACAACGAGGAAAAATGTAACAGTACCAAAAAGCACTGCTTGTGTTTGACAGTTCGACAGTGAAATGAACACAACCAGACTTGATCATTACACGTCGTATGCATGTAACAAAATATTATATTATACGTACCCTATAAAAATGTGCACGTATTATGCATCGTTTAAAAATAAGTTAAATCATAGAGTTAAATTTCTTAGAAAAAGAAAATGAACACAACCATAAAATATGCATAGGTATAAAATAGTTTTTCCATAAAAGGGGAATTCTGTTTGATGTCTTATTATACACATTGGAGAAATAAAATTTATTATGAAGGATTTATATAGATTGTCCAATTTCGTGTATCTTTATAATATCAAAAGTTCCATAAAGAGAATTCACTTTGAGAATAAAATTATTTTCAAAAAGAATAGCTTATAGATGTTAAGTGTTTTCATTGGTTGTCCATAGTACACCTCTTTATCCAAATATATTAGCATATTGCATATAAATTACTTTATTACCAAGAAATTCGGAAACTGAGTATATGAAATTATCAGTTTCTGTCTCAACTATTTTGAGATGGCAGTGAACAGACTAACTATGATTTGATGATAAACTAAAGAAAAATATCACGCTTTGTCGAATATAATCAATTTGGAATTGAAGAATTAATTGTGATGCAATTACATACTTTCTTAAAACTAAAAAAAAAAAAGTCAAATTGACTATCAAAATGTCTTTAGCAGAAATATACTCACAGCTCTTTTTCAAAGCAAATGTACAAAATCTCCTACAGCCCCTTGCTGTCCAAGAGAGTCACGTGACGTAAAACATCTTCCTCATCACCTCGGCCACACCAGTTCCCAATTCCATATGCTCACCTAACTGCACCCCTGTCCCCAAAGGCTCCAGTCTCCCTCAATCTTACCTCCCCCCTTTATGCAACATCATTTCCTCCCTGAGGCTCTTTCTTGGTCTTTCACTGAGCTCCCAAAATCCTAGATTCCAAAACCACTCTCAGCCTGTTACCATTCCCAAATCCAATAAGCAAACTATAGGACTTATGAACTCCAAAATAAATACCTGGGTCCCTACCCCAGGCACTCTGGATCCCCAGCTGATTCTGGGAAGCAGCTAAATTTGATAAGCCCTGGACTACACCATAGAAATAAGCATTTAGTTATAGGCATCACTTTCTCTGCTGTACATTGAGGGAGGTGGGCTGGAAAGATGATCTCTAAGGTTCCTTCCAGACAGATCTAACAGTCTAAGAGCCCAGACTCTATAGCTATTTCACAGATACTGGTTTCTCTCCACACAGACTCCATGCTTCTTCAGAGCAGGGGCCACATTACTTTTTCACTGTCCCCAAGCCAGCATGGTGTGTTATGCATAGAAGGAGCTCAATAAACTTGTGACTCGTGGGTTTCTATGACTGTGCCCGCTGACTGAGGGTAACTAGTAAGCTGAGCCTGGCACTGCTGTGGCAGGGCTACTTGGCAGATCTTGTGCAGACACTGAGTTACATCTTGCTCCAAAGGAACCTCCCACAAAGGCATCAAGATGTCAACACTGGATTTACTGTGGTCAGAAAACTGTAGAAATCAAACTCTTTCAAATTCTAGTATACCAAAATACAACAAGTTCTGACTTTCTGTTTATATGTTAAGGAAACCACAGAAAGCCCTCAGAGATAATGTATCTGGTTTGTAAGAATTATGATGCATACTGCCATAGTGTCATAACAATTCCCATATCTGGCAGGGCGCCATGGCTCATGCCTGTAATCCCAGCACTTTGGGAGGCCGAGGTGGGCAGATCACAAGGTCAGGAGACTGAGACCATCCTGGCCAACAAGGTGAAACCCAGTCTCTACTAAATATACAAAAATTAGCTGGGTGTGGTGGCACAAGCCTGTAATCCCAGCTACTTGGGAGGCTGAGGCAGGAGAATCACTTGAACCTGGGAGGCAGAGGTTGCAGTGAGCCAAGATCACACCACTAAACTCCAGCCTGGCGACAGAGTGAGACTCCATCTCAAAAAAGAGAGAGAGAGAAAAGAAAAAAAGAATTCCCATATCTAAGAGAACCTAATGGTGAGAAGAACGTATCATGGATCTTTTTGCTGGAATGACAGTGGGGTGATCCAGGTAACAATTCAAGTCCAGGAAGTATATTAAATGGGCTTGAAACTATTACCAAGGTTATTCTACTATTGAAAAAAGATGTTTCTAGCTGGTCTTCTGGAGTTGTCCAATGCCTGGCTACTAAACCTTCTTAACAAGAAAATCACCTTTGTTGAGATAATAGAAAAGCTAAGATTTATACGGAGAAACAACATTCCACACATTTATAAAGGACTTAATAGCTTGAATCATTTCTATCTGTTATGCCATTTAAACCTCTTACAACAGCCCTTAGAGTTAGGCAAGACACACATTATCTGCATTTTACAAATGAAAAAATGAAGCTTTGGAGAAGGTAAAAACCTACCCCACAGTGGAGCTGAAGCTCAACCCTAGGGCCTTACACTTCATCAGTGACCCCCTGAATGAGGGATTCTATAGAGGCAGATGTATGATGTCTGGCCAAGAAAGTACAGGTGTGGGTGTGTGTTGTTTACTGTATTTTGCTTGTTTTGCTTTTCATCTGAATGTATTGAAGCAAGGTAGTAGAGCTTCAAATGGACCACAAGCCCCATCACATCCAACTGTGATACTGTTTCAGACATTTATTTGGTCTACTTGGCCCTGAAGGTATTTGAATTTTTGACCCCTGTGCTAAATAATTATACTTACATACTTATATAAATAATTATATCTTCCCATCATGTAACATCTTATGAGCATATTCACTGCATATTTTATTTCTTCCTTATAATCCTGTTTACTCATTAGAGGACTAAGCTAAAAAAATTGAATGACTTGCACAAGATCAGGACCTAAAATCTAAATGTGTCATATAAGAAATTACATTATGTGAGAATTTCTTAAGCAGGTGTCAAGTTAAAATTCTTCAGAAAATCATTACATAAAAGTTTCTGAACTTGAGTACTCAAGTACTCAAATCTCTTTTGAGATTTGATTATTCTTACTTACAGGACTATCATTCAGAGAATATGCAGAAACAATGCTTTCATGTTTCCATGGGCATGTCCTGAGAAAGTCATATTCCTTTATTTTTATCTCAAGTGTTCATGAACTTTCATTATCAAAGAAGAAAATAGGCAACTGTTTCTGAAAAAGGAAGTCATTCAACAAAATACTAGCAAAACAAATCCAGTGATATATAAAAGGATTATATACCATAACCAAGTGACATAGTCCAGGAATGCAAGGTTGGTTCAACATATAAAAATCAGTCAATGTATTAAAGTATATAAAAGTATATTAATAGATTAAAGTCTATTAAAGTATATTAAAGTATTAATAGATTAAAACCCATATGACCATCTCAATACATGTAGAAAAGCCTTTGACAAAAATCACACATCCTTTTGTGCTTAAAAACACTCAACAAACTAGGAACAGAAGGAAACTTCCTTAACCTGATAAAGGGCATCTATGAAAAACCAACAGATAATATCATACTCAACAGTGAATGACAAAGCTTTCCTTTCAAGATGAGAAACAAACCAAAGATGTCTACTCACTCCACTACTATTTAACATTCTCCTGGAGGTCCTAGCCAGGCCAATCGGGCAAGAAAAAAAAATTAAAAGCAACCAGATTGGAAAGGAAAAAGCAAAACTATCTCTATTCACAGATGACATAATCATGTGTATATATATAAAATCCTAAGAAATACACACACAACTATTAGAACTCATGAATACACTCAGCGAGGTCACAGGATACAAAATCAACATACAAAAAAGAAAGTAAAAATATCAGTGATCCCTGTTACCATCACTAAATAATCACTAGCACCTAAAAAGCTTCCTCTTTTAGTTTTATTACTCTCAACCTGGGATATAGAAATCTAAAATCCAGAGTTTACTTTAGCTTTTAAAACTATCTATGATATCAGGTTAAAAGAAACATTTCCTGGCAGATGCACAGCTCTGGAAAATTTTGTTTTCCAAACGTCTGGAAAACAAAAGGAAAGCTTCCTTTGTTTACATAGCCAAGAAGGTTGAGTGATGAGAATCAGAAAAGATTTTGAAGCAATACAAGATCTTCTCCTAGGGCCATTAGAGATCAGCTAATCTGTTCAAGTTTTAATTCTCTTCTAATGGGTTTCCTCAAAGTACTTTACAGCAGTTGCAATCAGTTCCAAATATTGCATCGTGATACTCACATAAACTGGAAAGTAACGGCTACATTTCCATTTATTTCATTTATATTTTTACTTTGGCCAGTCTCGTAGAGATTTTAAAAACCATTAAGTACTTCACAATATTGGTGGGGACTGTTTCCTTCTTCATTTTCATTAGAATAAACACAGAAGTGGTATCTACCCTAATAATACAGAACATGCTTCTTAGGTAATATAAACCAAACACAAATAGAAAGAAGCATTGTTTTTATACAGTTCAAAAAAGTGTTACACTTATTTTTCTGCAGGCCTGAATACAGACCCTGCCTGCTCTAAAAGTCACGAGGTATAAAGTGTGAACCTATGCTCTGGGGGCTCCTGATAAGTTCCAAGAAACTCCTTTCACAGCCTCTATCTCAGGGCCACATCAAATACATGTTCACTCACTGGCCTCAACAGTCGATTATCACTCCCTATTTATTTGTAGGTTCACATATTTTTGCCATTTAAATTTTTTCAAAAATTAAAACCTGGCTCAAGTTACAAGTAAAGCTTGGGTTAAGGAAAGCATTCATGAAACACTTTGTTTTCTGTAAATCAGATAGTTTATTGCCTGGTTCCCTTCCAATATATATGTGGGCTTTACTCTCCATTCAGAATTTGATTCTAATTTTTAAGTGGCAAGCAAAGTCGAATTATTAATTAAAGAATCAAGACATATAAGTATACCTTACTCTCTACATGGTGAAGGCAAACACTTTCAAAGACAATTTCCCTAATATTTTAAACCTATCACATGAAAACTTTAGCCCTTTGGATGGAAACATTTCACTGACTTTCTTCATCAGTCCCCCTTTTTTGCCATAAAAATTCACGAGATAATAAATTCCAGTAAAAAGAAAACCACACAGTAAGGCACAGATCTTTGATAGTATAAAAGAACATTATCTAATTTAATCCCCATAACAAATCAGTGACAGTATTATCTCATTTATATATAAGGAACCTGAAGCTCAGAGATGCTGAGTTACTAAAGATGGCACAGCTAGTAAATGGCATGTCAGAATCTGAACCCATTGCTGGATGGCTCTGAACCCTTTGCCCTTCCCAACATTAATTCGTGCCTTTCTGGAATTTTGCCAGCCAAGTGGATTTTTTTTAACCTAACTTAAAATATTCAAAAATAACTAACGTTATTTAACGTCTTATTCTCTAAGATTTTTTAAAAAAACATTTAAAGTTATTTTTGTCATCTGTTTTAATATGTCCCAATCCCTTAAGCTAAGAATCTATCATTTTTACTTTACCCAACTATCTTGTGATATAAATTAAGCCTGTTTACTCTTTCCAGGTCACTGAAGCAATGCTTCTTTCTAGAATTAGAGTCATACAACTAGAAGAGATGGTCTGACTTTGTACAGACCATTTGTACACCATGTGTAGTTCCATTTCTAAGAAGAAACAGCAAAATGATCTACATGAAAAAAAAAATCACCTTACAATTTCAGATGACTTTCACGAAGTGGTTTTATAAATTGTATTGCTGTACCATCATTATTGTTATTAATGAAGTTACATTTAGGTGTTATGGTAGATTTGACCAGATGTGGCAAACAGTTGTTACCATAGTCTTCATCCATAAAATTTGTCAAATTAGAGGTTTTATGGAGTATACAACTAATTGCAAGAAAATATATAGGCAGTGTATTTTTAACATTTTAAATACTAACAAAAAGAGCAGGACTTAATGACAGTGAACTACAGACAATCCATGCACAGTGAAGCCTGTTTAATTAGAATTCCACTAGTCTAAAACCTGTAATAGCTTGAACACAATATACTATTCATTCTGAGTTTGAAAGTTCAGAATAAATCTCAAGATGTTTTTCCATATATACCTCACTGTACCTGCTGGAGACCATTTACATACATATATATATTATATATATTTTATATATAATATATATAATATATATTATATATATATATATGTTTGTTTTTGAGAAGGAGTCTCGCGGTGACACCCAGGCTGGAATGCAATGGCGCAATCTAGGCTCACTGCAACCTCTGCCTCCCAGGTTCAAGTGATTCTCCTGCCTCAGCATCCCGATGAGCTGGGATTACAGGTGTCCACCACCACGCCTAGCTAATTTTTGTATTTTTAAATTTTGTATTTTTAGTAGGCAGGGTTTCACCACATTGGCCAGGCTGGTCTGGAACTCCTGACCTCAGGTGATCCACCCACCTCGGCCTCCCAAAGTGCTGGGATTACAGGCGTGAGCCACCACGCCCAGCCTATATCACATATATTTTAAGGTCACATGGGACCTCAGTACTCATGCCCTCTGATTCTGTCATTAAGAGATACATATTACAGGATAGTGGTGATGTGTAGGGGCTCTGGAGCCAGGCTACCTGCATTAAATTCCCAGCTCTGCCTTACTAACTATGGGACCTTGGGCAAGTTACCTTGTGCCTTTGTTTCCTTCTCTATAAAATGGGGAATAGTAGAATCCACCCTACAGGTAATGAAGATTAAAAGAGATAATACATACCTGTGAAAGGCTCAGGACACTTCTTATGTGTAAGAAACACAATACCCTGAGGCCAGCTGGCCTAGATGCCTTTCCAAGGAAAATCTGCCATCAAATGTTAGGACAACATCGTGGGACTCCTGTCTTTTCTATTTGAAAATAGTTTTTAAAAATCCATTTAAAACAGCCCACAATTAGACAAGCTCACTAATTTTTCCTGGCTATGTACCTTCACCAAATTACTTCTCAATCAAAATTACTTTAAATTACAGATAGTATGACATAGATGTATGCCAAAGGGGCTTATGCGGACTTTTAAGTCATATATTCAAAAATAACTAGGAAGAACCTACTAGTTTCCCTTTACAATCTGATGTTTCATATTACCCTCTTCTTTGTAGTTCCATTCTGTGAAACTTCCATTTCTCATAGGTATTTTGTTAAATATCACCCCTACCCACAAGGTTTATCCCAAAGTATCTACACAGATTCCACCCTCGCGTTCTTCCTCTGATTCTGGGCCTGGCCTGCCCACATCTCCTCTGAGGCCTTCCTCCATCAGTTTGCCCATCTTTCCCCTCAAGAGTGGGAACACGCATAGCCGCCCTCCCACCTCCCATCCATTCTTTCACCCTCACTGCCAACTCCAAAAAGCAGCTGGTCACAGACCCCACTGGCTCATGGCCTCGCCCTGGCTGATCTTTCCTTTTCAACCCTCTTCACCGGCTGCTTTCCCTCCCACTACACCGTGGTGCCTGCAGCCTACTTCTCATTCTCTCCTCCTCCGTCCTAGACAATCTTGTCCAATCTCAAGGCTTTCACCAGCACCTGTATGCTGATAACGCCCACTTATTTCCATCCTGACCTTTTCCCTAAATGTCAGGATCTTTAGTAAACTTCCTAGAGACAATTTTATCTCCATGGTCCAAGGGCATTTACATGCAATACATTTAAATCCAAAGGGTTCCTCTTTCCCCACTCAGCTTGCTCTTCCTCCTACTTTCCCTATCTCATCACACAAGCTAGATAGCCTCAAAGCACCCTCATCCCCTTCTACCCAGAAAATGAGTGAATACTGTCTGTGTCATGCCCCCAACAGCTCTCTACTCCCTCTCCTCCTCTCCATCCTCACCAGCCCAGGCTAGTCAGCCCTCACTCCTCACTGACCTCCTGACCTTCAGACATGGCCTCTCACAGCCACCAGACTCATCCATCTATAGTGCCTTCTAGAAATAATAAAAAAATGCAAACGTGACCATTTTGCTGCCCTGCTTAAAGCCCTCATGCAGGCCATCACCTACTGGAAAATGTTTGAGCTCCTTAGAAAGCCATGCAAGGCCCTCTGAGAGCTGCTCCCAGCTCCACTGCCCAACCTCCCATCCTGCCATTCCCAACATGAATGCCAGGGACCTGAAACTGACCTGCACTGGTCACTGCTACTGTTCACAACTTGCTAATTTTCACCTCTTTGCCTTTCCTTACATTATCGTACCTGCCATATCCCTACCCCGCTCCCAGCCTGGCTAACTCTTATCCTTCCTTTAAGACTGCAATCAGATGTCACTTTCTCTAGGAAATCATCCCTAAAATACCATGCTGAGTAGGGTACCCCCGTACATACTCCACAGGATTTGGGGCAGGTAAAAAGTCTACTTAGACTAACGAAATAATCTGTTCTTATTATCAGGCTAAAATATAAACATATCAAGGGCTAGAAATGTGGTCTCTTCACTTCTGTGTCTGGCTCAATAAAAGGATGCTCATCTCAACCCAGACACCTAGAAATCCAGAGGAAGAAAGTTACAAAGAGCAGCTTCAAGCCCTCTATACTGTAGATGGATTGCGTTACATTATTATATATTTTAGGGCTCTAAAACATTACTTTTTTTTTCTTTCTGAGACAAGGTCTCTCTCTGCCATCCAGACTGGAGTGCAGTGGTGCAATCATGGCTCATTGCAGCCTTGACCTTCCAGGCTCAAGCAATCCTCCCACATCAGCCTCCCAAGTAGCTGGAACCACAGGCATGCACCACGATGGCCAGCTAATATTTCTGTAGAGATGGGGTCTCCCTATGTTGCCCAGGCTGGTCTCAAACTCCTAGGCTCAAGTCATCCTCCTTCCTCGGCCTCCCAAAATGCTGGGATTACAGGTGTGATCAGCCTGTACCACCATGCCTTGTCTAAAATATTACTTTTGTCCTGCTGAGGAATAAAAGTAAGGAAAAGAAATCAATTTATGTAACTAATTATTTACCTAACTATTAGAAACCAACATACCCTACTTCCTTTCAGACTCCAAAGAATTTTCTCAGGTGTTCCGTTCATATTCAAAGATTAAACTCTACTTATTGAAAAAAATTAAAGGAAGTCACTTACAAGGATTGGTTCTCAAAAGCAGCTATGCCATGTTCTGGGGAAGGAACTACCTTCAATGAAAGGAACACAAATAAGAGAGTCCTGGTGTTACCCGCTGAGCTGTCCTCTCCTGCACGTAGACATGCTTCTGCGAAAAATTTAGCAGGCTCCAAGTCAAACTCTGTCCTGGGCTCTACAGTATGCCGCCGCACGTGATGATCACTGGTGCTCAGGCAGAACGGACTTTATCCACATCACTGTAACCTGAGTCCAGACTTCATCCTAGACAGTCACACAGCTAGGGCCACAGGTGGCACACCATGGTAAAAACGTGAGACCATCTGATTATCCATCAAAACAGAGGGCCTACTGCACATAGACATAGATGTGAGTTGGAGTAGTGTGGTCTTCCCATTTCTGATGTTGCCATCTATTTCCTCGAGATGACAGACAGCTCATATATTTTGCTCAAAGGGTTGCTAGAGCTGTATCCTCCTTTAAGGTGAATCTTCATTTCTACTCCCACAACAGAAGTGGTCCTCAACCTCTTTGGCACCAGGGACCAGTTTTGTAGACGACTTTTTTTCCATGGACCAGGGGTGGAGAGATGGTTTCAGGATGGTTCAAGTGCATTACATTTATTGTAGACTTTATTTCTATTATTACATTGTAATCTATAATAAAATAATTATACAACTCACCATAATGTAGAATCAGTGGGAGCCCTGAGTTTGTTTTCCTGCAACTAGAGAGTCCCATCTGGGGGTGATGGGAGACAGTTACAGATCATCAGGCATTAGATTCTCATAAGGAGAAACCTAGATCCCACACATGCTCGGTTCACAATAGGGTTCATGCTTCTGTGAGAATATAATGCCGGTGCTAATCTGACGGGAGGCGGAGATCAGGCAGTAATGTTAGCAATGGGGAGCAGCTGTAAATACAGATGAAGCTTCTCTTGCTCGCCCTCCACTCACCTCCCACTCTGCAGCCCAGGTCCTAACAGGCCCCGGACCAATATTGATCCACAGCCCGGGGGCTGGGGACCCCTGCACTCCTTAACAGAAGAGGGGCCTGGCAGGATGTTTCAGAAAGTGGAAGGAAGTAAACATTTGAATCTTCGGCACACTGAGAAGGCCTGGCAAGGAAAGTCTACCTGCTTCTTCCCAGGATGCTCTGAGCTTCTATTTTAGTAAACTACAGAGTCTATGGCCAGTGAAGATACCTACTTCACAGCCTGAGATAAAGTCCTCGGCCTCCAACTGTAGTTTCTACCTCAGCAGTTCTGAGAAAGGACACCAGAAGCCTCCCTGCCATGGAATATGATTGGTGGGACAAGAAGCAAGTGGGCCATGTGGGCAACCTATCTTCTCAACCAAGGCAGGGTCCCAGGGCAAAAGCCCAGACAATGCATCTAAAGGTCAGAACCTACCTGACCATCATCAGTAGCTTTTTCTATTCTTAAGGAACTCCTGAATGTCGCTTCTTGGGACCCAACAGAGTAAACCTCTGAGTCTGACAGTCTTTTTTTTGGTGTGTGGTGGGGGGCGGGTTGTCTGAATCACCTGTTATTTGTACTATTTATTGATAGTAAACTGTATTTTCTTAAATGTAAAAGAAACTGTATTAATTTGATGACACTAGTACTGAAGCAATAATCAAATACTTGCTTATCTTACTATGGGCCTGACCTACCTTCAGGCTTGAGGGCAACTGTTTTCCTCTCTCCTCCCCCACAATCTGAAGGAAGAGTTAGAACAGTGGAAAGTAATGTTGCATATTACAAGAAATGGTTAAACACAATTAGTCAGATCATATAATGGACTATGACGTATTAAGGCAGTATCACGGCTACCAGGAGTATAGATACCAACTATGGCCCCAAATAATGCTAAACACTGTTGCAAGAACTTCATCCACCAGTTCACGTGTCTCAAGACTGCAAGATTTAAATTTGCCCTACTATTCGTGAAAATTCACCTTTCTTTTCCAAATCTGGAATACCCCCCATTGTTTAAATCCAGTCTGGGTTTCTCTTGTCAGTAGCAGTCTTCAACGCCTACTTCAGAGAATGAAAATGTGTGTATGTGCACTCATGTGCTTATGTGCACGCACACACCCTCCTTAGAAAGATAAAGTCAATAAACTTCCTGTCAGTATCACAGAACATGCAAAGTCAATTGTGCAATATTTCCTTGCATTATCCATCCTATATGCAAACATTCTAATGAAATAGAACTGGAAATTACACATGGAAACCGCAGCTAGGTTTGGCCACCTAATGGACTCAGGGTACTCCGGTAATGGCGCGGAGAGAAGAAGGTTGGCCGAGCGGGGATGCAAGGTCCCCAACTGAAGTATCTGAAACCTACTATGGGTTCCACGTAGAGTCTTCAGTTGTGATTTCTCGTAGGACACTAGGAAAGTTGCAATTTGCAGCTATGGCCACGGGGTAGTGCAATAATTCTGCAAATAGCTGACCCCACCCCCAACACTCCTATCCCCCCAACCCCAGCCCTCCCAAAGACAGAATGGCTAGGAGAGAATGGGGACATTTGGTCTGAATCCTGGGCATCCACAGGGGTTACTGAGAGATTCTCCACAAATCCAAAAGTGTCTGTAAGACTATCCAGTTACTCTCAGCATTCGAGCCCGATACAACAGAAGGTCCCGGGCTTTGAAGGAATGATGAGAACTGAGAGGCTATAAAAAGTGATTAGCCTATTTATTACAAATTGTGTTTACTTAGGTTTTTATGTTTACTTCCCACCATATCTCCACCAGAATACAATTAACCACCCCCTCACTCATCAGAATTGTATTAGAAAGACTCACAAAAATAAAATAAATACTGCATCTAAACGCAACCGTCAAGCTTTATGGAACTGGACTGTTATTACACAAAGGTGTCCCCAAAACAGGGAGAAGGAAATGCAAATTTTGAAAGGGCTTCTTTTCAAAGGAAATTTTTGTCCATTTAGTCCTTACAAGTCAAAGTTTGGTCTGTGGACCAAAACTAATACTTGGGAGCCAGTTAGAAATGTGGACTCCTGGTTCTATTAGATTAGAATGTGTATTTTAACAAGGCCTCTAGATTATTTGGATGCACATGGAAGTTTGAGAAGCATTCCCCGAGTGAGAGCTAAGCATACTGACCTATGCTCTCAAAACTATTTTCTACACCCTGGGTCTTTTCTTCTTCTACAAGCATTCTACGTGAAAACAAATATATTTTGAAATTTTAAAACAAAAACAGATTATTTCCCAGAACTGGTGGTGATCCACTACAGTAAAGCCTCTTCCTATCTAAATTGCCAGGTAACTAATTAACATGTCAATGAACACTGGCTGAAATTCTGTTCTGTCACTTCATAACGCAGGTAAACAGTACAGATATGAGAAGAAAAATTTAAGACCAACAGACTCACATCATGGTCCTCTAGGGGATTTTCGAAACTAATTTCCTGCCCATATAAAAGGAAAAATAAAATTATTTCCAGTATCAAGTTAAGCACATAACTCTCTAAATGGAGTTGCTATGTTAAAGTGGTCTCCAAATTACAGTCATTTTTGTTTACCTCCGCTAACAATGAGCCTCCTGGGAAGAAATTATGTGAAGAAGTTTAAGTACCCTCTATGCCTTTCTCCACAGGTGAGTGGGGAAATTGCAGAGGAAAAATACACAAGTGAATACAATTAATGACTTCTGCACTCTTTGATTCCTGCTACCCTGTGAGGGGAATGATCATAGAATTTTGAAGCTGGAAGGAATCTCGGAGATAGCCTATTGCTGCCGCTCTGCCTACCCAGGAATGTCTTTCTACAAAGTCAGGTAATTGTTACCCTTTGAGACAGCCCACATCACATCACTGTTAAATGCTCTCACACCCACTGATCTTACTCGTGCCCTTGAGCAACCCAGAACAACTCTATTCCCACTTCCCAGCTAAATGCCTTCAAACACTTAAGGCCCCTGTCATATCCCGGGTGGTAGTTTCCTTAGATTGAACCCATTTAGTTCCTTGGATTGGGTGGTGTCCTCTTACTCTGATATAAACACTGTGTATTTTGTTTCCAGTGAAACTAAATTATGATTAGCCTGACATAATTTAATGAGACCCACAGTGCCAAATGAAGTCATTCGATGTAATGGTTGGTAATGCAATACATTCTCAGTGAAACATAAAAGATTATGTAATGGTTAATAGATCTACATATGTGAGTAGTACCACCGTAAGTAAGAGCATATTTGTCTGCTGGACTATGATGCACGACTAAGAAAAGCTACCAACCTCTCTACTCAAAACCGTCCCAGGGTCCTGTTGCCAGGGACAGAACGCTGCACCGCATGGACTGCTGAATCTGACCTTATGCGGCCTTTCTGTATTCTTCCTTGTTTATGAAAAAGAGACATTTTTAAGAAAGCAAAGGGTATAGAAGAGCTACATTTGGCATTCAGAGCAATTGACACTTTTATTACTTAACGTCACAACCTTATGAGGTAGGCCAGTCTAAGTGCTGTCATTTTATAAGTGATTAAACCAAGACTGAGAATAGGAAATGAGAAAAATCATGAGCTGCCCAGGGCCAAACAGAAAGCAAGGTTGGGGCCAGCTGAATTCAGAAACCTCAATTAAATTCCAAGACAAAAGGGAACAGCCAACATTGAAAATAAGTTTTATGGATTTCACTTTGAAATAAAACAACAACAAAAAAATTATGTTACCATTAAATGATATTAAAATCGTCTTTTACGGGGCCTCGATTTTGCCACCAAGGCTTTATTCCCAAAAATTAAAATAAAAAAAAATCAAACAGGCAAATCTATTCCAGGTTAAAAATTCCACTTACACACAAAATCTTGCATTCCATATTGAGAGGTTTTTTTTCTTAATTTGCCTATTAATCTGTATTAAGCCAAAGGTCTTTGTTCAAGTTGCTCAAGTGTCATTGATTAGACCCATTGTGGTTAACAAGGACATTCTCCCAAAATAGATTCTTAGCATTTTAAAACCCTCCTACATTTTCACAAAAGAGAATCTGGAACACAGGAAGGAATCATTTCCCCACACACAATACTCATCTTCAACGTCATCAAGATACATTTGGTTAAAAACCTATCCACACATTAAGGTGCACACTCCCTGGGTTCCTCCTCCCTGGTATCCTCTGGGGCCCCAGCCCAGCTGGAGTCCCCAAGTTCTCGGCGCCCTGAACTAACCAGTCTCTCCACCCAGCTTTCTCCAAAACACGCCCCACACAAGGGCTGAGCTCCTCCACAGCGGATGCAACACTCCACTGCTTCCCATCGAGGCCCCCTGCCTCCTCCAGGCTGATGAGCAGCCCCTTCCCCACTGCTGCCCACAGCCCTAGCCCTGGAAGCCACTCTTCTGAGAAGGCTTTGCCTCCTCGTACCTGCCGAGGCCCCTCCAGGCCCATGCTGAGGGCCAATGAGAGCCACGCAGTCAACTACACGGTGACCTTCGGCCAGTGTGAGTACACGCAGCTCTGCAGAGCTGCTGTCTACCAATCAGCTCCAGGACACCTGGGGCTCAGACAGGTGCACTCTCCTTCTGCCCTTTCTTTGTACTCTGTTTTGACCCATAAGGACTGACCAAAAGGATAGGAATAGGCCTTAAAATGTTTGCTTTACTGCAGCTGGAGGAAAGGGTAGAGGCACCTGAAGGTCAAGATCAGGGATCTGTAGCATTTTCTGGCACCATGAAGTAAAGTCTAAAAAGGCCTGGAGGAAGCCGCCCACTGGCCTGCGCATGTCCCCTGGCAGTTGATTTGAAGACAAGCAAAAGCATCAGCGGGCACTACTGGGCAGCATCCTTAGGGAGACTAAACTGCTAGTGCCTCTGCATCCCTCCCTGCCTGTGTTAGCCTACCTTCACCAAACAAGATCCACACTTTATTCCCTCCATGTTTCTATTCACAGTCTTCCCACCACGTGGTTTTCCTCCTTTCCATTTCCTCCTGAAATTCTACTCCAGGACCCATTTCAAATGCCACCCCACCATGAATATCTTACTTTCAACAGGATGTGCCCATGCCCCCTCAAGCGGGCAGTGTCAGCCTTGGATTGCAGGTATTTATGGGTATGGCTTATTCTCCTATTAAGTTCCCAAAAAACACACTGTCCTTTGCATCCTGTACAGCAGGGTTTCCTAAACTGCAGGTTTCAGCCTATGAATGGGAAATTTTAAAAAAAAGAAAGAGAAAGAAAGAGGACAGGAAATATCCAAGTGTATCACACATAGTAATAAGCGTTATTTCATGATGCTCTTGTTTCACTTACGTGTATGCATGTTCAAGGGGTGGTGGGTGGCAGTGTTAAACGTGTATTTGTTACTGGGGGTCATGGTCTGAAGCATTTGAAAGTCACTGCCCTGATGGTACCTCTCCTCTGTCTAATATTCTGTGAATGCTTATTGAATTGAACAGGTTGATGAGTATGAAATGATCCATGTATTATAACTTCAAAGGCTCCAACTTAAAGGAATATAAAGAATAATGCCTATCTGAACAAAAGTGTGTGGATTCTGGCTTATATGAAGCTGTGGAGGAATGGGGTGAGTGGTAGGGAAGATCAGAATATTTATTATACTATTGTATGTTGATAGACTTTCTCTCCAATGATTAAAATGTGTTAACATTTAAGGAAGATGAAATACAAGTTCATTTTGGAAAACTTTTCTCATTCACTGAAACTACCTCATGACTACAAAGTTCTGCATCTTTAAAAGAGACAGTATAGGTAATTCCACCATGATGCATAAAATGATCTTTTAGAGACACCATGAAAGCCCTTGTTCAAGTTTTCTTTGCCCAAGATGTCTCCCTGTACTCTCAATACCCCCACCCACACCATCTGTCTTCCAAGACTTAGTTCAAAGGCCACCTATTTCATGGAAGCCTTTGTTTTTTAATTCAATTTTTCCTCTTTCCATCCTCCACCCAAGTCCCAAATATGGTCTCTTTTCTGAATCACCAGTGTTGAAAACTTCCTTTTTCATGTGTGTTCTTGTCTTAATTTCCTCATTTGACAATAACACTAATATGTACAACCTACGCCTTACTCATCCTTGCATCTCCCACAGAAACCAGCACAAGGTCTTCTACTTAAGAGATGATCAATAAATATTTGTTAAACGAATTAAATGAAAGCAACAGTTAGCCTGTTAAAAGGGATGGTCATTATTTTAAAGGCCCTGAGGAATGGCTTATATGTCTAGCACCTAATCAAAAGCTGGTGGACCACAGAAGGAAGACCAGGGAGTGGAGGGGGCAGCCTTGCGCCTCTGCATATCTGCTGCCCCTGTAAACTCACGGAATGCCCAACTCTTCAAGACTCTACAGAACAAAGCTACAGTGTCGGGTGCTGAATGAACACCTTCACCTTTTTCTAAGTTCTCCAGTCTTGCTTCAAACCAGAAACTGGAAGTGGAATTAGAGGTGGAAATTAGGGCCATCCTTTTCAACTTTAAGGTATGGCTGAAAAAGTTGAAACAGCCATCTGGATAATTCAGGCTCAAAAAACCCATCCTGAAGAGTAAGTATGGATGTTTCTGAGTGGCAGGAAGAGCGTGCAAGAAGGCAAAGGAGGTAGTTGTGAATTATCAATTGATTGTGTATATTGATTATATTCAACAGAACTGAGCTTTTCCCTTTATATTTTCTATACAGTCATTTGAGGACACTCTCTGTGACTGCAAGAATAAACTAGCTCAGATTCAAAGCCACAGTCACCACTAATAAATTCCAATTTGTTCAATTGGAAAATGATGTCCATCAATTAGAAAAAGTTCTTAGGGATTAAAATAAGATTCTCTTTTGCCATTAATCTGTACCTCCTCCTTCCTCCTTCAAAAAAGTTTTTCTATGATCAATCAAAGGAAGAAGCTTTCAATGGTCTTTAAAATGTATATTGCTCTAATACAATAATTCATAATTAACAGGTATACTTTCCTAACTATGGTAGTTTATTTTCAAATTTTTAATTTTAATACCATTTAGGGCTCTCTCTCTTTGTTATTTTAGTAGGACCTTAACTTCCAGTCCATCGAGGTTTTGTTTTGTAATTAATTTCGGAGCTGTCCTTATAAGCTGAGAGATATGTGAAGTACTCTAGAAAATGGCAATTGTCTGACTGGATTTGAAGTCAGATCACTGGGCTTTGAAGCTAATTTCTGGTTGAAATATGGCTGCCCCATTTTTAGATGTGTGACTCTGGGCAGGTTACCCTATCTTCCCATCTTCAATTTTCCTATCTGTAAAATGGAACTAATAACAGTACTTGCTTTATAATTAAATGAGCTAAAACATGTAATGTACTCAGAACAGTGTCTGATAAATAATACGTGTTCAGCAAATGTTAGTTTTAAAAAGTCTGCTGTCATCTGTTTTATGACCTCAGTAAAGTCATTTAACAGTTCAAAGCTTCTATTTCCTCATCTATAAAATGGAACTACTACCACTTACTTACCCTTTCCAGGATTAAGAGACTCAAATAAGAAAACAATGGATATGAAAATACTGGACACACAGAAAGTTCTCAAATATTAGTTATTTTGAACCATCTATAAGCTTAAAAGTAACCATAAACTTAAAAATTTACGTAAACCATAAAACTGAGAACATAGCATCCAAAAATTCATCTGTGAGAAAATGTCTAAACATATTAGAAATGCATACTCAAGCTTGGTTTTTCTTTAACTTATCAGAAACATATAAGCTTTTGTAAAATGTAATTCTACATCTGCAAAACTAGAAACCCTCCCGGTCAAGCCAAACTGTCCTAGTATATTGTGATCAAGAAAGTCTACATGCCTTCATAAGCCAAAACTCGATGCACTCATTAAAATGTGATTGCACGTACATCAACTTTTTAAAAAACGTGTAAGTTTTTGTTTTTTTAAAAGTAATAAATGTACTGCTAATGTAAATTTCAAGTCAATTCAACAGATATTTATTCTGTGACACTGCTCCAGGGTAATTCAGCTGGGAACTAAGGATGCAAAAGGAAACAGAGCTCAGGTTCTGTGCAGGAAGACCCCACAAATTACGCTGATAATCTCAAAATATTACTTATGAAAGTCATAAGGGGGTTCGCTTTGAGTCAGCAAGCAGACAAGCAGCATAAAAATATACCGAAACAGTAAGTTCTTCCTTTTGACTGAAAAACTGCCTTTTAAAAGCAAACAGCATTTTAAAAGTACAGTTGCTATCTGGAAAGCTATTGAATTTGCGCCAGAAACCAACATCTCTAAATGTAAACCTATAAAATAATAGGTATCTGTAAATGAAAGGCTGAAATAACCCCAGGAGCAGCAACACAGTAATTAGCAACTTTTACACAGTCATAACATGTTTCATATTCTTTCTGCCCTGGCTCTTTGAAGTTTCCAGTGCAATACGTAAAAGTTTTATTACATTAGGGCCCGTCCTTGTGTGTTTTACAGGCACCAACATTATGCAGAGCAAGCTGTACTTACTCATCATAGGATCTTTTATAAGAAACCGTTCGATAATGTGCTAGCTTTGTGTCCAGTTTATTTTGTTACACCTGTCTTTAGGAAAATAAAAGTCACTGGAAACCTAAATCACAGAAAATACACACAGATCCACATATCATCTATATGAGTTATAAATCATAAAGCAGTTTAGCTTTAAAATTGTACATTGCATATTCATGTGCACACCACATGCAGTTTTAGACACATGTGAACTCTTTACTGAATTAAAGCAAAAGGAAAAAAAAAACAAGCTCAGCTCTACAATAAGCGATTACCAGAGGCAGAACAGAGTGCAGTTAATATGCTTGTTCCAGCAGATGTTCATCCCCGTAAATATTAAACATAACACAAGTTCCTCCAGGAATATGCAGGCAGTAATTTTACCACCTGAATAGTGCTGGTTGGAAACATTTAAGAGATAGTGGCGGGTTGGGGGGAGCAGAGAAAGAAGGGGGAATAAGACAGATACTAAAGCAGCCAATGGGATTTTTAAGACACCCGCAACTGGAATTAAACTGCTTCCAGCGGCGATTTACCTACAGCAGCTCCCCAGTGTGAGATCCCCGAGAAACGGAACCTGGAGTGCCCCCCGGGCTGCGAGCTGTGAGCGTGGCACAAAGGGATACCTGGGGCGCCCGGGTGGGGTGGGGAGGAGGAGTGCAACTGTGACGAGGTGTGAAGAAAGGGCCCAGAGGAACTGTGAACCCCGAGGAAAGGAGTCTCCCTGGGCTAAGGCCTCTGGAATACCGGCACGGAGAAACACTCGTTTCCCGCCCTGGATGTTCACTTTTCCATCTCGGTGGAAGTGGGTGGGAGAGACAGAAAGGATGCAGCCGAGACCGGGCGCAGGCGGGGAGGCTGGAGCATCCTCTAAGGGCACTTCGCAGCAGCACCAACTCCAGGGGGTCGGTGGTGCCAGCCGGAGGAGGGAGGGGGCGCAGTCGGAGGGAAAGGAAGTGAGAGGAGCAGGGGGCCGACGGGTGGATCCCCAGGCATTAGTGACGCAGTCTTCAAATCGCTTCTTTTCCTCCCCACGGCTGCGCTCTGCCCCTGGCTACCTAGATCACCAGTCCCTGGGCTGGGGCGGGCCGCCGCGAGGGAGGCGAACAGGAGAGGGGGAAACAGACAGGCAGGCGGCCACGCATCCCACCCGGGGAGGCAGAAAAGGGCTGGCGAGGCAGGCGCCCCCGACCCACCCCACCCCCACGGCGGCCGGCCGCCCGGAGCACCCGGCCCAGGTGAGGACGCGCGGGCCGCCGCGGCCGCCCCTCGCCGCTCCCGCCCGCCCGAAGCGGCCGGCACGGGGACTTACCACAGTGACTCGAGGTCCCATTCCTGGAGCAGGGCTAAGTCGAAGCTGTCCATGGTGGGAGGTGTCAGCGTCGCCGCCGCCGCTACCGCCGCCGCCGCCGAAGCTCGGGCCGCCCGCGCGCTGCGACGAAAGGCGCCGCTCAAGGTGCATCCCAGCCGCGCCAGAGCGGCCGCCGCCCGCCCCCAGGTCGGGGCTCCCGACGCCCCCCGCCCCCGACTCCGGGCCGGCCGGGCTGGCTGCAGCGGCCGGCGCACTCACCCGCTCCCCGGCTTGCGCGCAGGCACACTCAAGAGAGAGCAGCGAGCTCGCCGCGCCGCCGCCGCCGCCGCCCCCGGCCCTGCGCCGCCGCCGCCGCCGCCGCCGCCGCCGCCCCCGCCCCGCCTGGCCCCCGGCCCCGCCCCCGGCCCTGCGCCGCCGCCGCCGCCGCTCTTAGGGTTCCGTCTGCTCATCAGACAACAGATATTTATTGAATGTAAGTAGTTGCTGAGGTTTTATGCTTCACTGACATTCTACCCCCTGGGAATGAGTGTTCCTGGGAATGTGCATTTCTTTCCTTTTTTTTTTTTTTTTTTAACAAAACCAGGTTTTTCCCTAAGGAATGCACCTTCCCCAAAGTTTCCCGCATCCTCCTGCCTACATAATTCACTTATATAGTCACTATGACATTAATTAGATTCAGAAGTCTGTGGAAACAGCAGAGCTCGGCAGGGTCAGAGGGCAAGCAGGGCAGAGAAAAGAGAGGGGAAAATGAGCCCCGGGAGAGGGGAAGGAAGTGGAGGGAAGTTTTTCATGCCCTTCAAGTACCAAACAAAACAAAGATAATTTCAAAAGTGGTCAGCCACTATAACACTGCTTAGAGAATTAAAGTATTGACAAATTGAAGAGTGCTTTAAAATAAAGTGGATGGGGCATAAGCATGTATGTCTTGGTGTTAGTTGCTCCTTATACAGCCGGTACTAAAGGCTGGTGGGTGAAGCTTACCACATTTTAAAAAGAAAAAGGCAGGCACACATACTAAAGTTGAAAATGCAGGCAGGAAGGACATTTACTTTTCATAAAAGCGGATCAGAAAAGCATCTCCTATCACAGATCATGTATTTTATGCCATGCTGACCAATGTTGGGGGATAATCTCATTATTTTGTGATATGAGAAGATCCTTTGATGCTGGTAACAAGAACCAATCATCCTGACTTAAATCTTAATATCCCCACAGGTTCTTTGTCATGCGTCTTCAAGATGTGCCCTGGCCATTCATGCAAGTTTCAAGGACTCTGAATCTGTTGAGAAAAAGAGGTTACGTTCCAATTCTGCTTTAGTTCCAACCCAAATGCTGAGAAACACTCCATGGAATTTAATTACAGGGCGATAACTGTGATCTTACCAAGATTTATGAACAGGAAGATCCTTGGTGATTGTAGTCAGTCAAAGGGTGGCTTTGACATAGCACCTATCTGTTAGGGCAAATACTGCCAGGGAAAAGGTGACATTTGGAATCATCTGGGATTGGACTCTTGATCAATAGATGCGAAATGTCAGGTGGACATGAGAACTGTTGGTCTTTGGTACATATGTGTTGCAATGAGTAAGGATGAGTAATGTGAAGGAAAAGTAGAATCTTGGGACCCCAAACTCACTATGCCAAAGGGAAAGTTAAGCGTGGGAGACTGAGTCAGGCAAAAACTGCCTTCCTTTTGTTCCCAAATAGATGGCTGTAATTTCACATGCTTGCGTTATGTGAAATGTGGATTCATTGAGTGCTAATCAGAGCCCCACAAGAATGAAAGCACTTGCCTTGCTGCCTACCCTCCCTCCTCTTTTTTCTTCCCCTCCTGCTTGCTCTTTTCCCTTTAAATAATGAAGTTCCCAAAACCCTCTTTGGAAAAAGCATAGGTCACAAATCCTATTATAACTTGCATTTCTTTTTCCTGGGTACATTCTCAACCTGGGCAAAATAAACCTCTAATCAACGAAGATCTGTCTCAGGCACTTTTTGGTTTAGAGTAAAAATAAGGAGACGTGGGAGCATAGAGTAGAACCTGGGCTTGGGGTAGGGTAGTGACTGTGTGTTCAGACTGAAAAGACAAGGCTCTGATAACAAGGAAAAGCCTCTTCTCGCTGGTCAGACAGGAGACATATTCCAGTAAAACCTGACTCTGGTGTCCACCTCTCTCAAGACAAACACATGTAGAAATTTGAGATAGAGATAGGCAGAGCTTGGTTTAAATTCTAGCTCTGTCATTTTGTAGCATGAGACTTGGTCACATTCATAAAGCTTTTAGAACTTACTTCATGTCACTTGTTATATGGACAGCTGATCCACAAATAGCACACTTATTGTGAGGATTTTTTTTTTTTTTTTTTTGAGATGGAATCCTGCTCTGTCACCCAGGCTGGAGTGCAGTGGCATGATTTCGGCTCACTGCAACCTCCACCTCCTGGGTTCAAGCCATCCTCCTGCCTCAGTCTTCCCAGTAGCTGGGATTACAGGCATGCACCACCACGCCCAGCTAGTTTTTGTATTTTTAGTAGAGACAGGGTTTCACCGTGTTGGCCAGGCTGGTCTCAAACTCCTGACCTCATGATCTATCTTTGGCCTCCAAAAGTGAGTCACCTCACCCAGAGGAGTAAACAAGGTGGATTACATAAGCAATCTCAAGTAACTGATTCACAGAGCCTCAATTAATGCTATGGGGATTTTTTTCTCTTTTGGGGACTTCACTCAAGGAGTTGTCTTCCCACCCTGTTCATGACTCATTATCACTATCTGTCCATGCAATACATCCAATTATTAACGTTGTTCTGGAAAGTAGTCTACTGTTGGCAAATGCTTCAAAAACATAAATTATGAAATGCTGAGATGTTCCTGCCAATGATAATTACTAAGGCAGAACTCCAGCTACCATTTTACTAAGATTTCCAAAGGAGTCAAATATCCCCCAAAACTAAGCTCTTTCCTTCTGTATTCTATGAGCTCCACTGCCGTAGGATGACTGTGAGACACAGCAGTGGCATTAGAAAGGGCTCACTCCCGCTTCTTTTTGGTAAAAGGGGTTTTGTTGCTAAACTAGCAGAGTGAACCACTGAACCCTCCAACAGGGGATGAGGCTTTGAATTGTTATGTCCACTGTTAAACAGATTCCAAATGTGCTTGGCTGCACATTCAGGCCCTGGGGCATGGAGCTGGGATTGAGGCTCTGGTGCTGCCTGAACCCACATGCTGGGGAGTCAAGATGATTGAGGGCAAGTGCATTGGAGGGTGGGGGTGGGGGGAGCGTGGGGGTGGGGGACAGGGCAGGATGGAGAGGAAGGGGGTAGGGTGGGACAGGACAGGGAGGGTGAGGGCAGGGCACAGCAGGGAGGTGGTTGTTCTGCAGGGCTGGGTGAGTGTTAGGGAAAGAATGCTAATGCACCTAACCAAGAAGTATTAAGTCACAAAGTTTTGTTCTTGGTTGTGCAAAGAAGAATCACCATGTGACATGAGTCAGGTCCTCCTAGGAGTTGCCATCAGGGAGGGAATTATATGATATCCCTGAAAACCAGGTCTAAGCAAAGCATACAACACTATAATTGTCCTCTTATTTTTCTATAAAATGAGGATTTTCACATGTTCCTTATGAGTTGCTGTAGCCAAAGCCTTCTTCCTTGTGATCTGGGAAAAAAGGGTTCCTCCTGTTTGTCTTAGATCACCCTGCAGGTACATGTGGGTTGGAGCTGGTGTCACTCACTCCCAGATGAAGGCTTGGAGGTCCATGAAGGGGTGAATAAGACCAGGGTCTCATGGTTTCTTTATCCTTCTTCAGCTTTGTCTGCTTAGTTTTCAGACCATCCTGAAGGAGAATGTGGAGGAAGACAGGTGGCAGCCGAGTTCCTGACAAGGAACCCACGGGTGCGTGGGGACTTGCTCTTTCTCCTGAGTTGATTACCCTTTGCCAGCAGACGAGCACATTTCTCCTCTTGGCCTGGATCTTCTATTAGTAAGGGTGTCCGGGAAGTGTTCATGCAAGTTCTGTTTCTCCAGAACTCTAGAATGCTCATGGCAGATCAAGAACTCATCATGAGATCATGTCCTTCCCAACATGTACATTAATTTTTTCATTCTCCGTTGAGGATGTCCTTTCAGGGAACATAAGTGAAGGGCTGTCTTTTTCTCATCCATCCAATGCTGTGTTAGGGAAATGACTCACTCAATTAACCATGTCAGTGGTTGCAGGGGTCTTAGGTGTGTGGTGACCACAGGTAACAGGGATGTGTGACAGCAGGTGCTGAAGGTTGGGTATGGAGGTAGGTGTTTCATCAGGTGCTCAGCCCGTCAGGCCAGGCAGCTTCCACATACGCCACTTTGTCTCTTTCCTCATCTGTTTTCTTTCACAGCACTTACAACTGCCTGAACATTGTTTATTTACTTAAATCTAGTTTATCAACCACTAGAACACGTCTTCCTGACCACAGTTTTGTGTCTTTATTACTACTCCATCTCCAACATTGAGAACAGTGCTGGGAACTCAATGACTATTTTTTTGAATAAATAAATGGATTAAATTTTTTACTAAGTGACAATACTGTTTTAAGCACTAAGCTAGGGTTTGAGACCATAGTAATAAAAATATAGCCATTTTCTTTTCCAAATAGAACCTAGATTGTTCCAATGGATCTTAATTTTATTGCATTAATTATGAGAATAAATTCCACAACCCACTGTGGAAACATTTAAATCTTCACTGCTGCTGAGACTCAGGGGCTTGGTGTCAGGGGTTTTCCTTCCTGCTCCAGGGAAGGGCCCTCAATGTCCTTGGTGTTCAAGGTGCTCTTCCCCGGGTGCCCTTCCATGCTCGCCTTGTCTTGTTGGGAGCCTGCCTTAGATCTGAAGATCACACACAGTTCTCACACAGAATTCAAAATCCATGCAACTTTGCCCAGAGAGCATCAGCTCTGCAAGTCATTCATGATTTCCCAGTTGAAGCAAGAAGCAATGCTGTGGAGGGAAGGAAGGATTTCTCCAGAGCCCAAATCCAGGTGAGCTTCAAAAACCCTTGGAGTTTTCTGAGTGACAGCAGTGTCTTAGAGATGCTAGTGAGGTGACTGTGATGAGCCCCTAGATAGCTTCAGGATGGGGACAGGTCACCAGAAAGATCAACTATGCAATTACAGGGTTGATACTTTGACCCAGCCCAACCTGGGGGTGGGAGGAGCAGGAGATTGAGTTTGATTATGTGGTCAATGATTTAATCAACCAAGCCTACATAATGAAACCTCAGAAAGCTCTCTAGACACTGAGGTTCAGGGGAGCTTCTAGGTTGGTGAACACTTTGCTGACCAGGAGGGTAACCAGCAGTGACTCCATGGGGAGAGGGCACACAGCTCTGCATTCCCTCTAGACCTCACCCTATACATCCCTTCATGTAGTTGTTACCAAGTTGTATGTTTTATAATAAACCTGTAATCATAATTATTGCTTACTCTTGAGCTCTATGAGTTATTTCAGTGAATTATTGAATCTGAGGGGAAATCAAATGAAAACCTCTGATTTTATAGCCAGTTGTGTAGAAGTACAAGTGGCTTGGGCCCCCCCCCACCAAGGTGTGCCTAGCATCTGAAATCTTAAGAACAGCTTTGTGGGAATGAGCCTTTAAATATGTGAAGTCTGATGCTAACTCTTGATAGTTAGTGTCAGAATTGGATTTCCATATACCCCTGGTGTGGTTAAAATGGAATAGGGGAACATCAGATAATGTATACTGGAGAAGGAAGTGAAATAAACATAAGAAACCCTTTACAAAAAAAAAAAAAAAAAAAGAAAGAAACCCTTTACTCACAGAGCAACTCTTGTAGGACACACAAGGATTCACGTAGTACAGAACAATTTCAGTGTAACTAATGAGGGACAGGGCCCAGTGATCACTCATTCCTCAGTCAGTATTACAGTTCTCACAGCGGGGCAATACTAATCCTAAAGTCAAAGTGGAAAAACTATCTGCTGGAATTCATCAGAAAACTCAAACCAGGAAAAAACTCTATCAAGAACCCTTTAGGAAGTCCTAGCTAGAGCAATCAGACAAAAGAAAGAAATAAATGGCATCCAAATTGGAAAGGAAGAAGTCAAATTATTCTTATATATGACATGATCTTAAATTTGGAAAAACCTAAAGACTCCACCAAAAAACTATTAGAACTGATAAATTCAGTAAAGTTGCAGAATACAAAATTAACATACAAAAATCAGTAGCATTTCTATATGCCAACAGTAAACAATCTGAAAAAGAAATCAAGGAAATAATCCCATCTACAATAGCTACAAATAAAATAAAATATCTAGAAATAAACTTAACCAAAGAAATGAATGATCTCTACAATGAAAACTGTGAAACACTGTTGAAAGAATTGAAGAGGACACAAAGAAATGGAAAGATATTCCATGTTCATGGATTGGAAGAGTCAATATTGTTAAAACGTCCATACTACTCAAAGCAATCTACAGGTTCAATGCAATCCCTAACAAAATACCGAAGACATTCACAGACATAGAAAAAAAATCCTAAAATTTTCATGGAACCACACAAGACCCAGAATAGCCAAAGCTATCCTAAACAAAAAGAACAAAACTGGAAGAATCACATTACCTGACTTCAAATTATACTACAGAGCTATAGTAATCAAAACAGCATTGTACTGGCATAAAAACAGACACATAGACCAACGGAACAGAACAGAGGATCCAGAAACAAACCCATACTCCTGCAGTGAACTCAGTTTTAACAAAGTGCCGAGAACAGACATTGGGGAAAGGATGGGCTCTTCAATAAATGGTGCTGGGAAAACTGGGTATGCAAAGGCAGAAGAATGAAACTAGACCCCTGTCTCTTGCCACATACAAAAATCAAATCAAAATGGGTTAAAGACTTAAATCCAAGTCCTCAAACTATGAAACTACTCCACAAAAACATTGGGGAAACCCTCCAGGACATTGGCCTAGATAAAGATTTTTTGAGTAATACCCCACAGGCATGGGCAACCAAAGCAAAAATGGACAAATGGGTCACTTGTTTAAAAGCTTATACACAGCAAAGGAAACAATCAACAAGTAAAGAGACAACCCACAGAATGGGAGAAAATATTTGCAAACTGCTCATCTGACAATGGATTAATAACTAGAATACATAAGGAGCTCAAACAACTCTATAGGAAAAAAATCGAATAATGTGATTAAAAAATGGACAAAAATTCTGAGTAGACATTTCTCCAAAGAAGACATATAAATGGCAAACAGGCATATAAAAAGGTGCTCAACATCATCAGTCAGCAGAGAAATGCAAATCAAAACTACAATGAGATATCATCCCACCTTAGTTGGAATGGCTTTTATGCAAAAGACAACCAATAACAAATACTGGCAACAATATGGAGAAAAGAGAATCCATGTTCACTGTTGGTGGGAATGTAAATTAGTTCAACCACTATGGAGAACAGTTTGGGGGGTTTCTCAGAAAATGAAAAATAGAACTACCAAATGATCCAGCAACCCCACTGCTAGGTATATACCTAAAAGAAAGAAAATCAGTGTATTGAAGGGATATCTGCACTCCCATGTTTATTGCAGCAGTATTCACAATAGCCAAGATTTGGAAGCAGCCCAAGTATCCATCAACAGACAAATGCATCAAGAAAATGTGGTGCATATACCCTACGGAGTACTATTCAGCTGTAAAAAAGGAATGGGATCCTGTCATTTACAACAACATGGATGGAACTCGAGGTCATAGTGTTAAGTGAAATAAACCAGGCACAGAAAAACAAATTTCCCATATTCTCACTTATTTGTGGGAGCTAAAAATCAAAACAACTGAATTCATGGAGACAGAGAGCAGAAGGATGGTGACCAGAGGCTGGAAAGGGAAGTGGAGGGTGAGGGGAAATAGGGGTGATTAATGGGTACAAAAATATAGTTAGATAGAATGAATAATATCTAGTATTTGATAGCATAACAGAGTGACTATAGTCAACAGTGATGTATTGTACATTTTAGAATAACTAAAAAAGTATAATTGGGTTGTTTGTAATGCAAAAAAAGTATAAATGCTTGAGGGGATGGATACCCCATTTACCCTGATGTGATTATTATGCAGGGCATGCCTGAATCAAAACATCTCACATACTCCATGAATATGTACCTACTACATGCCCACAAAAATAAAATTAAAAAATTTCTAAAAAGAACCCTTTAGCCCACAATTCATTTAAGAACTCAGAATTTTGCCATGTGACTCAATTTTTAAAAGTAAGATAAAAATAGGAATTGTGATATTATTTGGGTTATTGAATGCAAAATTTTGTGACAAGTAATAAGTGATGAGGTTACAGATTAAATACTTTTCAATAGATTGATACTTTTCAATACATATGCAGCCAAAGTTGCTGAAAAATACCATATGTTGGTCAGTTTCTAGCTTTTTATGCAGCTCTAAACATAATTTTATTAGTAGAAATTTGGATCCATCAGAAAATGACTGAAAATGAACTGAGAGACACAAAATTATGCATCTTAACCATTATATTAGTATTATGTGTTCATACACATGGCAAATATTTATATGAACATGGATAAATAATGCATAATTTATGAATGAAGTCTGATGTTAATATAATTCCTCCTTTAAAATGTCAAACCTGTTCATACTTTCCCACCTACACTGCCATGGTTATTCCTCACCTTGACAAGCAGGAGAGGGCAGGGAGAGGAGGCTAGGAGGGAGGAAACAGGCAGAAGGAGACGCCGCAGGAGCATGCAGTATGCGGGTGAGTGTCCCCAGCCGTACTGGGGCAAGGATGGACTGGTGGCGGGGGATGAAGGGCAGTAGGAGCAGAAAGAAGGAAGAGGGCTGCACAGGCAAGGCACTGATGGGGCAAATGAGGCGGTGAGGTTTAGTATCGAGAGCATCACAGCCACAGAGGAGAGGAAATGCAATGAAGATGTGGGTGTGTTGTCCTGGGAAGCTCACGCCTCCTCATGAGGGTGCTACCAATTCTTGTGAGAATCAGATCAGCTGAAGCATACAGAGCACTCTCTCTGCTGAACAGCGGGAGCTCAGTTCCTGTTGTTTCACTCTCATCTCTCCCAGTTCTTTCTGATAAACCTTGAGCTGCTCCTCCTTGTAAATTAGAACCTCCAACTTTCTAAGTTGGAAGGGGACTGAAAGGCTATTTTAGTAGACACAATTCTAAGACAGCCCCCCAGATTCTGTCCCCTGGAGTCCACTCCTGTACAATCTCCTCCCATTGAGGGGGGCCTGGACTTCTGAATA
This sequence comes from Homo sapiens, assembly GCF_000001405.40. Classification (NCBI taxonomy): domain Eukaryota; kingdom Metazoa; phylum Chordata; class Mammalia; order Primates; family Hominidae; genus Homo; species Homo sapiens. Next base: position 109,751,473 of record NC_000002.12, on the reverse strand, counting down.
TATTGGGATGTCTTTTCCCTAATTAGATAACCTTACATGGCAATGCTGGAGGTGGCAGGGGTGGGGGGTGGTTGCAGATATATTTAAGGTCTATAGTATTCTGACTGTGATATAATCAAGAGGTATATTTTGTCTAATTAGAAGAGTCCTTTTGAAGAGAGTCTATGGGTCAGAAATGAAGGAAGTCTGAGAGACATTCCTAACACTCAACATAAATCAATTGGTAATTTGAGGTTTCCAGTCATTTGTTTCACATAAATAGAACTAACAGAGGTATCTAGACTCCTCTGCCCTGTTCCCTGGATCCTAGTCCTAGTTTTAACCAGTTACTAAATCCTTGTCAACAAAGGATCATCCAGCCTGTTCCTAAACAATCCCAATGTAGGGACCTGACTGACACCTAAGGTAGATTAATTTGGTTTTATAAATAGGGTTAATAATTATAGTAGTGGGGCCGGGTGCAGTGGCTCACTCCAATAATCCCAGCACTTTGGGAGGCCGAGGAGGGCAGATCACGAGGTCAGGAGTTCGAGACAAGCCTGGCTAACATGGTGAAACCCCGTCTCTACTAAAAGTACCAAAATTAGTAGGGCATAGTGGTGCACGCCTGTAATCCCAGCTACTCAGTAGGCTGAGGCAGAAGAATCACTTGAATTCGGGAGGTGGAGGTTGCAGTGAGACGAGATCACGCCAGTGCACTCCAGCCTGGGTGACAGAACAAGACTCTGACTCGAAAAAAAAAAATTATTATTATTATTATTATTATTATTATTATAGTAGTGATTCTTTTTACCTGTTCAGCACTAAGTAGATGCCAGCTACCATGCGAAGTCCTTGATCTTATCAAATTTTTACAATAGCCTCATGTGGACAAGAGAGAAGGGCAGGGTAGCTAGGTGAGAATCAACCATTTAGTTCAACCTCATTCAGTTGTGAGGAATCTCAGGCCCAGATATGTTAAGCTTGGGGGTTACAAAGCTCCCTGCTGCTGTTTTCAACCATTAGCATAACCCAGAACACCTAGATGTTTCCTCTATTTTCTATGAACTCAGCAAAAGTATCCTTGACCCACACAATCTCCTATGGTTGTGCTTGTATGCACTACTCTTGTGCTGTGACCAGAATTCAGTTCACAGCAGCCTTTCATGTTGTCACAGTGTTAACTTAGCACATCTTCAACACCACCAGCCTGTGATGTACTTTAGAGAATTGTACATTTCTGGCTATATATGATTTAAACACAGTCAAACATCTATCATACTGAAAATTCAAAATTCATAAATCTATAAAATGCTTTAGAGGCTCAGAAAAGAAGTGAGCTGGCATTGAGAACTTTTCATATATTTGAGTTTGTCATTTTAATTAAGTTTTGAATGACTGTAATACTCATTATTATCCAAACAGGTTTTAAAGGGACTCTTGTATGACATCAGTTTTTTCTGGAGATAAGCTAACAAATGGTGTGACATGCTATGAAACAGGTTTTATTGTTAAGGGAAGAAATATATATTCAGCAAAGCATATGTGTTGTCCATAAAACATACCACATTATGTGACCTTGTCAGTAGTTAAAAATCAAGTCAAGTTCCATCCAACCCTAACATTCATTAGGCTAAATTTCTTAAAAACAATTGTATCATATTAAATAATAATTGTAATTATTTCTCAAACTTTCTAATCTTGCACCTATTAGAAGTGTTTTTTGTTTTCTTTTTTTTTTTTTAGATGGAGTCTCACTCTGTCACCCAGGCTGGAGTGCAGTGGCATGATCTCAGCTCACTGTAACCTCTGCCTTCTGGCTTCAAGCAATTCTCCTGCCTCAGCCTTTCAAGTAGCTGGGATTATAGGTGCCTGCCACCATGCCCAACTAATTTTTTGTATTTTTAGTAGAGACAGTGTTTTGCCATGTTTCACCATGCCTGACAAGGCCAGACTGGTCTCAAACTCCTGACCTCAGGTGATCCACCCACCTCAGCCTCCCAAAGTGCCGGGATTACAGGTGTGAGCCACTGCGCCCGCCTCAGAACAGTTCTTAAAGGATGCCTCTACTCCTCTATTTGTCTATGGGTTTATTACCTTATATTAAAGCATCTTAGAGACTTTTCAGGACAATACACATGGCTTTTACCATCACTGGAAAGTATTTCTTGCAAATACTTGATAACTTTAACAAAGTGATCTTCCCTGTTTCAGCTGACACTAAAGACACACTCATCCTCCGATGAAGCCGCACACATCAGCTAGCAAGAGTATCAGTGTTTCCACCGTGGAGGTTCGATTCAGTTGCTCTGAACGCTGGTCATACCAAATATACCTCTCTCTGCTCTCCACTGAAAGAAACTCAGCTGGGTGTTCATTCCAAAGTTAGGTTTCTATACTTCTTTGGAACAAATCATCTGAGTTGTGTAGTAAAGAGAAGTCATAATGCAATTCATAGACATATGAATAAAATGCTAAAGGTTTCACAAATGCTAAATTGTAGGGATATTTCAGGCAGTATATGGTTTCCTTTCTATTACTAAGGGTAAATTCATTTTTTATACATGTTTATTTTAAGCTAGTCTTTATTTATTTATTTATTTATTTATTTATTTATTTATTGAGATGGAGTCTCTCTCTGTCACCCAGGCCAGAATGCAGTGGCACAATCTTGGCTCACTGCAACCTCCGCCTCCTGGGTTCAAGCGATTCTCCTGCCTCAGTCTCCCGAGTAGCTGGGATTAGAGGCATATGCCACCACGCCCAGCTAATTTTTGTGTTTTTCGTAGAGATGGGGTTTTGCCATGTTGGCCAGGCTGGTTTTGAACGCCTGACCTCAGGTAATCCGCCCGCCTCGGCCTCCCAAACTGCTGGGATTACAGGCGTGAGCCACTGCGCCCGGCCTAAGCCAGTTTTTTAAATGGGGAATATAGAATTCTAATTGTGTCTCATTCTCTGTTGTACAGAAAATTGAAGAGTTATGCAATAGTACTGGGGGTTACAATATAAATACTCTTTTAAAGGTAAGGCGGGCTAAGCAATTTTTACACCTAGAAAATGAAAAACCAAAATGTTTTATTTTCCATGGAAAGGTAACTTGTAATCAGTCCACTGAAAGTATATTGGTTAGTGTTGTTTATTTGGCTTAGACTTAGAGGATAAGAATTTGTGAGACAGATCCTCTTAAAGAGGTATAAATGTTAGGCCAGGTGCGGTGGCTCACGCCTGTAATCCCAACGCTTCGGGAGGCTGAGGTGGGTGGATCACCTGGCCAATGTGGTGAAACCCCGTCTCTGTTAAAAATAGAAAAATTAGCTGGGTGTGATGATGTGTGCCTGTAGTCCCAGCTACTCAGGAGGCTGAGGCAGGAGAATTGCTTGAACCCGAGAGGTGGAGGTTGCAGTGAGCCAAGATCACGCCATTGCACTCCAGCCTGGCGACAGAGCGAGACTCCGCCTCAAAAAAAAAAAAAAAAAAAAAAAAGGTATAAATGTTAAAAAATTTAAAATTCCTTTAGCTTAATATTTTTTTCCGACAATCTCCTTCAACTTAAGTTTAATGGAAATTTAGGACCCTGTAAGAAGTAGTTTGATGGAAATGCAAGACCATGGCATTCTAACCTTGATGTTAAACAACTGGGTTGAGAATGACAGGAACAAAAATTAGTTTACCTTAGACAGTACATTCAAATTACTACCAAACTGAACCAAAAGTTTAGTGTGTAGGTATTATTAATGATTTTTTTTTTTTTGAGACAGGGTTTTGCTCTTTTTGCCCAGGCTCAATCAAGTGCAATGGCGCAATCTTGGCTCACTGCAACCTCCGCCACCCCAGTTCTCCTGCCTCAGCCTCCGGAGTAACTGGAATTACAGGCACCCACCATCACGCCCAGCTAATTTTATATTTTTAGTAGAGACGGGATTTCACCAGGCTGGCCAGGCTCGAACTCCTGACCTCAGGAGATCTGCCCACCTCGGCCCCGCAAAGTGCTGGGATTACAGGCGTTAAGCCTGTTAATGATCTTATAGGGCAAAGTCGTCCTTGAACATCAGGCATATTTAAAAAAACATTTTTTAGAGTCGTTGATTTGAATCATTTTGAAAGGAAAACTAATTTTATACCTCAAAACGAATTTAGATTATGTCTAGTCATAATTATTTTATAGTCATAAATGTCTGTTTTCTAAATCTGGGGATCTTGCTCAGTGTAATAAAATATTCATTTTTGTACCTATTAGATTCACTTAACTACTAAAGCTGGTATTTTTTATTACCTCATATGCTGATAAGATAATGAATATTTTCTTAATAAATGTTCAGTAATATTGGGAAGATCATGGTGCTATATGAATCATGTTTCATATATAAAGAAATCAAGGATAAGAAAGGCATATAGATATATTATTTGCGCTATGTTACTAAGAATGGATATCATCTGTCTCAGCCCATCTGGGTTGCCATAAAAGAATACCTGAGACTAGATAGTTTATAAAGAAAAATGATTTATTTGGCTCACAATTCTGTTGGCTGAAAGATTGGGCATGTGGTGAGGGCCTCTGGCTGCCTCCACTCATGGAGAAAGACAAAGGGGAGTTGGCATGCAGAAATCGCATGGCGAGAGAGGAAGCAAGAGAGAGAGGAGGAGGTACCAGGCTCCTTTAACAACCAGCTCTCATGGGAACTAACAGAGCAAGAATTCACTCATAAATCCCCCGCCAGGGAGGGCATTAACCTACTCATGAGGGAGCCAACCCCATGATCCAAACACCTCCCATTAGGCCCCACCTCCAACACTGGGTATTAAATTTTAACATGAGGTTCAGGGGCCAACATCTAAACCATAGCATCATCTGTTGTGTATAACAAAAAAAAAAAATGAAGAATATTTGTGGAAACATCACTTAAGTCTATGCGAGATTTCACAAATACCTTGCCATTCCTAGAAGTCGAAATGACTTTTTTATAATTTTGGATTGGCACATTTATAAACATTTTCCAAATACAGTGTCACCACCTATAACAGTGGTTTGATTTAGTATCTCTTTAGATCTTTCTACATGTTTACAGGAGAGTTTTGGAAAATTAGTTCATTTGTTCTAATTCTTTATACATTTATTGGAATGTAATAGAAACTAATTAGCTGGTATGTTTAATGTAGATTTCAGAATTGTCAATCAAATGTGCTGTGCTCATTACTCAACTATTGAAGCCAGAACTTTTTCTCAATATCTTTACCTTTTTTTCAAGCATTTCATTACCTTTTTAAAAACTAATACACTATGTTTAGAGCTTGGTTTTACAGAAAAACCAAGCAGAAAATACAGTGTCTCCTTTACTTCCTCCCCCACTTTCTCCTCATCTCCCCTCTTCCAGTTTCCTCTATCATTAACTTCACTGTAGTACATTTGCTACAACTGATTAACCAATAATGATGCATTATTATTCACTGAATCCTTAATTTTAATTAGGACTACCTTTTTTTTTTTTTTAGATGGAATCTTACTCTATTGCCCATGCTTGAGTGCAATGGTGCAATCTAGGCTGACTGCAACCTTTGCCTCCCGGATTCAAGCGATTCTCCCGCCTCAGCTTCCCGAGTAGCTGGGATTACAGGCACACACCACCATGCCTGGCTAATTTTTGTATTTTTGCAGAGATGGGGATTCACCATGTTGCCCAGGCTGGTCTTGAACTCCTGACCTCAGGTGATCCACCCGCCTCAGCCTCCCAAAGTGCTGGGATTAAAGGCGTGAGCCACCATCCCCCGCCGGGCTATGCCTTTATGTTTTGTACTTCTAGGGCTTCTGACAAATGCACAATGGCATATGTCCATCATCACAGAATCATAAAAAATAGTTTTACTGCCCTAAAAATCTGCTGTGCTCCACCTATTTATTCCTGGCTCCCATCCCCCACCAACTACTGATCATTTTACTGTCTCTATAGTTTTGCCTTTTCCAGAATGCCAAATGGTTGGAATCTTACAGTGTGTAGCCTTTTCTGACAGGCTTCCTTCACCTTGCAACATACATTTAAAGTTTCTCCATGATTTTGCATGGCTTAACAGTTCATGTCCTGGACAGCGTGGTGGCTCATGCTTGTAACCTCAGCACTTTGGGAGGCTGAGGTGAGCAGATCACTTGAGCTCACAAGTTTAAGACCAGCCTGGGCAACATGGCAAAATCCTACCTCTATAAAAAATTTTAAAAAATTAACTGGGCATAATAGTACATGCCTGTAGTACCAGGTACTTGGGAGGCTGAGGTGGGAGAAAAACTTCAGCCTGGGAGGCAAAGATTGCAGTGAGCCAAGATCACACCACCACACTCCAGCCCGGGCAATAGAACCAGACCTTGTCTCAAAAAACAAAAACAAAAACAAACAAACAAAACGGAAAAAATATATATAGTTCACATCCTTTTATTGCTGAATAATATTCCATGATATAGATATACCACAGATTGTTTATCCATTCACCTACTGCTTCCAGTTTGAGACAATTGTGAATAAAGCTGCTATACGCACTCATGTGCATTTTTGGTGGGGACATAAATTTACAACTTCTTTGGATAAATATCAAAGAGCTTGATTAGTAGATTGTATAGTAAGAGTATGTTTAGTTTTGTAAGAAACAGCCAAAGTCTTCCAAAGTAATGGTGCTGCTTTGCTTTTCCACCAGCAATGAGTGAGAATTCCTGTTGCTCCACATTCTCACCAGCATTCGATGTTATCAGTGTTCTGGATTTTAGCCATTCTAATCGGTGTTTAGTGATATGTAATTGTTGTTTTAATTTCCAGTTCCCTGGTGACATATGATGTTGAGCATCTTTTCATACAATTAATTATTTGCCATTTGTATATCTACTTTGGTGAGATATCTATTCAGATCTCTTACTTGTTAATTAGATCATTTATTTTATTATTATTGGCTATTAAGAATTCTTTGTATAATTTGGAGTAAACAGCCACAGAATGGGAGAAACTATTCGCAAACTACACGTCTGACAAAGGTCTACATCCAGAATCTATAAGGAATGTAAACAAATCAACAAGCAAAAAAAAAAAAAATTTCTCAAAAGAAAACATATAAGTGCCTAAGAAATATATGAAAAGATGCTCAACATCACTAATTCATCAAAGAAATGCAAATCAAAACCACAATGAGAAAACATCTCACGCTAGTAAGAATGGCTATTATTACAAAGTCAAAAAACAACAGATGCTGACAAGACTGCAGAGAAAAGAGAATGCTTATACAGTATTGTTGGGAATGTAAATTAGCTCAGCCACTGTGGAAAGCAGTTTGGAGATTTCTCAAAGAACTTAGAACTACCATTCAACCCAGAAATCCCATTATTGGATATATATCCAAAAGAAAAATTGTTCTACCAAAAAGACACTTGCACTCACATGTTCATCACAGCACTATTCACAAAAGCAAAGACATAGAATCAACTTAGGTGCCCATCAATGGTGGATTTGATAAAGAATACATGGTACAGATATACCATGGAATACTATGCAGCCATAAAAAGGAACAAAATCCTATGCTCTGTAACAGCATGGATGCAGCTGCAGTCCATCATCCTAAGTGAATAAACCCAGGAACAGAAAATCTACTGCCACATGTTCTCACTTGTAAGTGGGAGCTAAACACTGGGTACTCATGGACGTAAAGATGGCAATAGACACTGGGGACTAGTAAATGAGGAGGATGGGAGGTGGCAAGGGTTGAAAAACTAACTATTGGGTACTATGCTTGACACCTGAGTGACAGGATCGTTCATACCCCAAACATCAGCATCACACAATATACCCAGGTAGCAAATCTGCACAAATATCCACTGAATCAAAACTAAAAGTTGCAAAAAGAAAAATAGAAAAAAAGAGTTCTTTGTATATTTTGGATAACAGTCCTTTATCAGATATATCTTTGCAAATATTTTCTTTCAACCTGTGGCTTGTCTTCTCATTCTCTTAATAGTATCTTTCACAGAACAGCAATTGTTATTTTTAGCAAAGTCCAACTGTCGATTTTTCTTTTATGGATATTGCTTTTGGTTTCATACCTAAAAAGTCAGCCAAACCCATGATTACCTAGATTTTCTTCTATGTTATATTTTTAAAGTTTTATCATTTTGCATTTTACATTGAAGTCATTGATACATTTTGAGTTAATTTTTGTGAAAGGTGTAAGGTCTATGTCTAGATTTTTATTATTTTTTGAGATGGGGTCTTGCTCTGCCACCCAGGCTGTAGTGCAGTGATGCCATCGTGGCTTACTGCAGCATCGGCCTCCCAGGTTCAAGCCATCCTCCCACCTCAGCTTCCCAAGTAGCTGAGACTACAGGCACTAGCCACCACACTCAGCTAATTTTTAAATTTTTTGTAGACAGGGGGTCTCTCTATGTTGCACAGGCTGCTCTTGACCTCCTGAGCTCAAGTGATTCTCCCATCTCCGCCTCCCAAAGCATTGGGATTACAGGTGTGAGCCACCATGCCTGGCTAGATTTTTTTTAATGTAGATGTCCAATCATTTCAGCATCATTTATTTTTGTATTAAATTGTCTTTGCTCCTTTGCAAATATCAGTTGACTATACCTGTTGGCATCTATTTTTGGGCTTTCAATTCTATTCCATTGACTGTTCATTTAATCTTCTGCTAATACCACATTGTCCTGATTGTTCTAGCGTTATGTTCTCACTTATAAGTGAGATAAGTGAGTAAGTCTTGAAATCAGATGGTGTCAGTACTCTGACTTCATTCTCCTTTAATACCATGTTGACTATTCTGGGTCTTTTGCCTCTTTATATAAACTTTAGAATCAATTTGTTAATTCCACAAAACAACTTGCTGAGATTTTTATTAGGATTGTATTGGATCTACAGATTAAGTTGGGAATAACTGACATCCTAACAATATTGGATCTTCCTATTCATGAACATGGAATACTTCTCTATTTATTCAAATCTTTATTTTTTTATCAGAGTTTTGTAGTCTTCCCCATATATATCATTCATACATATATAGTTTGTTTGTTTGTTTGTTTGTTTGTTTTTGTTTTTGTTTTTTTGAGAAGGAGTTTCCCTCTTGTCACCCAGGCTGGAGTGCAATGGCACGGTCTCGGCTCACTGCAACCTCCGCCTCCCAGGTACAAGCAATTCTTGTGCCTCAGCCTCGCAAATAGCTGGGATTACAGGCACCTGCCACCATGCCCGGCTAATTTTCTATTTTTCGTAGAGACGGGATTTCACCATGTTGGCCAGGCTGGTCTCAAATTCCTGACCTCAGGTGATCCGCCCATCCCGGCCTCCCAAAGTGCTGGGATTACAGGTGTGAGCCACCTCCCCTGGCCTATATCTTGTATATTTTTTAAGATTTTTAAGTACTTCCTTTTTGTGGAATTGTGTTTTAAATTTTAAATTCCAATTGTTCATTGGTGGTATATAGAAAGCAATTGACTTTTGTATATAACCTTGTAATCTGCATCCTTACTGTAATCACTTAACAGTTCCAGAAGTACTTTTGTCAAGACTCTGGGATTTTCTACATAGACAATCATGTCATCTGTAAAGAGACAAGTGTTTTGCTTTTGTTAATCAATACACCTTTACTTCCTCTTCTTATCTTATTCTTCTAGCTAAAACTTCCAATACAATGCTGAATAGTAGTGGGGAGAGGGGATACATTTCCTTTGTTCTAATCTTAGGGTGAAAGCGTCTAGTCTCTCATCAAGTATGATGATAGCTTTAGAGTTTTTTATTTTTTAGTTTTTTGAGACAGAGTTTTCTCTGTCGCCCAGGCTGGAGTGCAGTGGCGTGATCTCAGCTCACTGCAACCTCTGCCTCCTGGGTTCAAGTGACTCTCCAGCCTCAGCCTCCCAAGTAGTTGGGATTACAGGTGCCCACCACTACTCCTAGCTAATTTTTTGTAGTTTTAGTAGAGATGGGGTTTTGCCACGTTGGCCAGGCTGGTCTTGAGCTCCTGACCTCAAGTGATCTGCCGGCCTCGGCCTCCTGAAATGCTGGGATTACAGGCGTGGGGCACCGAGCCCGACCATCTTTAGGGTTTTTATAGATGCTTTTTACCAAGTTGACCATGTTCTCCCCTAATCCTGATTTGCTGACAACTATCATAAATGGGTACTGAATTTTGTCAAGTATCTTTTCTGCATCTATTCATATAATCATGACTTTTATTGTTATTCTGTTGACATAATTGGTTAGATTAACTGATTTCCAAATGTTAACACAGGCTTGCATATCTGGAATAAGTCCCACTTGGTCATGGTGTATATTTCTTCTTTTAACTTTGTTAGGCTTGAGTTACTACCATTTTGTTGAGGATTTTTACTTCTATATTCATGAAAGATATTAGTTTGTTGTTATCTTTTCATGTAATGCCTTTATCTGTTTTTGGTATTACGGTAATGTTGGCCTCATAGAATGAGTTAGGAAGTGTTTCCTGCTTCTATTTTCTGGACGAGACTATGGAGAATTGGTACAATTTTTTCTTAAATATTTGATAGAATTTAACAGTGACACCAACTGCACCTGGTACTTTCTGTTCTGGAAGGTTATTAATTAGGGATTCAATTTTTAAAACAGATGTAGACCTTCTCAGATCATCCTTGCATGATTCTTTCAATAAATTAGTCCATTTTACCTAGGTTATCCAATTTATAGGCATAGAGTTGTTTAAAATATTCCTTTATTACTCTTTAAATTTCATTTAAACATCCCTGGGGTCAATATTGATCACTCTTCTTTTATTCTAATATTAGTAATTTGTGTCTTTATTCTTTTTTCTTGATTAGCCTGACTAAAGGTTTATCAATTTTACTAATATCTTTAATGAAAATGTTACATGCTTTGTATGATTTCTACTTTTTCTATTCTTTTATACTTGTGGAAGTGTGTTTTATGGCCCAGAATGTGGTCTACCTTGGGGAATATTTCATGTGAGCTGGAGAATATGTAACCTGCTCTTGGATGAAGTAGTCTCTAGATGTCAATTAGATTCATGTAATTGATGGTTCTGTTAAGTTTAACTATATCCCTATGATTTTATGCCTGCTGAATCTGTTCATTTCTGAGAGGGGTGTTGAAGCCTCCACATGTTATAATTGATTCATCTACTTCCACTTGCAGTTATATTTTGATGCTTTGTTGTTACTCAAATACACATTAAAGACTGTTGTGTCTTCTTGGCCGGGCGCAGTGGCTCACGCCTGTAATCACAGCACTTTGGGAGGCCGAGGCAGGCGGATCATGAGGTCAAGAGATTGAGACCATCCTGGCCAACATGGTGAAACCCTGTCTCTACTAAAAATACAGAAATTAGCTGGGCATGGTGGCCTGCGCCTGTAGTCCCGGAGCTACTTGGGAGGCTGAGGCAGGAGAATCGCTTGAACTCAGAAGGCAGAGATTGCAGTGAGCCGAGATCATGCCACTGCACTCCAGCCTGGCGACAGAGTGAGACTCCATCTCAAAATAAAAAAGAAAAGAAAAGAAAATGTTATGCCCCATGTAACAGCAGAGTAACAGAGTAACATAAAATAAAATTACATTTTATAACAAAAAAAAAAAACTGGGTATAGAAGAAACATACCTCAAGGTAATAAAAGCCATATATGACAGACTCACAGCTAGTATTGTACTGTATAAGGAAAAACTAAAAGCCTTTTATCTTAAATCTGGAAGATGACAAGGATGCCCAGTTTTACCACTGTTATTTAACATAGTATTGGAAGTCTTAGCTAGAGCAATCAAGACAAAAAGATAAAGGACATCAAAATTGGAAAGGAAGACGTAAAATTATCCTTGTTTGCAGGTGATATGATCTCATATTTGGAAAAACCTTAAGACTCCACCAAAAATCTAATAGAACTGACAAACAAATCCAGTAAATTTGTAGGATATGAGATCAAAAAACAAAAATCAGTAGCATTTCTATATGGCAGCAGTAAATAATTTGAAAAAAGAAATTAAAAAAGTAATCCCATTCGCAATAGCCACACATAAAATTAAATGCCTAGGAATTAACCAAAGAAGTGATCTCTACAATGAAAACTCATGCAAGAAATTGAAGAGGACACACAAAAAATGGAAAGATATTCCACATTTATGGATTAGAAGAATTAATATTGTTAAAATGTCCATACTACCCAAAGCAATCTACAGGTTCAATGCAATCCCTATCAAAATACCAAAGACATTCTTCACATAAATAGAAAAAACAATCATAAAATTCATATGAAATCACAAAAGACCCAGAATTACCAAAGCTATCCTAAGCAAAAAGAACAAAACTGGAGGAATTACATTACCTGTACAGAGCTATAGTAACCAAAACAGCATAGTACTGGATAAAACCATGTACATAGACCAATGGAACAGAACAGAAAACCCAGAAACAAATCTACATGCCTACAGTGAACTCATTTTCGACAGAAGTGCCAAGAACACGCATTGGGGAGAAAACAGTTTCTTCAATAAATGGTGCTGGAAAAGCTGGATATCTATATGCAAAAGAATGAAACTTGATTCCTATCTCTCACCTTAAACAAAAATTAAACCAAAATAGATTAAAGACTTAAATTTAAGACCTTAAACTATGAAACTGCTACAAGAAAACACTGGGCAAACTCTCCAGGGCATTGGACATGACATTACTCAAAAATTTCTTGAGTAATATGCCATAAGCACAGACAACCAGAGCAAAAATGGACAAATGTGATCACATCAAGTTAAAAAGCTTCTACCCAGCAAAGGAAACTATCAACAAACAAAAAGAGACAGAAAACCCAAATAAATAAAATCAGAAGTGAAAAAGGAGACAACATTACAAGTGATACCACAGAAATACAATGAATAGGCTGGGCGCAGTGACTCACACCTGTAATCCCAGCACTTTCGGAGGCTGAGGTGGGCAGATCACCTGAGGTTGGGAGTTCGAGACCAGCCTGACCAACAGGGAGAAACCCTGTCTCTACTAAAAATACAAAAATTAGCATGGTGGCACATGCCTGTAATCCCAGCTACTCGGGAGGCTGAGGCAGGAGAATCACTTGAACCTGGGAGGCAGAGGTTGCGGTGAGCTGAGATCGCGCCATTGCACTCCAGCCTGGGCAACAAGAGCGAAACTCCATCTCAAAATAAATAAAAAAACAATAAATAAATGGTACTGAGAAAACTGGATATCCATATGCAGAAGAATAAAACTAGACCCCTATCTCTCACCATATACAAAAATAAACTCAAAATGGATTACAAACTTAAATGCAAAACTACAAAACTACTGGAAGAAAACATAAGGAAAATGCTTAGGTCATTGAGCTGGGCAAAGATTTTACAGATGAGACCACAAAAACACAGGCAACAAAACAAAAATAGACAAATGGGATTATATCAAACTAAAAAACCTCTGCACAGCAAAGGAAACAATCAACAGAGTAAAGAGTCAACTTGCAGAATGGGAGAAACTGTTTACAAACTACTCATTTGACAAGGGATTAATATCCAGAATAAACAAAGAACTCAAATAACAGCAAATAAAACACAACAACAAATAACCCAATGTTTTTAAATGGGCAAATGATCTAAGTAGACATTTCTCAAAAGATCTACAAATGGCCAACAAGTATAAGAAAAAATGCTTAATATCACTAACCATCAGGGAAATGCAAATCTAAACTGCAATGAGACTTCATTTCACCCCAGTTAAGATAGCTATTACCAAAAACACAAAAAAATAACAAATACTGGAGAGGATGCAGATTAAAGGGAATTCTTTTACACTGTTGGTGGATATGTAAATTAGTACAGCGACTGTGGAAAACAGTATGGAGGTTCCTCAAAAAACTAAAAATTAAACTACCATATGATCCAGCAATCCCATCACTGGATATACATCCAAAGAAAAGAAAATCAGTACGTTAAAGAGATATCTGGCTTTCTGCCTCCACTACTGCCATGGTGCCCGCGAGAAAGCTTGTGGAGAAGGCGGGCAAAAAAAAAAGCAGGTTCTGAAGTTCACTCTTGGTTGCACCCACCCCATAGAAGATGGAATCGTGGATGCTGCCAATTTTGAGCAGTTTTTGCAAGAAAGGATCAAAGTGAACGGAAAAGCTGGGAACCTTGGCGAAGGGGTGGTGACCGTCAAAAGGAGCAAGAGCAAGATCACCGTGACATCCAAGGTGCATTTTTCCAAAAGGTATTTGAAATATCTCACCAAAAAATATTTGAAGAAGAATAATCTTCGTGATTGGTTGTGCATAGTTGCTAACAGCAAAGAGAGTTACAAATTACGTTCCTTCCAAATTAACCAGGACGAAGAAGAGGAGGAAGACGAGGATTAAATTTCGTTTGTCTGGAATATTTTGTATGAGTTCTTGAATAAAACTTGGGAACCAAAATGGTGGTTTATCCTTGTATCTCTGCAGTATTGATTGAAGAGAAAATTGGAAATCATAGTCAAAGGGCTTCCTTTGGGCCTCCACTCACTTATTTGTAACATGACTTCTTTTTTTTTTTCAGCTTGAAAATGTCAATTCTTGTGGTAGTACTAGAGTAGGAGAAGGTGACTTGACGGAACTGACAGCCATTGGGCAGGCACTTGAGGGTGTGGAGGTGTGGGCTGAAGGGAGTGACCATTTTATTTTTAAAAATTTAACTGTCAATCATTTCTATTGCTTTTCCCAAAGAATGATTCAGGGATACAAGTGGGCTCCTCTCATTCATTAAAACAAAACGTGACATCTTTCTAAGATTCTCTGGGAAAATGACAGTGTCAATAAAACGCGGGTTTCTGGGCCATTCGTCTTACTTTGATTTTTTTTAGTACAAATTTCTCTCGAGGCACAATCACGTCTACTAATCCTCTTCCTCCTAGAGAGAGAAACTGTGCTGCTTCGGCGTTGCTGCGTAGTCCGTCACTCTCCATAAAGGGGTTTGGGGAATCGATTGTAAAAGTCCCAGGTTCTAAATTAACTAAATGTGTACAAAAATTAATGTGTAAGTAATGTGTTTCTACAAGTCTTTGCAACAATCTGTCACTTTGGTCTCCAGCAGAGGGAGCTGGAGGAATAGTGCTTCCAGATGTGGCGTCCTGAGTGGGGCCTGAAGAAGTGGCTGAGAAGCCTCCCATGCCAAAGAAATGGAAGGTGCCTGGGAAATAGCTGCCTCATGCAACTTGGGCCACGACTGGATTTAATGTCAGAAGTTATTCTACAAACAGTGATGTGCTGCAGTGCGTGCAGAGGCTAGAGAACCACAGAAGGGGGCTACCGAGGCTGGGAAAAAAGATACAATTGTTGCCGTGACTTTGAAAGACCCTGATGCTTTGTGGTGCCCTTCCGAAATTCGAACAATAATGCAGAAGTGTGTGTTTTAGAATTTACGGTGTATGAAATTCATGTTTTTAAAAGAACTTGCCTGCAGATGGTTTCCACACGTGAAATTGTGCTCTGCTAGTTGCATAGCTGGAAATTCAATGTTTAATCCTACCTTGGCTCCAATTTAACATTTGGTGCTCTGTGGACTGAGTTGAACATGTTGAGGCTTTGCAATTTCACTTGTGTTAAAGGTTCTAGTATTTTCCATTTCTGTGCAAATTTCTCTGAAGCGGAATTGCTTGCATATTTCTTCTCTGCCTTCACTGAAGGCAGAGTTTCAAACTTCACTGAGGCATCAGTTGCTCTTTGGCAATGTCTCTTACTGTGATTATTAACTATAAGTTTGTGGCTTGAGTTTACAAAATTTACTTGTTTGTTGCATTGATTTTCTCATGTAGTAAGTAATTTTTAGTTTGATTGTGAAAAAACCCTGGGCTGAAGTTAGCATTTAAGTTAAAAAAAAATTTTTTTTAACTAGTCCCAGATTTAAAAACTTGTAATAAAATTGAAACTCACTGGTTTTTCTCTTTTTGAACTCTTGTAATCAAGTTTTGATCACATTTTCTATTAAAATGGCTAACACATGGCTACTAAAAAAGAAAAAGAGAGAGAGAGAGAGAGATCTGCATTACTGTGTTTATTGCCACACTATGCATAATGGCCAAGATATGATATCAACCTAAGTGCTCACCAACAAATTAATGGATAAATAAAATGTGGTCTATAACCACAGTAGAATACTATTCAGCCATAAAAAATAAAATTCTCTCATTTACAACAACGTGAATGAACCTAGAGGATTTTATGTTAACTGAAATAAGCCAGGCACAGAAAGATAAATACCACATGTTCTCACTTATATGTGGAAGATTAAAAAGTTGAGCTCATAGAAGTAAAGAGTAGAATAGTGGTTATTAAGGGCTAGGAAAGGCAGGGAGGTGGGAAGAATAGTGGGAGGTTAGTTAATGGACAAAAAATTATAGCTGGATAGAAGGAAAACGTTCTAATGCTCTATAACATTGTAGTGTGACTATAGTTAACAATAATTTATTGTATATTTTTAATAGCTAGAACAGAAGATTTTTAATGTTCCTACCACAAAGAAATTATAAATGTTTGAGGTGATGGATATGATAATTACCCTGATTTGAGCATCAAACTTTGTATACATGTATCAAAATATCACACTGTACCCCATAAACATGTGCAATCATTATGTGACAATTAAAAATAAAAAAGAAAGAAAGAATCCATTGACCATATACATGAGACCTTTTTCTGAGTCTCTATTCTAGTTCATTGGATATGTCTGTCCTTATGCCAATGCTATTCTGTTTTAATTACTGTAGCTTTGTAGTAAGTTTTGAAATCAGAAAGTGTGAGTCTTCCAACTCTATTCTTCCTTATAAAGATTCTTTTGGCAATTCAGGGTCACTTTCAATTTTATGTAAATTTGAGGATCTGCTTCCCCATTTGTGGGAAAAAAAAAAGACTGTAGAATTTTAGAAGAGATTTTATTGAATTTGCTGATCACTTTCAGTAGTATTGACATCTTAACAGTGGTAAGTCTTCCTATCCACAAACACAGAATGTATTTTCAATTACTTTGATCTTTTTAATTTTTTTGTAGTTTTTATCTTTTATAGTTGTCAGTGTATTAATCTTTCACCTCTTCAGTTAGATTTATTTCTAAGTATTTAATTTTTTAGATGCTATTGTAAATGGAATTTCTTAATTTCCTTCTGGTGTATAGAAAATTTGTTTTTGTGTGTTGATTTTGTACACTGCAACTTTGCTGAATTCATTTATTAGCTCTGAGCTTTCTTGTGGATTCTCTGGGGTTTTGTATACAAAGGATTATATCATCTATAAATAGAAATAGTTTCACCTATTCCTTTATATTTGGATTTTTTTTTTTTTTTGAGGTGGAGTCTTTCTCTGTCACCCTGGCTGGAGTGCAATGGCATGATCTCAGCTTACTGGAACCTCCACCTCCCAGATTCAAGCAATTCTCCCGCCTCAGCCTCCCAAGTAGCTGGGATTACAGGCACCCGACATCATGCCAGACTAATTTTTGCATTTTTTGTAGAGACGGGTTTTCGCCATATTGGCCAGGCTGGTCTTGAACTCCTGACCTCAGGTGATCCGCCCGCGGCCCACGTCGGCCTCCCAAAATGCTGGGATTACAGGCATGAGACACTGCGCCCGGCCGACATTTTTTTTTTTTTTTTATCAGGATCTGGCTCTGTTGTCTAGGCTGGAGTACAGTGGTGCAATCTTGGCTCACTGCAACCTCGGTTTCTCGGGTTCAAGCAATCCTCCCACCTCAGCCTCCTGGGTAACTGGAACTACAGGTTCATGCCACCGTGCTCAGTTTTGTTTTTGATTTTTTGTTTTTTCGTGTATTTTTTGTAGAGACAAGGTGTCACTATGTTGCTCAGGCTGGTCTCAAACTCCTGAGTTCAAAGGATCCAACCACCTTGGCCTCACAAAGTGCTGGGATTACAGGTGCGAGCCACCACGACTTTTCTTGTCTGGCTAGAACTTTCAATTCAGTGTCAAATAGCAGTGGGAATCTTTTTCTTGTCCCTTGTCTTAAGGGGAACTCATTCAGTCTTTTACCATTGAATATAATGTTAGCTGTAAGTTTTCCAGAAACACACTCTATCATGTTGAGAAATTTTCCCTCTGTTCCTAATTTGCTGAGAGTATTTATTATGAAAGGGTGTTATTTCCTCAAATGCTTTTTCCATGTCAATTGAGATGATAATGTGATTTTTTTCTTTTGTTCAAATAATGTGATGTACTACATTGATTGATTTTCTTCTGTTGAAACATCTTTGCATTCCATGGTAAAATTCCATTCGATTGTGAATAATCCTTATAGTAGCAGATGGAGTCAGCTTTTTTTTTTTTTTTTCATTTGACCTAGATGGGCTACGAAACCTAGAGAAGGATCAGGTGGCTTGTGATTTCTCTCCCGAGACAGCGATCTCTCTCTTCTCCTAACTCCAGAAAGGGACCTGCTCCGGCTACAAGACAAGTTTCTCCTTCTTGGAGGTCTGCGACGAGGTGGAAGACCCCTCCTACAATAATCATCTCAAGGACGATGACCCCAAGAGGGAGGTGGGCCATGATTTCTACTTCTTTTTTCACCGTTTGACAGTTCCTCTCCTACACAGGGGCCACATAGTGTTCTTCCATCTAGTTCTCAGACCACACCTGCTGCATCTCGGGGATCTTCAAATTCAACAAAAGCAAAGCCAGGAGGGTTTCTAGCAACCCACACACTTCAGAGTGGTCCACAGTAGCCAAAAGTCTGTTCCAATTCAGTCTTGTTGCCATTGTTTCCAAGATTGCCTGCATAAACCTACATAAACCAAGGCGGGCGGATCACGAGGTCAGGAGTTCAAGACCAGCCTGGCCAACATGATGAAACCCGGTTCTCTAATAAAAATTAGCCAGGTGCAGTGGCATGTGCCTATAGTCCCAGCTACTCGAGAGGCTGAAGCAGGAGTCACTTGAACCTGGGAGGCGGAGGTTGCAGTAAGCCGAGACTACACCATTGCACTCCAGCCTGGGGGACAGAGCAAGACTCTGTCTCAAAAAAAAAAAAAAAAGATGAAGGTGTATGTGGTTCATACTGAAAGAGGGAAGTCCCTGCCTTGGTTTCCCACGAGTCTTTTATATTCTCCTTGTGATGGAGGCTCCAGGCTTGTGCGCATTCCCAGGGCAGGAACAGTCCCACAGACCAAGGGCTTCACAGTAAACAAAGCAGGTGACCAGTTCCCAACGTACATTTTTCCACAATAAACTTGATACATTTTCAAGCAAACAGTGTTGTGAGAAGGTGGCCTAGGTCTGTCCAGGATCTAGGCCTGCAATTAATTAATACTTTACTCACAGCATTCAAAAGGGAATAAAGAATAGTATATACACTTATGGCCAGGCATGCTAGTTCACGCCTATAATCCCAACACTTTGGGAAGCTGAGGCGGGTGAATCTCTTGAGCCCAGGAGTTTGAGACCAGCCTGGGCAACATGGCAAAACCCTGTCTCTACAAAAAATAAATACATAAATAAAGTTAACTGGGCATGGTGGTGTGAGCCTGTAGTCCCAGCTACTTGGGAAGCCAAGGTGGGAGGATCACCTGAGCCCTGGGAGGTGGAGGCTGTGGTGAGTCATGATGGTGCCACTGCACTCCAGCCTGGGTGACAGAGTGAGACCCTGCCCTCCTCGCCAAAAAAAAAAAGAAAAAGAGAAAGAAGAAAAATACTTAAGTATCAAACCCTCCAGCTTAAGAAATGAAACAGGCCAGACGCAGTGGCTCCTGCCTGTAATCCCAGCACTTTGGGAGGCCGAGGCTGGGGGGATCACCTGAGGTCAGGAGTTCAAGACCAGTCTGGTGGCCGCGCGCAGTGGCTCACGACTATAATCCCAGCACTTTGGGAGGCCAAGGAGTGCGGATCACAAGGTCAGGAGTTCGAGATCAGCCTGGCCAATATGGTGAAACCCTGTCTCTACTAAAAATACAAAAATTAGCCAGGCGTGGTGGTGCACACCTGTAGTCCCAGCTACTCTGGAGGCTGAGGCAAGAGAATTGCTTGAACCTGGGAGGCGGAGGTAGCAGCCAGCTGAGATCACGCCACTGCACTCCAGCCTGGGCAACAGAGTGAGACTCCATCTCAAAAGAAAAAAAAAAATTAAAAAACTAAAAATTGAGCTATTTGAATTGGACACATGGAATCCATTGGAAGATGTTTCAAATATTGGGTCATCTTCCAATATTTACTCCAACTAATTCTCCTACTATTGGACCAACTCCCGATACACAAAAGTTTAAATTTTACACTAATTTTTAATTTCTCCTTTGGTTGCTGCAAATAAACTGAATGTGTCCCCAAAAACTCATATGTTGAAATCCTAAACCCCAGGTGAAGATGTTAGAAGGTGGGGCATTTAGGGAGGTAATAAAGTGGTAAGGATTACTGCCCTTATAAAAGAGGCCCCTTGGCCGGGCGCGGTGGCTCACACCTGTAATCCCAGCAATTTGGGAGCCCAAGGCGGACAGATCACCTGACATTGGGAGTTCAAGAGCAGCCTGACCAACATGGAGAAACCCTGTCTCTACTAAAAATACAAAATTAGCTGGGCATGGTGGTGCATGCCTGTAAACCCAGCTACTTGGGAGGCTGAGGCAGGAGAATCGCTTGAACCTGGGAGGCAGATGTTGTGGTGAGCTGAGATTGCGCCACTGCACTCCAGCCTGGGCAACAAGAGTGAAACTCTGTCTCAAAAAAAAAAAAAAAAAAAAAAAAAAAAAGAGAGAGAGAGACCCCAGAGAGATCCCTCAACTTTTCCACTATGTGAGGACACATGAAGTCAGCTGTCTGCAACCCAGAAGAGGACTGTCACCAGAACTAGACCATGCTGGCATCTTGATCTCAGACTTCTAGCCTCTAGAAATGTGAGAAATATATGTTATTTATGAGTCACCCAATCTATGGTACTTTGTTATAGCAGGCTGAACTAAGGCAGTCCCCAAACTGAATACCTCTTGAATGCATTTTACTTCTCTCTGTCTCTGCTTCACTTCTGTTAACTTTTACAAGTCATCCAGTTTTCCGTCTTACACATCCCTTCCTCTGTGGTCATGGAGACACTGGAGGAAGGGCTGAAGCTAGTCATTCTTCTTTCTGAAGTAGCCTCAAAGGGGACCAAGTCAACTGGATGCTCTTTGGAGTAAACTCACTTTTTATTCTTACATCTTTAGAGGAACACCTCTTAGAAAGCACAAGCAGATCAGCAAGAGGTTTATTCAAACCATCCAAAGAAACAGCTTTTCAAAGCCCATGTGATGGACAATAAGGTGTCTCTTTCTCTGAACCTTTCCTCAAAGTGATATAACATGTTCCTGGCCAGGGCTTAGGTGTCAACCTCACAATCTACCTGATGTGGTTTGGCTCTGTGTCCCCACCCAAATCTCTTCTCAAATTGTAATCCCCATGTGTTGAGGGAGGGACCTGTAATCCCCACGTGTTGAGGGAGAAAGGTGATTGGATCATGGGGGCGGTTCCCCCATGCCGTTCTCCTGATACTGAGTGAGTTCTGGCAAGATCTGATGGTTTTATACATGTTTGACAGTTCCTCCTTCACATGCTCTCTCCTGCCGCCTTGTAAAGAAGGTGCCTGCTTCCCCTTTCACCATGATTGTCAGTTTCCTGAGGCATCCCCAGCCATGTGGAACTATGAGTCAATTAAACCTCTTTCCTTTATAAATTACCCAGTCTCAGGGAAGTTCTTTATAGCAGTGTGAAAACAGACTAATATACCACCGCACTGCACTTCCCTCCTTCCTTCAGCCAGGACACCTGGGAGTTTTCCTTTCTGGTCTTCAGTTACCTTTACCACATCTCCAATAGTGTTTTGTTTTTGTTTTTGTTTTTAATTGAGACAGAGTCTCACTCTGTCGCCCAGGATGAAGTGTAGTGGCGTGATTTCGGCTCACTGCAACCTCCACTTCCCAGGTTCAAGCGATTTTTCTGCCTCAACCTCCCGTGTAGCTGGGATTACAGCTGGGATTAGTGACCACACCCAGCTAATTTTTGTATTTTTAGTAGAGATGGGGTTTCGCCATGTTGGCCAGGCTGGGCTCGAATTCCTGACCTCAAGTTATCTGCCCGCCTCAGCCTCCCAAAGTGCTGGGGTTACAGGCATGAACCACTGCTCCCAGCCAGCTTTGTATTTTTTAAATGAGAAAAATACAAATAGAATTAGAGAAATTGTTTTGTCATGAAAACATGTTTGGGTGTGTGCCATTTGGAACCAGAAGTAAATATCTTTTATATTGATGTTTTCAACCCATCTACAAAATAGAGTTCCTTTCTCCTACGTGAAGGAACGTCTGCTGGTCAGAGATGAAAAAATAAGTTGGAAAGTTGTGGCCTTCCAGCACTGGCTTTGCTGGACTGGGAGTCCCAGGGCAGTGTGCTCCTCCCTCTTGCAATGTCAGCAGCTATCTTCACATGGCAGAGCTGTTAAATCTATGCTGTGTCCAAAAAGGCTAGTAACAGCTGAATGCTCTCCAGCCATTTGGGGATTTTGTCTGCCCTGCATTTTTTAATCCTTTTACTACACATACAGTGGTGTGCTTGAGCCAGATGGTACCGAATGTTAAATTCTCAGGAATTTAGCAAGCTGACTGTTAAACCACTGAAAGCTTGAAATCAGCTATGATGGGAGCATTTACACCACAGAAATCAGTAATCGGGGCTTTTTTCCTTTTCGATCTAGAGAACCAAACCTTTACTAGCACACCACTGTATATATATTCTTTAAAATCTAGCATTGCCGGGCACAGTGGCTCATGCCTGTAATCCAGCACTTTGGGAGGCCAAGGCAGGTGGATCATAAGGTCAGGAGTTCGAGACCAGCCTGACCAAGATGGTGAAACCCCTCTTTACTAAAAATACAAAAATTAGCCAGGTGCGGTGGCGGGCACCTGTAATCCCTGCTACTCGGGAGGCTAAGGCAGGAGAATCGCTTGAACCCAGGAGGCGGAGGTTGCTGTGAGCCAAGATCGTGCCACTGTACTCTAGCCTGGGCAACAGAGCGAGACTCCATCTCAAAAAATAAAAAAAAATAAATTTTTTAAAAATAAAAAATAGTATTATTTACTGTATTTAGTAGTATCCGTGTCAGTTACCTATTGCTGATTAACAAGTTACCCCACAACATACTAACTTAGAATGACAACGATCATCTATTTTGCTAATGAATCTTCAGTTTGGGCAAGGCTTAGTGAGGACAGCTCATCTCTGCCACTTGCTGTGTCATCTGGGGGAACTTGACTGGGCCTGAAGAAGCCACTTTAGAGATGGCTTACATACATAGCTAACAAGTTGCTGCTGGCTTCTGAGGCAAGGCAGAGGTTGTGTGACAAGGGCCTTATTTTTTCTCCATGCGAGCCTCTCTACAGGCTATTGGGCTTCCTCACAGCATGGTGGCTGGGTTCCAAGAGCAAGCATCACTAAAGAGTAAGACATACTCGCATGGTAGGTTCATGGCTTGGCCTTGGAAGTCAGTGTCAATTCCTCAGTAACCTCTTGGTCTACAGAGCACAAAGTTTTGCCCTCTTTCAAGGGGAAGGAGCATAGACTTTGCCTCTTGATAAGGAAGTGGCAAGGTTCTAGGGAGCATGTGGGCTGGGACATACTGTTGTAGACATTGTAGACATCTTTAGAAGTTAATATTTCTCATAAAAACATACTGTAGGTATTTTTAAGAGGTCATTCTTAGTGCCATGGCCAAAGGGAAGCCCTGGGTAAGCAGGCATCTGGATTAATTATTCTGCCTCGAAGAGTCCAGAGATGTTAAAAACTAAGCCTTCAGTTAGCATGAGGCCACTCTGAGCACTGGATGCCCTCTGTGCCCCAGGGCATCATCAGATGTGCTCTCTGTAGAGGGGTGGCCATCACTGACTCGCTGGACCTGAGCCTCCGGTTGTGTTGGGAGTTTGTGAGAGGGCAAATCAGTCATCTCACCCCATGTGCAGGTGTGCTATGTAAAATAGGTTTTCAGGAATAAAGGATCCATTGAGCAGGTACATGTAGTGAAAAGGACACAGACTTCCAGGATACGGACTCGGCTTGGAGTCCCAGCTCCACCCACTACTAGCTAGGTGACCTTAAGTAAGACTTCAAATCTTGACCTTCATTTTCCCATCTGAAAAATAGGAAAGATAAAACCTATCTCATGGAACTGTGGTGAGCATCCCTTCAAAAAGTTCATCGTTTCCCACAGGTTATTTGTATCTCTGGTGTTTATCAAGTAAGATATGGGGTAGACTACCCCATAGGTAAACAGTTCGTTGTTGTTTTAATATTTAAGTGTTTTCTTAACGTATTAGAACATTGCTTGTTTTCTTGTCATAGTGAAAGATGTGAGTTGATTTCGAGGGAGGTATTAGAAACTACCAGTTTAGGTATCAGAGCAGAAACCGTGAAGGTGATGCACAGTGCTTGTGGTTTAGGAAGCACCAGGGCAGTACATGGTGCCTGACCCCCACGCGCCTCCAACTGTAGCCCCCTGAAGTTAGGGCTTCCATCTAGCCAGTTCTCATTCAGTCTCAGCATGCAGCTCTGAGGTTGGCAGGAGCCAAGCACCATCTCCTGAGGTAATTGATTAACAGGGCATGTCATGTAGTGGCATGCAGCCAGTGTGAGGGCACCTCCCTGCCTCTGTCCACTGGGATCTCCTGGGAGGCCCCAAAGGTTCTCCAAGCCTATCCCCGACCACATTCCCTCTCAGTGGGTGGATTTCCTGCGGTGGGCCGGAGGGTGTGGCTCCCCACTCTCCAGAGCACTTGCACATTTAGCCCTGTTTCAGCCCCTCCTAGCCACAGGACTTTGGGAAAATGTAAAACGCAAAAACTAAAAAAACTCGAAGACTCCTTGGTTAGCAGGATTGGTGAGGTTAGGAAGCTGACCAGGATCATGCAGCTTGTTAGTAGCCTAGTAACGAAAGTGGTTAATGATCACACAGCCTCCTTGGAAACGGTCTCCTCTGCGACACGGACCCTGCCTGTATAATCTTCACCCTTCACAAAGGGATCCTGGAGGGGGCATCATCACCTCCAGTTTTGTTTTGTTTGTTTGTTCGTTTGTTTTTTGTTTTTTGGGGGGTTTTTATTGAGATAGGATCTGGCTCTGTCACCAGGCTGGAGTGCAGTGGTGCGATCCTGGCTCACTGCAACCTCCGCCTCCAGAGTTCAAGCGATTCTCTTGCCTCAGCTTCCCAAGTAGCTGGGACTACCGGCGTGCAAGCCACCACACCCCGCTACTCTTGTATTTTTAGTAGAGACAGGGTTTTGCTATGTTGGCCGGGCTGGTCTCGAATTTCTGACCTCAAGTGATCCGCCTGCGTCAGCCTCCCAAAGTGCTGGGATTACAGGCATGAGCCACTGCACCCGGCCACCTCCGTTCTGCAGGTGGAAAACACAAACACACACACACACACACACACACACACACACACACACACCAAAAGCAAAAACAAAAACCAGCCTCAGCTGGGAGCAGTGGCTCACACATGTAATCCCAGCACTTTGGGAGGCCAAGGCGGGTGGATCACCTGCGGTCAGGAGTTTGAGACCAGCCTGACCAATGTGGTGAAACTCTCTCTCTACTAAAAATACAAAAATTAGCCAGGTGTGGTGGCACATGCCTGGCATCCTAGCTACTCAGGAGGCTGAGACAAGAGAGTCACTTGAACCCGGGAGGCAGAGGTTGCAGTGAGCCAAGATCACACCACTGCACTCCAGCCTGGGTGACAGAGCAAGACTCCGTCTCAAAAAAGAAAAAAAAGAAAAAAGATACAACCTCAGTTTTGTAACTTGCAGTATAAAAATATGAAACTCAAAGCAGCATTCAGAAAAAGTACCATTTCTGGCACCGTAACAGTGACTTTTCTCCCGAGAGTCCTCAGCAAGAAGACTGACAAAATGAGGTGATAGAGGTCCTGAACATGGTCCCAGTTAAAAATACCACTACTTCCCACAGAGCCCCAGGATGGCATGAGAGCAGCAAGAAATGCCAGCCTACAGGGAGGGAGTTCATCTCCCCACTAATGAAAGTCCATGGCACCATGGTGAAGTGCAATTTGGATAAGGTGGTTATTGATACCCAAGCACCATGGGTTTCTCCCCTGTCCAGGCCATCGTGACCAGGCACTAGCTCCTTCTCTTCCACCCCCTCCACTTTCTGGCATCAAGACCCTCACCCTGTGGAGTGGATGTGGAGCTCTCAGGCATCCAGGAGTACACTTGGGCCCCAAGAGGTATCTGGGCTCAGGTGGGAGGACCTCCTCCTGCAAGTGAGGAACAACCAAGAGGGAGGGGAGGGCGAAGTCACCCCTGTGTTCACTGTCATCCTCCCACCTGGGATGTGTTCTGAGGGGAGCAGGGGCTTTGGTCTGTTCTGTCACTGCAGAATCCCCAGTATCTAGAGCAGCCTGGCACACGGTGGCCACTCAGCAAGTAGTTACAGAGGGAGCCCATGAGTGAGTAAGCACTGCCACCAAGGTGCCAGCAGCCTCTGATCACCCTGTTCTCCCACCTTGTTTGACTCAGGTTTGCCTCACCTCCCCCAAGGGGAGGCCTAACACTGCTTTCGCTTACCCTAGTCCAAGAACCCCTTTGGGGGTAGGGTGCCCAGACCCGACTGCCCCTGGCCTGGCATACCTCCGTGCCCTCCCTACTTTTGGAGTCTCAGAAGTAAAGACCATACATTCCCTCTTCTGTTATCTTTGTAGTCCTGCCACAAAGTCCTGACTTCCCTGGAGGCAGGCTGGCTTCCTGAAGCTTCTGGGAGGAGGGGTGCAAAAGCTGGCGAGAAAACCGGCAATTTGAGTTTCAAGGTTTTATCTCACTGCAGGTGCCTTGCCAGCTCACTGCAGGACCCAGGGTAAGCTCAGTGGTGGGGTACAAGGCGCACCCTTGGGGTTTGGCTTTTAAAACTCACCTAAGACCCAGCCAACTCCAACAGTGTTCTGAGGAGTGTGCCCACCACCTACCTGTCCCCCTTCCATGTTGAAATAACTGTGTCCAATAAGAGAAGGATTGATGGAGGTGAAGGACCTCTTCAAGAACCACTGCTCAAGGAAATCAGAGAGAACACAAACAAATGGAAAAACATTCCATGCTCATAGGTAGGAAAAATCAATATCGTGAAAATGGCCATGCTGCCCAAAGTAATTTATAGATGCAATGCTATTCCCATTAAACTACCATTGACATTCTTCACAGAATTAGAAAAATATATTTTAAGATTCATATGGAACCAAAAAGGAGCCTGAGAAGCCAAGACAATCCTAAGCAAAAAGAACAAAGCTGGAGGCATCATGCTACCTGACTTCGAACTATACTACAAGGCTATAGTAACCAAAACAGCATGGTGCTGGTACAAAAACAGACACATAGACCAATGGAACAAAATAGAGAACTCAGAAATAAGACTGCACACCTACAACCATCTGATCTTTGACAAACCTGACAAAAACAAGCAATGGGGGAAGGATTCCCTAGTTAATAAATGGTGCTGGGAAAACCAGCTAGCCATAAGCAGAAAATTGAAACTGGGCCCCTTTGTTACACCTTACACAAAAATTAACACAAGATGGATTAAAGACTTAAATGTAAAACCCAAAACTATAAAAATGCTAGAAGAAAATCTAGGCAATACCATTCAGGGCATAGGCATGGGCAAAGATTTCATAATGAAAACGCCAAAAGCAATTGCAACAAAAGCAAAAATTGACAAATGGGATCTAATTAAACTAAAGAGCTTCTACACAGTAAAAGAAACTATTAGCAGAGTGAACAGACAACCTATACAGAATGGGAGAAAAGTTTTGCAGTCTATCCATCTGACAAAGGTCTAATGTCCAGAGTCTACAGGGAACTTAAACAAATTTACAGGAAAAAAAACCCCATTAAAAAGTAGGCAAAGGATATAAACAGATACTTCTCAAAAGAAGACATTCATGCAGCCAACAAATATATGAAAAAAAGCTCAACATCACTGATCATTATAGAAATGTAAATTGAAACCACAATGAGATACCATCTTATTCCAGTCAGAATGGCAATTATTGGCCAGGTGTGGTAGCTCATACCTGTAATCCCAGCACTTTGGGGGGCCAAAGCTGGTGGATCACTTGAGGTCAGGAGTTTGAGACCAGCCTGGCCAACATAGGGTGAAACGTCTCTACTAAAAACACAAAAATTAGCCGGGCGTGTGGCACACACCTGTAGTCCCAGCCACTCAGGAGGCTGAGGCAGTAGAACAGCTTGAACCCAGGAGGCAGAGATTGCAGTGAGCCAAGATCATACCACTGCACTCCAGCCTGGGTGACAGAGTGAGATTCTGTCTCAAAAAAGTAGAAAAAGAAAAAAAAGAATGCCAATAATAACAACAGATGCTGGTGAGGTTGTGGAGAAAGAACACTTTTAAACTGTTAGTGGGAGTGTAAATTAATTCAAACATTGGAGAAGACAGTGTGATGATTCCTCAAAGATCTAGAAGCAGAAATACCGTATGAACCAGCAATCCCATTACTGGGTATAGACGCAATGGAATATAAATCATTCCATTATAAAGATACATGACTGTATGTTCACTACAGCACTATTCACAATAGCAAAGACATGGAATCAACCCAAATACCCATCAATGATAGAAAATGTGGTACATATACACCATGGAGTACTATGCAGCCATAAAAAGGAACAAGATCATGTCCTTTGCAGGGACATAGATGGATTTGGAAGCCATTATCTTCAGCAAACTAATGCAGGAACAGAAAACAAAACACATGTTCTCACTTATAAGTGGGAGCTGAACAATGAAAACAGAAGGACACATGGTGGGGAACAACACACATTGAGGCCTGTCGTGGGGAGGGTGAGGGAAGGGAGAGCATCAGAAGAATGGCTAATGGATGCTGGGCTTAACACCTAGGTGATGGGTTGATCTCTGCAGCAAACCACCATGGCACACGTTTATCTATGTAACAAACCTGCACATCCTGCACATGTAACTTGGATCTTGAAATAAAAATTGAAACAAAAGAGAAGGACCAATGGGGAATGTGCTATCCTTGGGAACAGTACAGAGATGGGAGAGGGTTTGACAAACACTAGAGAGCTGTGGGCTATGAACCCTCCCTTCCAGCTATGAGCATGTTCACACTGAGCCGGAGCAGTGCCAGGCTCTGCCTCTTTCCGTGTCTGGCCTGTGGCCAGCAGGTCTTAGTGTAGATTAACTCCTCTATGAAAGGGGAGGTGTCCTGCAAGCAGCATCAAGATGCTCTTCAACAAGTTCTCTGGGCTATGCTCCAGGATGCCGACAAACAAGTCCGCAGGGCCCCAGGACCTGGTGCTGACAGGATGGTTGCAACCTTCTCAGCTCAGCCAACTCTAAAATCGATTTTAACCTGGATGGCCTCTTAGCCTGCCATCCTCCTCTCCACCCCACTCCACATACACACACACATGCCTCACTAAAGCTCTGTAGGCTATTTGACTTTGAAAATAGGACTTCCTTGTGTTCCCACTGAAGCAAATGTGTTGCCTAAATCCCTAAATGAGCCAGCTGGCTGCACAGGATTCTTGAGGACAAGTGGGCTCCGTGGAGACCACCCAGAGCCCACCTAGAGAGGCGTGGCCCACGGGCAGGCTGGTGGGAATTGGGGCAAGGTGGCTGCTCGCTCAGGAGACCCCTCGTTGTAGGGCCACCTTGCCAGCTGCACCCATGGGGCTATGGTGTTCCCTCTGACTGGCAGACACTAGCGGGCCTCCAGCACCTAGGGCTGAGGGTAACATATTCATATATAAAATAAAATACTGAAAGAAATGGGAAAGTTAAAAAGCGGTGGATTGATATTTGTGAGGAAAACACTGAATTGGAAGACCGAAACAGCCACCACCCTTTCTGATGGCCTCATCCTGCTTCTGCCTCTAGCTGTGCGGCCTTGGAGATCAATGCTGTTTTTTTTATCTTTGGGCCTTAAATGGACTAGTAAAAGGCACCTTCTGAGCGAATTCCAGCACAGCAATTCTGATTCTGTCTCTGCTCTGATACCTGCCTGCGGAGGCATCCCTGATCTCATTATTTTTTATGCATGCCCAGCGTGTTTCTGCACAGGCTTAGCTTTTATGAGTCTGCCACTTTGGAAACAAATCACACGTCCTGTGTTCCATCAGCCTGTGGCGCAGTGTGGAATTTCTGGTATAACAGCATTTAGCTGCTGAGGAAACATGTCTGGCTTTGCTTCCTTGGGAGAGGGTGCAAAGGAAGAAAGCCGCAGCGTGTACACAAAAGAAAGTTCGTGTTCCGAGGGAGGTTTTTAATGTCCTTGTAAATACTAACCAGTGTCTACTCAGAAGTCTTCAAGAAGGAACTTGTAGTAATGATATGAATTAATATTTCTGGCAGTTCCAGAAATGCAGTTGCCCCATCTTGTTTTGGGGCAGCTCACATCCTGATCACAGCGGCACATTCTGTGTGATCTTAGTGATGCTGCACCAGCCCTCTTGGTGGCATCTGTGACTTGATAGGCATTCATCTCAGGTGAGCAAGGCTGCTGAGCTGGGTGAGGAGAGGCCTAGCTAGAAAGGTGCCCACATCTGGCATTGTGCTAGAAGGGCCGCCTTCCCCTGAAGCTGGGCCAGTGACAATCAGGAGAGGGAGGGCTTTTGCCAGAAAGCAGTGCCCTGCTGTGAGGTCCCAGCCTGAAGGGGCTCTCAGATCTTCTGGGGAGAAGAGCAAATCAGGTAACCTTGGCAACTCACATCTTTGGAGTTATTTACACATGTGAAAACTAAGGAGATTGGATGAAATGATGGATTAGGTCCCATCAGAACTGTAAACAATGATGGCATTATTTAGTGCCTGGATCCCTGCCTTGAGAATTTA
Organism: Homo sapiens; assembly: GCF_000001405.40. Classification (NCBI taxonomy): domain Eukaryota; kingdom Metazoa; phylum Chordata; class Mammalia; order Primates; family Hominidae; genus Homo; species Homo sapiens. The sequence goes on along the minus strand of NC_000002.12, from coordinate 109,720,626 downwards.
CATTTGGCACACCAAGTTCTTACAGACCTGCACTTCAGTAGGGGAACTGCATTACCTCACTGCCTGCCTGGTAACAGTGATTCTCAGCCCCACATGGTGCATAAGAATCACCTCTAGGGCTTTTAAAAGGCTCTGATACTCAGGTCTTACCTGTGAAAGAGATTTGGTTTCAATTTGTCTGGGATGGAGCCCACACGTTGCCATTTTTTTTAAAGCTCCTTAGGTGATTCTAAGATGTAGCCAGAATTAAGAACCACTGATAGGTTGCAAGTGCTGCTATAGTGGCTGTCACGGTGATGCTGTGTCACTGAAGGGACTGTATATATATATATGTGTGTGTGTGTGTGAGTGTATGTGTGTGTGTATAAAGATTGATATATATGTGTGTGTATATATATATAATGATCAGAAGGTTACACAAGGGCGTGGAGGCGTGCAGGAGGAGGTTCAGTATTTCATACTGGTCTCCCCATCACATGTTCTATTGGCAAAAGTTTCTGAAGTCAGTAGAAATGTCAAATGAAATTTATGTCAACCACAAAGAGCAGCTGACTTTAGCTGGCCGAAGCTGGCTGGTAAGGGCAGTGATAGTCCAGAATCTAGCCAGGTGCAGCCGATCACGAGTCCTCGGTAGAACAGCAGTTTCCAGAGGCTCACTTCCTCCTGTTACTCCCAGCTTGAGGCTTGACATCAAATTTCAATCTACATAAATGTTGGTCAAGGAAGAGAAATAAATGAATTTTTGCTTAAAGAATAATCATCACTGTGGCCAAGCCTGGAAATTCATGATGCCCAGAGGAATCATCTTGGTCGATGCTTATGAAAAGGCCTTCTAAGCAGACCCCTTGTTGATCTAAGGTATCTATGGACTCTCCCCAGTCCTTCCAATTTTTTTAACGGCTTTATTAAGATATAATTCATGGGCCAGGCGTGGTGGCTAGCACCTGTCATCCCAGTACTTTGGGAGGCCGAGGCTAGCGGATCACGAGATCAAGAGATCGAGACCATCCTGGCCAACACGGTGAAACCCCATCTCTACTAAAAATACAAAAATAAGCTGGGTGTAGTGGCGCACACCTGTAGTCCCAGTTGCTCAGGAGGCTGAGGCAGGAGAATTGCTTGAACCGGGGAGCCAGAGGTTGCAGTGAGCGGGGATCCCACCATTGCACTCCAGCCTGGCGACAGAGCAAGATTCCACCTCAAAAAAAAAAAAAAAAGATATATCACAGCCAGGTGCGGTGGCTCACACCTGTAATCCCAGCACTTTGGGAGGCCAAGGTGGGAGGATCATCTGAGGCTGGGAGTTTGAGACCAGCCTGATCAACATGAAGAAACCCCATCTCTACTAAAAATACAAAAAAAATTAGCCGGGTGTGGTGGTGCATGCCTGTAATCCCAGCTACTCAGGAGGCTGAGGCAGGAGAATCACTTGAACCTGGGAGGCGGAGGTTGCGGTGAGCCCAGATCATGCCATTGCACTCCAGCCTGGGCAACAACAGGAAAACTCCATCTCAAAAAAAAAAAAAAAAGATATAATTCACATACAACACAATTTACCCACTCAGGCATGTAATTAAATTGCTTTTTGTTTTTGTTTCTTTTTTTTTTTTTTTTTTTTTAGATGGAGTCTCACTCTGTTGCCAGGCTGGAATGCAGTGGCACAATCTCAGCTCACTGCAACCTCTGACTCCCTGGTTCAAGCAATTCTCCTGCCTCAGCCTCACGAGTAGCTGGGATTACAGGCATGTGCCACCATGCCAAGCTAATTTTTGTACTTTTAGTAGAGACGGGGTTTCACCATGTTGGCCAGGATGGTCTCAATCTCCTCACCATGTTGGCCAGGATGGTCTTGATCTCCTGACCTCATGATCTGCCTGCCTCGACCTCCCAAAGTGCTGAGATTACAGGCGTGAGCCACTGCGCCTGGCCGTAATTAAATTGTTTTTAAGTCACAGGGTTGATGTGGCAACAGTCACCATAGTCAATGTTGGAATGGTTTCACCACTTCAAAAAGAAACCTGGTACTTGTTAGCTGTCATCCTCCTGTACCTTGATCCATCTCTCTACCTCCCATTCCCAACCCTGAGCAACTACAAATCTACTCTACAGATTTGCCTATTCTGGACTTTTGTATAAATGTAATCCTATAATATATGGTCTTTTGTGACTGGCTTCTTTCACTTCACATAATGTTTCTAAGTTCATCCATGTTGTAGCATGTATTAGTACTTCATTCCTTTTTATGGCTGAGTAATACGCCATTGTATGGATATACCACATTTTCTTTATCCATTCATCAGTTGATGGACAGGTTATTTCCACTTGTTGGTTATTATGGAAAATGCTACTATAAACATTTGTGTACAAATTTTTAGGTGGTCATATGCTTTTATGTCTCTTGGGTTCATACCTTCAGAGAAGTGCTGGGCCAGATTGTAACTCTGTTTAATTATTTGAGGAACCACCAGACTCTCTTCCAAAGTGGCCGCATCATTTTACATTTCCACCAGCAATATGTGAGGGTTCCAGTTTCTCTGCATTCCTGCCAATGCCTATTATTTTCCACTTTTTTTGATCTTTTTAAATTTCTGTCAGTTTTGCAGTTCTCAAAGTATAAGTTTTGCTCATTTTGTTAAATTTATGTTTAGGTAATTTATTCCTTTTAATGTTATCACAAATGGAAATGGTTTTGTGTTTTTGTTTTTGTTTTCTTGAGACAGACTTTTACTCTGTTGCCCAGGCTGGAGTGCAATGGTGTGATCTCGGCTCACTGCAACCTCTGCCTCCCGGGTTCAAGCGATTCTCCTGCCTCAGCCTCCTGAGAAGCTGGGACTACAGGCACCTGCTACCACACCCAGCTAATTTTTGTATTTTAAGTAGAGATGGGGTTTCACCATGTTGGCCAAGCTGGTCTTGAACTCCTGGCCTCAATTGATCTACCCGCCTTGGACTCCCAAAATGCTGAGATTACAGGTGTGAGCCACTGTGCCTGGCCTAGGAACTGTTTTGTTGTTGTTGTTGTTGTTTTGTTGTTTTTGTTTTTTGAGATGGAGTTTTGCTCTTGTTGCCCAGGCTGGAATGCAATGGTAAGATCTCAGCTCACTGCCACCTCTGCCTCCCGGGTTCAAGCGATTCTCCTGCCTCAGCCTCCTGAGTAGCTGGGATTACAGGCGTCCACCGCCATGCCCAGCAAATTTTTGTATTTTTAGTTGAGACGGGATTTCACAATGTTGGCCAGGCTGGTCTCAAACTCCTGACCTCAAGTGATCCACCCGCCTCGGCCTCCCAAAGTGCTGGGATTACAGGCGTGAGCCACCGCACCCCGTGGAACTGGGTTTTTTTTTTTTTTTTTTTGGTTTGTTTTTAATTTTCATTTTTGGATTGTTGTTTGCAAGCATATTGAAATACATTTGATTTTTATATATTGATCTTCTATCCTGCAGCCTTGCTGAACTCATTTATTGGTCCAAATAATTTTTTAGTGAATTTCTTAGGATTTTCTGTATATAAGATCATGTCATCTGTGAATACAGACAAATTTTATCTCTTACTTTTTCACTGGGATGCCTTTTACTTCTTTTTCTTGTCTAGTGTGAAAGGAAAATAAAATTTGGGACCTCAAGTCACTCTGCCAAAAGAAAAAAATTAAGCTGAAAGCTGAGTCCTGCGAGAAGTTGCCTTTCCTTTTGCTCCTAAGCAGATAGCTGCAGATAAAAGGTTAAATATCTCTACAAGTAGCTACTCTATGTTCACCTTATCTTATGTAAAGTGCTGATTAGGCTGGGCGCGGTGGCTCATGCCTGTAATTCCAACACTTTGGAAGGCAGAGGTGGGCAGATTGCTTGAGTCCAGGAGTTTGACATCAGCCTAGGCAACATAGCAAAACTCTTGTCTCTACTAAAAGTGCAAAACATTAGCCAGGCATGGTGGTGCGTGCCTGTAGTCCCAGCTACTCAGGAAGCTGAGGTAGGAGAATCACCTGAGCCTGGGAGGTGGAGGCTGCAGTAAGCAGAAATTGCACCACTGCACTTCAGCCTGGGCAACTAGAGTGAGACCCTGTCTCAAAAAATAAAATAAGGCTGGGTGCGGTGGCTCACGCCTGTAATCCCAGCACTTTGGGAGGCCGAGGCGGGTGGATCACGAGGTCAGGAGTTTGAGACCAGCCTGGCCAAGATGGTGAAACCCGGTCTCTACTAAATATACAAAAATTAGCCAGGTGCGATGGCAGGCACCTATAATCCCAGCTACTCAGGAGGCTAAGGCAGGAGAATTGCTTGAACCCGGGAGGCAGAGGTTGCAGTGAGCTCAGATTGCACCACTGCACTCTAGCCTGGGCAACAGAGCAAGATCCATCTCAAAAAATAAATAAATTTTTTTTAAAAAAAATAAAATAATAAGTAAATAAAATTAAAAAAAATAAAGTGCTAATTTACTGAGTGCCAGACAAATACATAATTGACTATTCCCCTACCTACTCCCTTTCTCTTGTAACATGTGGATTCAGTCATGCGACCCTCTCCTTTCTCCAGCCCACTTTTCCCCTTTAAATATTGAAGACCTCAAAATCATCTTTGGGGAAAGGTGTACCTTTCTCCTGGGCGCGTCCTTAACTTTGGCAAAATGAACTTCTAAATTGAGACCTGTCTCAGACACATTTTGGTTTACACTACTTGCCCTAGTTAGAAACTCCAGGACAATGTTGAATAGAAGTGGCAAGAATGGACATATTTATCTTGTGATTATGATATTGTGATTCATAATAAATATATATATTTCATCTTCCTCCCTGTTTCCTGGCACATAGCTCAAATGGCTGGGGCCCCTGGGTAGCCTCAGGATGGGGGCTGGCTGCCAGGTGAACCAGATGATTAGAGGGTTGGAACTTTCATTTCTGAAACTGATCCTCCAGGGAAGGAGGAAGAGCTGAAGGTTGAGCTGACCCCCAATGGCCAGTGATCTAATCAATCATGCCTGGGTAATGAAGCCTACATAAAAACCCAAAGGAACAGAATTCAGAGAGCTTCTGAGTTGCTGAACATGTGGAGGTGCTGGGAGAGTGGCTTCCAGGAGAGGGCAGGGAAGCTCCATGCCCTTTCCTCACACCTTGCCTGGTGCACCTCTTCATCTGGCTGTTCTTGTATCCTTTGTAACGTCCTTTACAATAGCCTAAGTGAGCCTAAGTGTCTCCCTGAGTTCTGTGAGCCACTCTAGCAAATTAATCAAACCTGAAAAGGAGGCCAGGCATGGTGAGAGCACTTTGGGAGCTTGAGGCAGGCAGATTGCTTGAGTCCAGGAGTTTGAGACCAGCCTGGGCAACATGATGAAATCCAGTCTCTACAAAAAATACAAAAAGTACTATAGGCTGGGCATTGTGGCTCATGCCTGTTATCCCAGCACTTTGGGAGGCCGAGGTGGGTGGATCACCTCAGGTCAGGAGTTCGAGACCAGCTTGACAAACATGGTGAAACCCCGTCTCTACTAAAAATACAAAATTAGCTGGGTGTGGTAGCATATGCCTGTAATCCCAGCTACCTGGGAGGCTGAAGAAGGAGAATCACTTGAACCCAGAAGGCAGAGATTGCAATGAGCCGATCACACTATTGCACTCCAGCCTGGGCAACAAGAGCGAAACTCCACGCCCCGCCCCCACCCCCACCCCCCCAAAAAAAACCTACTATGGGATTTATCATAAAATTAAATGTTTAAAAATAGCACAAGCCCGGGCGTGGTGGCTCACACCTGTAATCCCAGCACTTTGGGAGGCCAAGGCAGGTGGATCACCTGAGGTCAGGAGTTTGAGACCAGTCTGGTCAACATGGTGAAAACCTGTCTCTGCTAAAACTACAATAATTAGCCTGGTGGTGGTGGCACACACCTGTAACTCCAACTACTCAAAGGATGAGGCAGGAGACTCACTTGAACCTGGGAGGTAGAGGTTGCAGTGAGCCAATGGCACCACTGCACTCCAGCCTGGGCAATACAGAGAGACCTTGTCTCAAAAAAAATAAAAAATAAAAATAAAATAAAGCTCGGGCACAGTGGCTCACGTCTGTAATTCCAGCACTTTAGGCGGCCAAGGTAGGCAGATTACGAGGTCAAGAGAACAAGACCATCCTGGCCAATATGGTGAAACCCCATCTCTACTAAAAATACAAAAATTAGCCAGGCGTGGTGGTGCATGCCTGTAGTCCCAGCTACTCAGGAGGCTAAGGCAGGAGAATCACTAGAACCTGGGAGGAAGAGGTTGCAGTGAGCCAATATCACACCACTGCACTCCAGCCTGGCGACAGAGCGAGACTCCGTCTCAAAAAAATAAAATAAAATAAAAACTTTTAAAAAAGAGAAAAACACACACACACACACACACACACAAATTAGCCAGGTGTAATGCAACGTGCCTATTGGTCCAGCTGTTCAAGAGGCTGAGGTAAGGTAGGAGGATCACTTGAGCCCCAGAGGTAGAGGTTGCAGTTAGCTGAGATCATGCCACTGTACTCTAACCTGGGTGACAGAGCAAGACCCTATCTCAAAAAGAAAAAATAAAAAAGAACCTCCATGTAGTTGTGGGTAATCTACTACTTATGATTGGCGTCTGAAGTGGGGGCAGTCCTACGGGCCTGAGCCCTTAACCTGTGGGATCTGACTCCAACTCCAGGTAGATAGTGTCAGAACTGAGTTAAATTATAGGATATCCAGCTGGTGTCCCCTGGAGAATTGCTGTATGGGGAAAACCCACACATGTGGTGTTGGAAGTATTGTGTTGAGTGTAAGAGTAGCAAAAACAGAGTGATCTTAGGAGGAAAGCTTTCGATCATTCGATCAATCATTCATTGAGAGCTTTCAATCATGATGTTAGCTGTGGGCTCTTTGCAGATGCCCTTTAATGGCCTGAGGAAGTTTTCTTTCATTCCTAGCTGTTGAGTGCTTTTATCCTGATCTCATGGACTCTCTGGGCACAAGGATCAGGGACCCCAGCAGGCCAAGAACCCCAAGACCACGACCACTTCTGCAGAGCTAGTACCTAACATTCTCACAGCTTACCAAACACAAATTCATGGTCCCAATTGATTTCCAACCCAGTGAAGTAGGTGCTGTTATTCCCAATTTCTAGCTGAAGAAGCTGGAGCGCTGAGAGGCTGTATGGGTTTCCTTGTCACTCAGCTCAGAGGCACGTTCTGGAGCTGACACTCAGCCCTTGCTGGCCCCTCTAGTCCATCTGCTCCTGCTTGGCTTCTACCTCCTAATCAAGGCTGTCCTTTGTGGGGGATGAAGTGATGTTTGTATTTAGACTTCAGGGAGCTTTTCTCAAACTTCAGTGGCCCTAAGCCTTACCAGGAGGGCTTATTAATGATGAAGAACCCTGAACCTGTCCTGGAGATTCGTAACTGGGTAGGACTCAGAATTTGCAGTTCACCATCTCTCCTCCACGAAGTGGGTCTGCACCATGCTTCCAGGAACCCTGCTCTGGAGGAAAAGCGGTCTGAATGTGAAATGTCAGGTGGCCAGTGCAAGAGGAGGGAGGGTTTCAAGAGACCCAGGTGGAGGAAGGCTGCTGAAGTTTAAAGCAGGGCTGGGCTGGCCCTCCCCTCAGTGTACCCTCAAGTTGGATTTTTTTCATATTCCGTCAAACAGAAGTTTTCTCCTTGTCTCAGGTACCATCCCCCCAATACAGGGCCATGCAGGGGAGCGAAGCAGAGCCCACTCTCACTCACTCTCGCTCTGGCGCACAGCACAGGACCCATGAGACTTGCTTTAGGGGCCTGTGAATATGACTTTCATTTTCATTTCTTTTAAAATCAGAAGAAAAATGAGTAGATATAATGAGTATGTAATCATGAATCGGCCTAGATTATATTTGCCTTTATGCCAATATCATTGTAAAATATAATTTTTAAAGCCAGACTTGGTGGCTCACACCTGTAATCCCAGCACTTTGAGAGGCCGAGGTGGGCAGATCACGAGGTCAGGAGTTCAAGACCATCCTGGCCAACATGGTGAAACCCCTGTCTCTACTAAAAATACAAAAAATTAGCAGGGCCTTGTGGCACACGCCTGTAATCCCAGCTACTTGGGAGGCGGAGGCAGGAGAATCGCTTGAACCCAGGAGGCAGAGGTTGCTGTGAGCAGAGATCGTGCTATTGTACTCCAGCCTGGGTGACAGAGCAAGACTCAATCTCAAAAAAATAAAATAAAATAAATAATTTTTTATAGTGGAAAAGGCCCAGGAAGGCAAAAATGCCCAGGACCCATGAAAGTTCTACATAGCCCTGAGAGTGAGGGTGCAGGACACACAGGGCCTGGAGAGGGCAAGGCTCTGGTGTCAGCCTGAGAATGAGTGACCAGAGTCAGGCAGGGCCGGCAGGATCCATCTGACCACTGACCCTGGTTCTCTCCATTCCAGGCCTGTCACTTGACACAGCCGGCCAGGGCAGCCCTGAGCTCACTGGGGAAGGGATTTATAGGAGGCCTGTTTTAACAGCCTACCTGGACATGAAATCTTTCATTTGAAGAGGAAAGAAAAATCCAGCAGTCAATAGCAATTTGTTCAAAACCAAAATGGAGCGTGGTGTTGCAAAACATCCTCTTCCCGAGCTCTGGACCAGCTGGCTGCATCAGCCCCGATGACAGGGAAGGAGCCAGGCAGGATGCACTGCATTGTAAACTCTTGCCCTGAGGAACATGGCCTAGTGGTGAGTGGGAGGGCAGGGAGAAGCGAGCAGCAGCCAAGACTGCAGGCAGCCATTAAGAGCTTGCACTGAAGTGGGCTCAACAGATGATAAACACACAACGGACACTTTCAGGTGCTAAGTGCCATGCAGAAGAGAAAATAGACCGAGACAAAGGGGGCTGCTTCACTCTGAGTGTGGAAAGGCCCCTCATAATTGTGTGATTTGAGCAAGGAGGAGGCAGGCTGAGGGGTCTCCAGGACAGCATTTCAGGCAGAGGCCAGGACAGGCTGGTGCACAGCTTGTTGGAGGGCAGGCCAGGCCAGCGAGGCTTCCTCAGGCTTCTGCATAGCCAGTGGGCATCAAAGCGTAGAAGGAGGGGGCACAGAGATGATGGTAAGCTGGTCCTGCAAGCCTCAGAACCGTGTAGGCAAGGATTTGGGGGTTTATCAAGAGTGAAAGCCACTGGAGGCTTGTGAAACAAGAGAGTGGCTTATTTGACTTTGTAAGACTCTTCTGGCTGCTGTGCAGAGAAGCTATGGGGGCAAGGGCAGGTGTGGGAGGCTAGTGAGGAGCCACTGCAGGGTCCCAGGGGAGGGGCAGGGTGGTCTGCTGCATCCCACCCCTGGCAATGGTAGGAATGGCTGGGCGTGAGGGGTTTGGAAATGGTGACGTTTATAGGGTGTGAGGAGAAGTGGGCTCAAGAAGGGCAGAGAATGCTGGCCTAAGTTACTGGGCATAGGGACGGAGCTGCTGAAGACAGTTGCAGGGGACTTGCCGGGGCGGCTGAAGTTCTCACTTGGCCATGTCAAGGTTGCGCTGCCTTTCAGATGTCCCTGAGGAGATATCAGGTCCCCAGGGGCAGATAGGAAGCTGGAACTCAGCAGACCTACGCAAATGTGTCACCAGCTTACAGACAGCATTTGAAGCCCTGGGACTGGATGTGGGCAAGCAGAGAGAGGGCATAGGGAGGAGGCCTCAGTGCAGGGTACAGGCATCTCCACCTGAGAGAATGTCCCATAAACTGCCTACCTTGCCACCTTAGCAGAGCTGAATCCCCTTCCTATTATGAACACATCTTGCTGTCTCAGGAATCATCAACCATCCCATTTTCTATGCCAAAGCTGCTGACTTGACACAGCTAAAGTGCCCGGGGGGTTCAGCCCATCCTTCCCCAGGTCTCCTCTCACCCCTCCCTCACTCCCTGCTTCCCATGCTCTGCTCACTTCTCCCTGACTCTGTGCTTTCTGCTGATGGTAGTTGAAGGTAGAACTCACCAGATGCACCTGGAAGGCTCTCCAAAGCCATGGCTGCCCCCTAGGACCTTGTGGGCCAGGGCCTTGGTGGTGGGGTCTGGACACATGGCCACTGCTTCTGGTGTCCTTGAGGCTTTGGCACCTCGCAGAGGTGAGCCTTCAGCCCCACCTTGTGCCAACACTAGGCTTGGCCCAGGTATACTTTTGAGTGTCTCCAAATTTCATTTTAAAGCCACAATTTCACACAAATTCATGTTAGAAATAGGCAATGGGGGCCGGAATCCACATATAACTGATAGAGTAAATCACTTTTTTTTTTTTTTGAGATAGAATCTCGCTCTGTTGCCTAGGCTGGAGTGCAATGGCGTTATCTCGGCTCACTGCAACCTCCGCCTCCTGGGTTGAAGCAATTCTCCCACCTCAGCCTCCCGAGTAGCTGGGACTACAGGTGTGTGCCACCACCCCTGGCTAATTTTTGAATTTTTAGTAGAGATGGGTTTTCACCGCGTTGGCCAGACTGCTCTCGAACTCCTGACCTCAAGTGATCCACCCGTCTCGGCCTCCCAAAGTGCTGGGATTACATGCATGAGCGACCACACCTGGCTTTTTTTTTTTTTTGAGACGGAGTCTTGCTCTGTCACCCAGGCAGGAGTGCAGTGGCACGATCTCAGCTTACTGCAACCTCCATCTCCCAGGTTCAAGCAATTCTCCTGTCTCAGCCTCCTAAGTAGTTGGGATTACAGGCATGCACCACCACCCCTGGCTAATTTTGTATTTTTAATAGAGATGGGGTTTCACCATGTAGGTCAGGCTGGACTCAAACTCTGGACCTCAGGTGATCTGCCCTCCTCAGCCTCCCAAAGTGCTGGGATTACAAGCGTGAGCCACCGTGCCCAGCGAGTAAATCACTTTTAAAATCATTTTGTTTCTCTAATTTGCCCACTCTTATTATACAAGTACTTGTTTTAAATATGATCAAAGACCTTCCCTCCATATGTAAATGATAATGTGCTAGAGCTGAGGGCTTTTATGAGCCCTTCCCTTGTGCCAGGCACAGTGCCAAGGGCATCGCATGCATTACCTTGTTTCATCTTTACAACCCTACAAGGTAGGTGCTGTGATGATTTCCACCTCTAGATAAGGAATTGCAGTGCAGCCAGGCTCAGTGGTCTGTCTAGGGTGACAGAGTGAGGGGCAGCAGGATTGCAAAGCCCTGGCACTGGCTCTCAGAGTGGGGCATCAGACTCCAAACCCCACACTGCATGGTGGCAGCAGCTGCTTGCTTCCCAGGAGCAGGCAGCAAAGCTAAAGTTTTGTTTTGTTTTGTTATTTTTATTATTTTATTTTATTTTATTTTATTTTATTTTATTTTATTTTATTTTATTTTATTTTATTTTTGAGACACAGTTTCGCTCTTGTTGCCCAGGCTGGAGCGCAATGGTGCGATCTCAGCCCACTGCAACCTCTGCCTTCCGGGTTCAAGCAATTCTCCTGCCTCAGCCTCCCGAGTAGCTGGAATTACAGGCATGCACCCCCATGCCTGGCTAATTTTTTTTATATTTTTAGTAGAGACAGGGTTTCTCCATGTTGGTCAGGCTGGTCTTGAACTCCTGACCTCAGGTGATCCACCCACCTTGGCCTCCCAAAATGTTGGGATTATAGGCGTGACCCACTGCACCTGGCCCCATTTTTATTTTTTATTATTTATTTACTTATTTATTTATTTTTGAGAGGGAGCCTTGCTCTGTTGCCCAGGCTGGAGTGCAACTGCACAATCTCAGCTCACTGCAACCCCTGCCTCCCGGGTTCAAGCGATTCTCCCTGCCTCAGCCTCCCAAGTAGCTGGGATTACAGGTGCCCACCACCATATCCAGCTTATTTTTGTATTTTTAGTAGAGACAGGGTTTCATCATGTTGGCCAGGCTGGTCTCGAACCCCTGACCTCAGGTGATCACCTGCCTCAGCCTCCCAAGGTGCTGGGATCACAGCAGTGAACCACCATGCCCAGTCTTGTTTTGTTATTTTTAAACTTAATTAATTAATTTATTTATTTTGAGACAGGGTCTCACTCTGTTGCTCAGGATGGAGTACAGTGGCACAATCTTGGCTCACTACAACCTTTGCCTCCCAGGCTCACTGCAACCTTCAGCCTCCCAAGTAGCTGGAACTACAGGCATGCACCACCACGCCAGCTAATTTTTTTACTTTTTGTAGAGATGGGGTTTCGCCATGTTGCCCGGGCTGCTCTTGAACTCCTGGACTCAAGAGATTCGCCCACCTCTGCCTTCTAAAGTGCTGGGATTACATGTGTGAGCCACCACACTCGGCCTTATTTTGTTTTTTTAGAGACAGGATCTTGCTCTGTTGCCCAGGTTGGAGTGCAGTGGTGTGATCATAGCTCACTGCAGCCTCAACCTCCCAGGCTCAAGTAGCTGGGACTACAGGCGTGTGCCACCATGCCCAGCTAAAATGTTCTAATTTTCTTCATCTAAAAAAATTTTTGATTTTTTGTAGAGATGGGGTTTTGCCATGTTGCCCAGGTTGGTCTCGAACTCCTAGGCTCAAGTGATGCTCCCGTCTCAGCCTCCGACTGTTTTTGGATTACAGGTGTGAGCTACTGTGCCTGACCTGGGGTCTTGCTTTAGAGGTACAAAGGAAAACTGATGCCAAGTAGGTTTCTCTAAGCCCAGACCAATGTTCCCTCAGTACAGGATGGCACTTGCACTGCTGAGGTGCTGGCACCTGTGGTCCAGGCCACACCCTCTATGCCACTTTCCACAGGGCAGGCTTTGGGCCTTGCAATACAGCCAAGGAGAGCTTATCTGAGAGGTTCAAACAAGAAGTTCTGCATTTTTTTATTTACATCTAAACATTTAGGTATTTATTCAACACTTTGAAGTGGTGTGGTTGAAAGAGAGAAAAGGTATGAGACTAAAGAGCTCTGAACATTAGAAGAAAAGGGAGGTTAAATGGGCAGAGGGCTATTCAAACTATCGAACAACCAGCCCGGCATGGGCGCTGACCCGTCAGAACAGGCGGATGCTGTCCTAAAAGCCATCCCTGCTGGGCCCTGTTCTCCCTTCAGTGGCTGGGTCATGGGAGGATAGGGAGGGCAGGGCGGGTGGTGGAGGAATCTGGAGGGCTTAGAAGCTGCAGCAAGGTACCTATGAATACAGAATTGTAGTGGTGTTTTATAATCCATTTGGCAACGTGGGTATTTATAGCTGAATGTCAGCCTGGCTAAGGGTATAATCAGGGTAGATTGCTTTCCAATAAGCCCATAATCTTAGCACTGCTTCCCCTGGGTTTCTTGAGGATGAGTTGGGGAAGCAATGGTGCTATGTCAAATCTAAGTGGAAGCAGATGCCAGTCACAGAGGATAGAAGGCAAGAAAAGAGCCAGTTGGGTTCTTTTTGTCAGCAGTTGTGCTACAGGCTCTAAAGGGTTTGAAATGTGAATTTCACCTTAAGAAAGCACTGCAAAACATGTCACTGGTTAGAGTAAACATCAATTTCCTGCAAGGGGGTTACTAGGCAGTAGATCTGAAGTTAAAATTGTTTATATAAATAAATTGTGAATTATTTTATCAAAAAAGTAATATTTGTTAAATGCTAAAATCCCAGCAATTCAAAATAAAATAGAGTAAGATGTAATATCTCCTTTCGTCCCTCCAGCCCTCTCTCTCCTGGCAGTTGTACTGTGAGCAGCTGGTGGGTCTTCCCTCTCCAACTCAATGTCTGTGATGGCATTACTTGGCCCTGGTGGCACACCTCCCTCGGTGGAACTGAAACTGGGCACCTCTAGGGGACTCGCATCAATGCAGGGCCAGGCTTCCTGCTGTGGAAAGTGAGGGGCAACCCGCTGGGCACCCCATCTTTGTGAAGAACCCCTGGGTGCTCCATCCTTGTATCTGAAGTAACCTGATAGCCACTGCTCATTCACTCATTCATTCATTCATTCGCTTATCAGACAAATACTTATTGAGTGCCTACTGTGCACCAAGCATCATTTCTAGTGCTCAGAACCCCTCAGTGGACAAAAGAATGACCTTTGTCTTCATAAGTCAAAGAAGTGGGGGACAGACAATGCCCATAATAAATAACAGAATTATATGGGCTATCAGAGGGAATTGGTGCCATGGGAGAGGGCAGAGCAGGTTTCAGGGGACTGGAGGCCTTGGGGAGGGCAGTGGTCAGGGCAGGCATCAGTAGGAAGACTTGAACAAAGCCTTAAAGGAGGTAAGGACGTAGCCACATAGACTTCTGAGCAAAGGGCATCTTGGGCAGAGGGAAAGACCAGTGCAGAGGCCCTAGGGCAGGGCTGAGCCTGGCCTCTCCAAGGACTGGCAGGGCCAGTGGGCTGAAGTGGAAGTGACACTGGAGAAGTCACGTGGCCTTTCTTTACTTCTTTCCCGATAAGACTTTGGCTCCGCATCTGCGTGAAATGGGCAGCAATGCCGGTGTGAGCAGGGGGTGGCACAGCATAATTTACATCACACAAGGAGCTCCTGGTCTGCTGCTCTGAGAATAGACTGGGGACAGGGGCAGAAGAACAGACAGGAAGCCCCAGCCTAGCCCAGGTGAGAGGTGGTAGCAGCTCCCACCAGGTGTCGGTCATGAGAAGAGGCTGGATTTTGAATGCATTTGGAAGAATATTCTAATAGGTGGGGCATGAATCTAAGAAAGAGGAACCCAGATGACACCAAGCTTCTGGTCACTGGTTTGTCTCTGGAGCAACTAGGGATACCTTTACCTGCCCCATCTCTGGTAAAGGTGCAGGTGGAAACTGTTATTTTTTGTGGGGGGCTGAGATCAAGATTTCCACCTTAGAAGTTTGGATTTGAGATGTCCATTAGATAACCATTTCCTAAAACCTGGGTTGGCAGAGCTGTGGAGGCGGTGGCTCCATTCTTGTAAGAGTCCAAGAGCTCCTTGGGGACTGAGACCTGAACTCCCACCCCCAAGTTCGTATTTTGGAGTTCACTGCACTGAACCAGAATGGCTCTGCCTGAGGCCCAGGGATGGTTCTGCCTGAGTCCTGGCTCTGGAGTGGCTCCACACAACGCCCTGGGGCTCAGGCCCGGCCACAGAGCTTGAGCTGGATGGAACCTCATGGAACTATGACCTCATGGATGCACACAGGGACTGAGCCAGAGCAAGCTTTAACGCCACTCCTGAAGATGGTAAGAAAGCCACTAGGAAGCCCCATGCTATTTGCGTCTAACTAAGCATCTTCCTGCCTATCCACCCACCCTCGCTGCATATATTCCACTTTGGTTTTTTTGTTTTTTGTGTGTGTGTGACAGAGTTTTGCTCTTGTTGCCCAGGCTGGAGTGCAATGGTGTGATCTCAGCTCACTGAAATCTCCACTTCCCGGGTTCAAGCAATTCTACTGTCTCAGCCTTCCCGGGTAGCTGGGATTACAGACATGCACCACCACACCGAGCTAATTTTTATATTTTTAGTAGAGATGGGGTTTCTCCATATTGGTCAGGCTGGTCTAGAACTCCCGAACTCAGGGGATCCGCCCGCCTCAGCCTCCCAAAGTGGTGGGATTACAGGCATGAGCCACTGCACCTGGCCCCATTTTTATTTATTTATTTATTTATTTATTTATTTATTTATTTATTTTGAGAGGGAGTCTTGCCCTGTTGACCAGGCTGGAGTGCAATGGCCTCCATTTTGTTTTTAATTTGCCAATATCATTGGCCAAAAAGTGATTTCTCATTGCTTCATTTTGTAATTCCTAAAGGGGTTTGAGCATCCTGTACGATTCTGACTTACACTGAATTGCTGCTGTTTCTCTTATTGAGTCTTTGATGCTCTTTATACATGCCTGCTTTAATTTCTTTTTGAGATGAAGTTTCGTTCCTGTCACCCAGGCTGGAGTGCAATGGCACAATCTCGGCCCACTGCAACCTCCACCTCCCAGGTTCAAGTGATTCTTCTGCCTCAGCCTCCCGAGTAGCTGGGATTACAGGTGCCTGCCACCACGCCCAGCTAATTTTTGTATTTTTTAGTAGAGACGAGGTTTCGCCACGTTAGTCAGGCTGTTCTCGAACTCCTGACCTCAGGTGATCCACCTGCCTCGGCCTCCTAAAGTGCTGGGATTACAGGCCTGAGCCACCACGCCTGGCTTACTTTAATTTTTTAATTTTTATTTGTTATTTTTTTGAGACAGGGTCTCTCTCTGTTGCCCAGGCTGGAGTGCAGTGGTGTGATCATAGCTCACTGCAGCCTCAACCTCCCACCTCAGCCTTCCCAAGAAGCTGGGACCATAGGCGCGTGCCACCACACCCAGCTAAGGTTTTTAAATGTTTTGTAGAAATGAGGTTTTGCCGTGTTGCCCTGGCTGGTCTCAAACTCCTTGGCTCAAGTGATCCTTCCACCTCGGCCTCCCAGTGTTAGGATTACAGGCATGAGCCACCATGCCTGGCCCATGCTTTATTTTTTCCTTTCTAGAGCAGTTCTCTGTGCTGTGCAAAGCTCAGGGGGAAACAGGGAGCAGGTAAAGCTGCTGAGCAGCTCTGTTCAAGGCTCACTAAAAAGGGGTTTCTCAGCCCACTTCCAGATGTGGGGGAGGGATCATCTGACTGACCTGATAGTTTCAAGTTTCAACCCCAGGGCCAATAAAACTCTGGGCAGAGAGGTCATTTAATTTGACCCACCACCCTCAGCCTAGGTAGTCTCCCTCAGTGTGAGAAGTGATTGGCAGTGGGAGAAGTGATTGGCAGCTCCAGGCCATTTTACAGCACTGCTACTCATGGTGTCCACCAGTTCTCCATGACAAGAGCCAATTTACGCGGTGTGGACCTCATCAACAGGTAATTGACAACCTCCACTTTTGGGCAGAGGGAGGACGTTTGCAAAGTGGTGTTTTAGGAATATAATTCTGACAGTGTGTGTTAGATAAAAGGAGGAAGGCTCAGCTGGAAAAACAAACTACAAGGTGAAGTAAAATTAAAATACAGAAAATAGGCAGGGCGTGGTGGCTCACGCGTGTAATCCCAGTACTTTTGGAGGCCGAGGCGGGCGGATCACCTGAGGTCAGGAGTTTGAGACCAGCCTGACCAACATGGTGAAACCTCATCTCTACTAAAAATACAAAAATTAGTTGGGCGTGGTGGCACGTGCCTGTAATCCCAGCTACTCAGAAGGATGAGGCAGGAGAACTGCTTGAACCCAGGAGGCAGAGGTTGCAGTGAGCCGAGATAGTGCCATTGCACTCCAGCCTGGGCGACAGAGCGAGACTCCATCTCAAGAATAAATAAATAAAATACAGAAAATAAAAACGTGGTTTTTTAATTTATGCAGTGTCTGAGTGAATGTGAACATACCATGTTAGGCAACAGATGTGGCTCCAAAGACACAGTGCTATTCGATTAGAGTTGCACAACACAGCTCAGTGGCAGAATGCAATATAAAATGCTTGCAATTCAAAGCTCAGTGATTAATAACAACAGCGGGCGAATCTCAGTGCTTGGTAAATGCCTGGGAGCCCAGCAGTTTCCTGTCCAGCCAATTATTTTAAACATTTGGACCTTAATTAGTGCTAATGTTGTTTGGTTAATATGTATTTATTTTTCCTATTACTTTAGCTCTGAAGTGGTTATTTTTTGTTAATTCGGAAACCCTGTAACTCAGAATGACAAATCTTTTTGAACATTCCTCTCCTAGCCCCCACCCCCAAATTTGATGGTCCTTGTTTGCTATTTTTGTAATATAATTATCATGCTATTATGAGGTTAGGATGTAGGGTGTGGGTTGGGATTCAGTGAGACATACTCATACCGGAGCTGAGGTCTGGGAATGAACAGGTCATCATCACCTAAGCAGCCCCACCTCTGTTTCCAGGAAAAACCAATATACCTATGACGTAGTTGCAATTAAAAAAAAAAAAAGACTGATTCAGAACCCAAAGAATGCGGCTGTGAGAAGGAAAGATGTGGGGAAATAAACTGGCTGTGACCGTCAGCCTAGCACTTTCAAAACTCCCATCAATACAAACCCTCCGATGTTGCAGAGGACAGGAAGTACAGAAAGCTAAGGTCAGAATAGAAGGAACGCTCCAAAATAAATTCTCTCTGAGTACAAGGGTATGTCTTACTGTGTGGTTGGTGGTTTGTTATCCCTTTGTGGAGTACAGAAGGTAGACAGGGTGGTGCCCAGACCATGTCTGCACAATCAGGTGACATGGAACACGCTCTGGCTTGCTGCAGGACGCCTTCAGACCAGAGTTCAGGTGGTGGGTGGCAGGTCAGCCATGGAACATAGGTTGGACAGAAGATGTACGAATGCAAAGCAGTGACTAAGCATGAGCCACTGATCCCAACCTGACACAAGCAATGGTATGGGCAGAGTTTGGTTTTGTAGTCTCTTCATCTCCTCTTTCTGATCTCCTGCTTTAATGCCCTCTACCACTGGGGTTTTTTAACCCTCCAAGTTTGTTCTCTCTAGAGGGCTTTCCACATCCCAAGTTCCACTCTTTTCCCATTCCTCCATGGCCTGGTCTCTGTCACTGTCATGAGGACTGGAAGCTAACACACCAAGTCACACTCACGTGGGGCTGCTGGGTGGCCAGCTTGCCACATCCCATGCCACTGCCTGGAGGCACCACACAGAGGGACTCCTGGCATTGAGGCAAACACATGGCAGCAGTATTTCAGAAGACCACTCTTCTGGGGATCCCTCAGGTCAAACCATGTAGGTAGGTGATTGTTTACTGTACCTCAGCAGAATTTAAAGGGATTCAAAGGTGTGTGGTGAAACAGCACACAAGTATAGTCACTAAGGAGACAAAAGAATCAGAAGCTCAGGGACTGACTGGCCTTTGTGGTTCCTAAAGGAGAAACTTTTACTCAAGTAAAGGTTGTGAAAGGAAAATAAATCTCAGGACCCCAAAGTCACTAAGCCAAGAGAAAAGTCAAGCTGGGAACTATGTCAGGAAAACCTGCCTCCGTTTTATTCCTGAGTAAGATAGCTACAAAGATACCTCCCTCACAATTTGCCCACAGGAAATTCCTTGTGGACAAAGAGCGGACAGAACTCTAGAAGTCATCCCTTTAAGGCTCACCCGAGACACATGCGTATCTGATTGCTTCTTCTGCCCTATTGTTTATGTAAAAATGCAGATTCACTGAGCCAGACTAAATTGCGTATTCAGTGGAAGGCTGATCAAGGACTCAAAGGAATGCAACCTTTTGTCTCTTGTCTACTTCTGACCTGGAGGCCCCCCACTTCCTGACTTACCAGGCCAAACCACTGTACAGCTTACACATACTGATTGATGTCTCATGTATCTCTAAAACGTATAAAAGCAAACTGTACCCCCGACCACCTTGGGCACATCCTGAGGCCATATCACAGGCACGTCCCCAACCCTGGCAAAATAAACTTTCTAAATTGACTGAGACCTGTCTTAGATATTCTGGGTTAACAAGGTTCGAAGGGAAAATCCCTATGAGAGAAAATAATGTGTTTTTTTCCGACTTGCCTTTTATGAAGAAACTGCCCCCAGTTGCAGCAGGAGCTCCTCATGGGGTTTGGGCTCGTGTGCTTGCATGCTGCCTCTGCACAAGGGGACAGATCTTCCCAGTCTCTCCTTCTGTAAAGCAAGCGGCAAGGCTGAGCCTGGAGCCCATCTCCTGTGAACGCGTCTCCTGCATCTTCAGCTCCACTGCTTTCCCTCAGCCACAAGAGGCTGTGAGGCTGAACCTCCCTCCTTTGTAGTTTCTAAAGTTTGTGTCATTCACAAACGCTCTTTTGCCCTTGCCTTTCCCTAAACTCCCCGCTTTCCTCCCACATCACCTTCCCACCTGTTGCTAGGCCATGTCCTTCGGGGGAGAAGTCACCACATCAGCCCTCTAATGACATTGACTCCTCGGATCTGTTGAGTCTTTCCTTATCTTCTCTGCTTGCCATGTCTTCATTAGAAGTTTTGTGTTTGCACGAGCTCCACAAGGTTTACCAGCATCTCCCATAAGACTGCCAAGTATTCACATTTGTTTGCAAATGTGAAAGGAAAATATCTTGGACCCCCAAAATCACTAAGCTAAAAGGAAAATTCAAGCTGAGGACTGCTTAGGGAAAACCTGCCTCCCGTTCTATTCAAAGTTATCCCTCTGCTCACTGATATAAATGCATATCTGATTGCCTCCTTTGGAAAGGCTAATCAGACACTCAAAAGAATGCAACTGTTTTGTCTATCTGTGACCTGGAAGCGCCCTCCCCGCTTCCTTCCAGTCCTCCTGCCTTCGCTTGCAGTTGTCCACATTTCCAGACCGAACCAATCTACTTCTTATATATATCGATGTCTCACATCTCCCTAAAATGTATAAAATCAAGCTGTGCCCCAACCACCTTAGGTACGTCATCAGGACTTCCTGAGGCTGTATCACAGGCGCACATTCTCGACCTTGGCAAAATAAAACTTTCTAAATTAACTGAGACCTGTCTCAGATTTTCTGGGTCCACACAAGTATGATCATTAATGTTTTTACTCTGACCTTGAATGTATTTGAAAACATTCCGGACACTACACACTACTTAACTATAAATGGACTTAAGATTTCTTTTTGGCAAGAACTTTTTAAATGGGGAGAACAATATCAAAGTAACAATTAAAAAATTATCCAGAATGTCAGCCTCCACCCATGGAAGATAATCTGCTACAGGAACTATCTTCCTGCCATAAAAACTTAAACAAAATAAATGAGTGCTATTTTCAGAGACTGAGCAACAGGCAGTGCAAGGAAGCAAAGGAAGCAAATCCTGAGAGAAGAGAAACAAACCAGATAAGCCCTATGATTGCCTTGGCTTACTTCCTGGAGGCGAAGTCTGGGCTGCAGCACAGGGCGAGAAGCTGAAGAGCCCTCCCCTCCGCTGGTCCCCAACCGAGGTCTCACTGAGCCGAGAAGCTGAGAGAAAATCACTGCACAGCTAACAGTTGACCCCTGAACAATATGGGTTTGAGCTGTGCATGCCACATATACAAGGATTTTCTTCGGCCTCTGCCACCCTTGAGACAACGCAACCAACCCCTCCTCCTCCTCCTTCTCAGCCTATGTAATGTGAAGATAATGAGGATGAAGACCTTTATGATGATCTGCTTCCGCTTAATAAATAATAAATATATTTTCTCTTCCTTATGATTTTCTTAGAACACTCTTTTCTCTAGCTTACTCTATTGTGAGACTACAGTATAAAACACATATGACACACCAAATATGCATTAACTGACTGTTCTGGTCATTGGTAAGGCTTTTGGTCAATAACAGGCTACACTAGTTAAGTTTGGAGGAAATCAAAAGTTATATGTGGATTTTTGACTGCACAGGGAGGCGGGTGGGGGTCAGTCCCCCTAGCCCCCGCATTGTTCACGAGTCAACTGTAGAATGAAGAGGCCAAGACAACTAGAATACACAGAGCAGAGTACTAAAGAAAATGCGCAAAGAAAGGGCGTTTGGAGCTCTGCAGAGGCGTGCCCTTGATCCTTTGAGAACTGACTAGTGCATGCATGGAATGACATTCCACAGGCATGAGAAAGAATCGCCAGAGAGCAGTAGGTGACAAGACTGCCAGAACCCACATAGGCAGGTAAGCAGGCTTCACAACCTGGGACAGAGTCCTCAGAAGAGGCACACCTTACAACTGGGGTTAAAGTGGCTCTAGAACAAAGGCCGCCTTACACCCACTCAAACAAACCTCTCCAACCAACCCACAAAAATATCTGCAGGGAATTTAACTGCTTGCCAAACAAAGTACAATGCTCTTTCTTTCTTTTTGAGACGGAGTCTCACTGTGTTGCCCAGGCTGGCGCAATCTTGGCTCACTGCAACCTCTGCCTCCCGGGTTCAAGAGATTCTCCAGCCTCAGCCTCAGCCTCCCAAGTAGCTGGGACTACAAGTGCGTGCCACCACGCCCAGCTAATTAATGCTCTTTAAAAGAATGCAAAAAAACTCCAGCATGTAACAATGTAAAATTCACAAATACAGCAACTAAATTTAAAAAAAAAAAAGCTGTCATGCAAAGAAGGTAAAAATTGTGACCCACAACTAGGAGGAAAATCTCAATTAATACAAACACATCAAGAATTGACAGAGATGATGGAATGAGCATACAAGAACCTTAAAATGGGTAACTCTAAATATTATAAATATATTCAGGAGCTATAGAAAAACATTATAAGTAGAAAAATACAATTTTTATTTTTATTTATTTATTTATGTATTTTTTTTTTCTGAAATGGGGTCTCACTCTGTCGTCCAGGCTGGAGTGCAGTGGCGCGATCTCAGCTCACTGCAACCTCCACCTCCCAGTTTCAAGTGATTCTCCTGCCTCAGCCTCCTGAGTAGCTGGGACTACAGGCTCATGCCACCACACCTGGCTAAGAGAAATGAAATGTTTAAATTTAAAAGACTTAAGTGGACCATTTGATACAGTGTCTAAAATGAACAAATACACTAGATGAGATTAACAGCAGATTAAACACTGCAAAAAAAAAACTGGGTTAATTTATAGACACAGCAATAGATCTAAAGTGAAGCACAGGCTGGGTGCAGTGGCTCATGACTGTAATCCCAGCACAAGGAGGCTGAGGCAGGTGGATCACCTGAGGTCAGGAGTTTGAGACCAGCCTGGCCAACATAGCAAAACCCTGTCTCTACTAAAAATACAAAAATTAGCTGGGCATGGTGGCACATGCCTGTAATCCCAGCTACTTGGGAGGCTGAGGCAGGAGAATCACTTGAACCTGGGAGGCGGAGGTCGCAGTGAGCCGAGATTGCGCCACTGCACTCCAGCCCGGATGACAGAGTGAGAGTCCATCTCAAAAAAAAAAAAAAAAAAACTTTAGACTAACATCATAATAATGAAAGAATAAATGCTTTCCTCCTAAGATAATGAATAAGGGAAGGATGTTTTCTCTCACCACTTCTAATTAACATTTTACTGGAGGTCCTACCTAGTACAATAAAGCAAAACAAAGAAACAAAAGGTAAACAGATCAGAAAGAAGAAATAAATACCCTAATTTGCAGATGGCATGATTGTCTATATAAACCATTCCAAAGAAGTTACAAAAAAGATACTTAAACTTTTGAATTTTGCAAAATGACAGGATACAAAATATTTATGCAAAAATCTATTGTAGTTCTATATACTAGCAGCTAACTTTTGGAATTTTAAATTCAGGGGAAAAAAGCCTCTTTTTTTTTTTTTTTTAAGACAGAGTTTTGCTCTTATTGCCCAGGCTGGGGTGCAATGGCACAATCTTGGCTCACCGCAACCTCTGCCTCCCAGGTTCAAGCAATTCTCCTGCCTCAGCCTGCCAAGTAGCTGGGATTACAGGCATGTGCCACCATGCTAATTTTTGTATTTTTAGTAGAGACAGGGTTTCTCCATGTTGGTCAGGCTGGTCTCGAACTCCCAACCTCAGGTGATCTGCCCACCTCGGCCTCCCACAGTGCTGGGATTACAGGCATGAGCTACTGCGCCCAGCCAAAGAAATGCCTTTTATATTAGCATACACAAATATGAAATGCCTAGGGATAAATCAAACAAAAGAAGTGCAAACCTGTACATTGAAAACTTCAAGACACTGAGAGAAACTTTTTTTTAATTTACATAAATGGGCAAGTGTGGTGGCTCACACCTATAACCCCAGTACTTTGGAAGGCCAAGGCAGGAGGATTGCTTGAGTCCAGGACTTCCGGACCAGCCTGGACAACATAATAAGATCCTGTCTCTACAAAAAATTTAAAAATTAGCTGGGCATGGTGGTGCGCACCTGTGGTCTCAGCTACTCAGGAGACTGAGGTAGGAGGATCACTTGAGCCCAGGAGTTTGAGGTTGCAGTGAGCTGTGATCATGCCACTGTACTCCAGCCTGAGTGACAGAGTGAGACCCTGTCTCAAAAAAAAAGATTTATATAAATGGAGAGGTGTACCATGTTCATGAATTACAATACTCGCTACTGTTAATATGTCAATTCTCCCCAGTTGGTATATAGATTTAATACAATTCCGATAAAATCTCAGCAGGTTTTTTTAAACTTAAGCTTGCATGAAAATGTAAAATACCTAAAATAGCCAAACCAAGTTTGAAAAAGAACAATGGTTGGAGGAATTATACTAACCAATTTTAAGACCAAGAAGCTAAGGTTGTCAAGACTTTAGGAATGGCATTAGAGTAGGCATGTAAATCAACGGAACAGAACAGATTCCAGAAATGAACCCACATATTTCATCTCTGACAATTATGCCAAGGTGACACAATAGGCAAAATATAGTCTTTTCAACAAATGGTGATGAAATAATCAGATATCCATAAGGAATCTTATTTCACATATATACAAAAAGTAATTTGAAATAGATCATAGACCTAAATATCAGATATAAAACTATATAATTTCTGAAGAAAATCTGGGAGAAAGTCTTTATTATCTTGGTTGGGCATGGTGGCTCATGCCTGTAATCCCAGGACAGTGGGAGGCTGAGGCAGGCAGATCACGAGGTCAGGAGTTTGAGACCAGCCAGGCCAACATGGTGAAACCCCATCTCTACTAACAATACAAAAAATTAGCCAGGCATGGTGGCAGGTGCCTGTAATCGCAGCTACTTGGGAGGCTGAGGCAGGAGAATCACTTGAACCCGGGAGGTGGAGGTTGCAGTGAGCTGAGACCAGGCCACTGCACTGTGGCCTGGGCAATAGAGTGAGACTCTATCTCAAAAAAAAAGAAAAAGTGAGAGAGGAGGAGGGGAAGAGAGGGAAGAGAAAAGAAAAGGAGCTGAAGGAGAAGGAAGAGAAGTTCCCCCCAAATCCTGTCCTCCCTAACTAAAGTGCTGAGAAAACTGTGGCCTAACAACAAAAAAAACCTTTTTGGCAAATTCTACCACACTCCAGCTAAAAGTTAATGGAAAAACTGCCCCCAGCAGTTTTAGCAAAACTGAGTAAGAAGCTGGTCTTTCCCCCTATACCTCTGTCCCATGGAAGCAGGTGCCAGTGCTCCAATTTCTCCGTGTAGTGGTGTCAGCAAAGCTGAGCAAAGATTTGATAGCTGAAGCAAAAATCATTAATTTCTATCTATCTCCTATCTGATAGAAGCAGGTGATACCCCGATTTTCCCACCAAGGTAGTATCAGTGGGGTCCAGCATCAATCAAGCTGAACCACCAGCCCCACCGGTAGCACCTGCTGGTTCCATGTTTGCTGAGATGGTGTTGACAGGACCCATGGGAAGCAGAATTCACAATCATAAGCTTTCATGCTGCATCTCAGCAGGGACTACTGGGTAAACACAAGGAGATTGCAGAGGATCCAGAGTCTCAAAATTAGTATCCAAAATATCCAGGGTAGAGTTGAAAATTATTCATCAAACCAAGAAGCAGGAAAATCACAACCTGAATGAGAAAAGTCAATAGACATTAACACCAAGATGAATCTCATGTTGGAATTATCTGGAAGGGTTTTAAAGCAGCCAATATAGAAATGTTTCAACAAGCAATTAAGAATTCCCTTAAGCAAAAAGAAAAAAAAATTCTTTGCAAAGAAAGAGAGGTTATAAAAAGGATTCAAATGGAAATGATGGAACAAGAAAATAGAAGAAATGAAATTTTAAAACTCTCTGAGTGGGCTCAATAGTATAATGGAAATGAGAGGAGATAGAATCAGAGATCCTGAGAACAAATCAGTAGAATTTACCCCATCTGAGCAATGGAGAAAACAGACTGGGAAAGAGGTGGAACAGGAACCCATATGACAATAACAAAAGAGCTAATATTTCTACTGGGGAGTCATAGAAGGAAACCGAGAGTGGGACTGAAAAGTCTTTGAAGAAATAATGGCCAAAAACTTCCCAAATCTGGAGATACACACACACACACACACACACACACACACACACACACATCCCTATGGATATATACATACAGATTGAGTATCCCTAATTAGAAAATCCCAAATCCAAAATGCTCCAAAATCCAAAACTTTTTGAATGCCAACATGATGCTGAAAGGAAATGCTCATTGGAGCTCTTCACATTTCGGATTTTCAGATTAGGAAAATCTGAAAATTTCCTCAGTTACTTCTTTATAGCAATGTGAGAACAGCCTATTATACCTTATTTGAAAAGCCTGGGACCACAAGTGTTGTTTTGGGATTTTGGAATATTTGCATTATGCTTACCAGTTCAGGCAGGAGAATCGCTTGAACCTGGGAGGTAGAGGTTGCAGTGAGCCGAGATTGTGCCACTGCATTCCAGCCTGATGACAGAGTGAGATTCCATCTCAAAAAAAAAAAAAAAAGAGGTTTAGTTGGCTCACAGCTCTGCAGGCTGTAGAGGAACCATAGCAGGCTTCTGATTTTGGGGAGGGCTCAGGAAGCTTCCAGTCATGGCAGAAGGCAAAGAAGAAGCTTACCTGTCACACTGCCAGAGCAGGAGCAAAGAGAGTGAAGGGGGAGGTGCCACACACTTTTAAACAAGCATAGTGAGAACTCACTATCCTGAGGAAATTACCAAGGGGATAGTGCCAAGCCATTCATGAGAAATCCACCCCCATGATCCAATCTCCTCCCACCAGGCCCCACCTCCAACATTGGGGATTACAATTCAACATGAGATTTGGTGGGGACACAGACCCAAACCACATTATAAGAGATACTCAATGTTTGTAGACACACACATGCACACACACAGGCATACCTCATTTCGTTTTGCTTTGCTTTACTGCACTTTGCAGCTATTACATTTTTTACAAATTAAAGGTTTGTGACAACCCTGCTGTGGACCCTGAATATCTGAGACAGGTCTCAGTTATTTTGCCAAGGTTGAAGATGGGCACCCATGACACAGCCTCAGGAGGTCTTAAAGACATGTGCCCAAGGTGGTCAGAACACAGTTTGGTTTTATAAATTTTAGGGAGACATGAGACATCAATCAACATATTTAATATGAACATTGGTATATTACTCTGCTTTCGTGCTGCCGATAAAGACATACCTGACATGGGTAATTTATAAACCAAAAGAGGTTTAATGAACTCACATTTCCACATGGCTGAAGAGGCCTCACAATCATGGCAGAAGGTGAAAGTCACGTCTTACGTGGTGGCAGGCAAGAGAGAGAAATAAGAGTCAAGTGAAAGGGGAAACCCCTTATAAAATCATCAGATGTTGTGAGACTTACTCACTACCACGAGAACAGTATGGGGGAAACCACCCCATGATTCAATTATCTGCCACCAGGAGTTGTGGGCCGGGTGTGGTGGCTCACACCTGTAATACCAGCACTTTGGGAGGCCGAAGCGGGTGGATCACTTGAGGCCAGCCTGGCCACACAGTGAAACCCCGTCTCTACTAAAAATAGAAAAAAACAGCTGGGCATGGTGGCACACACTTGCAATCCCAGCTTACTCGGGAGGGTGAGGCATAAGAATCACTTGAACCCAGGAGGTTGCAGTGAACTGAGATCGTGCCACTGCACTCCAGCCTGGGCGATAGAGTGAGATTCCCTCTCAAAAAATAAAAAAATAAAAATAAGGGGTTGTGGAGACCAAGATTTTATCAAGCAGATAAAGCCTTCAGGTAGCAGGCTTCAGAGAGAATAGACTGCAAATGTTTCTTATCAGACTTAAAGAGTCTGCTCTAGCAGTCTTAAGGTCTCTGTGTTGATGTTAATGCTGGTAAGCTGTGCCTGAATTCCAAAAGGGCAGACGGTATAATGAGATATGTCTGACACCGTGGCGGGTGCCTGTAATCCCAGCTACTCAGGAGGCTGAGGCACG
Organism: Homo sapiens; assembly: GCF_000001405.40. NCBI lineage: Eukaryota > Metazoa > Chordata > Mammalia > Primates > Hominidae > Homo > Homo sapiens. The sequence goes on along the minus strand of NC_000002.12, from coordinate 109,692,927 downwards.
AGAATCGCTTGAACCCGGGAGGTGGAGGTTGCAGAGAGCCGAGATCGCACCATTGCACTCCAGCCTGGGGGACAAGAGCAAGACTTCATCTCAAAAAAAAAAAAAAAGAAAGAAAGAAAAAAGAAATACAAGTTGAATGAGTGACGGTTAAAAGATGAGGAACGAGGCGCATGTGGGCCCTTCCCTCTGCAATTTCAGAGGTGAATTTATGCAGGCAGCCACTTAGCTGCTTCTTGGGAAACCAAATGATTGACTTAGGGAAAGGAGAAATGGCACCGGGCCGCAGTGGGGAAGTGGGCCTCCCTCCCACAGGCTTCCTCGCTTTCTCCCACACGGCCTCGGCCTCCAGCTGAGCCAAAACCAAACAAAAACCCAAGGACCTTCTTAACAAGGAGAGAAGCAGACGGCCTCTCAGCTTGGATTTTGTTTCTCTCAGTTCTGCTCTCACATTTGATTTTTATTGAGATATAATTTGCATACTATAAAAACCACCCCCTAAGGTAAACAACTCAGTGGTTTAGAGTCTGTTCTCAGAGTTGTGCATCTGCCACCACCGTAACCACTTTAGAACACTTTATTACCCCAAGGAGATGTGCCACCCCTCTGCTGTAACCCCAGCGCCCTCCCCACCGCCCCCAGCCTGAGGCAGCCCCCTCTCTGCCTTCTGTTTTATGTGTTTGCCTATCAGAGACAGTTCCCCTAAATAGAATCACGTACCATGTGGCCTTTCGTGTCTGGCTTTTTTCTGCTGCCACATTTTATCCACTCCTGATTCAGAACACAAAAACCTAAAATGTGCAAGGGATGGATTTGGGTTTGATAGGCAGAAATTGAAAACTGATCATGGGCCGGGCATGGTGGCTCACGCCTGTAATCCCAGCACTTTAGGAGGCCGAGGCGGGTGGATCATGAGGTCGGGAGTTCAAGACCAGCCTGGCCAAGATGGTGAAACCTCGTCTCTACTAAAAAATACAAAAATTAGCTGGGCACGGTGGCGGGCGCCTGTAATCCCAGCTACTCGGGAGGCTGAGGCAGGAGAATTGCTTGAACCTGGGAGGTGGAGTTTGCAATGAGCCGAGATCGTGCCACTGCGCTCTAGCCTGGGTGACAGAGCAAGACTCTGCCTCAAAAAAAAAACCAAAAAAACTGATCATGAACTTTCCAGGGGGCCTAAAGTTGGAGGTGGAAACAGGGCTGCATGTGTCCAGGGCCCCCACAGAGGCTCTGTTTTACTCTATAGATTTGTGTTCTGGTTGCTTGTCCCTCCCTATCCCCTCCTTACCCCTTCTGGGGGCAGAAGGAACCAGAGCTTGCAACCCAGGAGATCACCTGAGGTACCCCCAAGTCCCCTTTTTGGAGGCTGGCAGAACTCTCGGAAATTCATTCTAGACCTAGCCTGGCCCCTGAAGCTAAGCTGCCCTAGCCAAGTGCAGGGTAGTCCTGGGAGTTCCTGCTTGGATCCAGCTCAGAACAGAGCCCTAGAAACAGGCCTGAGTGAGCTCAGAGACCAGCCCCACCAGGCCCCGGTCCAACCCAGCCTTATGCCTGGCAGCACTGATTGATCACCGACCTGTGGCTCTGGGTTGCTCTGTCCGCATGTCCCCACGTTTAGACCGAGACCACTATTGCTAATGTGGTATCCACTAAAAACCTGTCATCTAAGAGAAATTTCTCTCCCAATAGTCCACAGCTGATGGGGCCTGGTTGCGTTACTTGAACATCAGTGCACTTTTCCATTTTTCTTTAAACACACTTGCTAGGCTTCTGGCAAGGGCTATTGTAAACACTTCCCATCATTCCTACGTATTTTTAGCCTCAAGTTCTGCAGTGCCAGGAGAGATCCAAGGTCTTTGCTCTGTCATTTGTAAAGAACCTGCCTTGCAGCAGGACAGAGCTGATTGCTCTGGTGTTTATGGTTGAACATTGTCAAACCTGCAGAACTGGCTGTCCCTGATCTAGGAGGTGCCCCATCAATGACATGAGAAACACAAAACAAAGCCAGGACTAGGCTGAGAAGAGATAATCACAAGGTCAATGTCCAGAACTCCCTAGTTACTGAGTGTACATGAAGGAAGAAGGTGGGGCAAAGGGAAAAAACAAAGTCAGGAAGGGGTAGGCCTAGGCTTAGCAGAATTCTACCCCCCAACACACCCCACCCCCAGCCCTGCCCCGCATTCCCCTTCCATACCCAAGGTGTTTCTCAGGAGCTTACTGATGGTGAACGTCTGGAAGGCCGGCCTGGCTCGTCCCTCACTGGCTGTGCTGCCTTAAACAACTTGCTCATTCTCAAGGGACTCTGGGATTCCTCTGCCCCTGGGTGGCTTCCTTTGTCACACGTGCCAGGAGCATGCTAAGAACGTAATTAATAAGGCTACTGTGAAAGGAAAATAAATCTTGAGGCCCCTAAATCACTAAGCTAAATGGGAAAGTCAAGCTAGGAACTGCTTAGGGCAAACCTGCCTTCCATTCTATTCAAAGTCATCCCTCTGCTCACTGAGATAAAGGCATATCTGATTGCCTTCTTTGGAAAGGCTAATCAGAAACTCAAAAGAATGCAACCATTTGTCTCTCATCTACCTATGACCTGGAAGTGCTCCCACAACTTTGAGTTGTCCCGCCTTTGCTTCGAGTTGTCCCGCTTTTCCAGACCGAACCAACGTTCATCTTACATATGTTAATTGATGTCTCCCGTCTCCCTAAAATGTATAAAACCAAGCTGTGCTCTGACCACCTTGGGCACATAGCAGGACCTCGTGAGGCTGTGTCACTGGCATGCATCCTTAACTTTGGCAAAATAAACTTCCTAAATTGGCTGAGACCTGTCTCAGATACATTCAGGGTTCACAGTACCATGGTGGGTAGCTGTTTCCCTCACTGGACCAATAACTCCTAGAGAACAAGCACCAAAGAGCTTTGATCTTTGTGCCGTACGTGCATACCCCCAATAGGTACATAATCCAGCTCAGGAAATTTCATAAATGCTGGTTAAATCGAATACAATTTAGGTAAGGAGAGAGAGTGAACACAGATACTAATTTTTGGAGTTCAGTTATCACTTTTTTTTGGAAAAACATTTTGTTGTTCAGAGACACTTGGCAATGGAATAACTCTTAACAAAAGAGCAGTATTTATGAGTTAAGTGTAGATAATCCAACCCATATGGATGAAATTTCCCTTTAAGTGCTTGACTATGCTTTTAGAAATTGAGCAGAGATGAGGGGGGAAGGAAGGAAGAGAGCGTTTGGCAGAAGGAATTTTAGAGTTTGCTGAACCAGAATGTAGCGGGAAAAAAATCTCAGTTGAAGGCCTGGCTGGATTTTGTCATTGCTAATGAGAAGCAGGTACTGAAAATATGCTACAGCTCCTTGCAAATCTTACCAGGAATTGTTGCCTGCTGACCTCTCTGCTCTTCTATGCCTGCTGACCCCAGATGCTAGCATAGGATAAAGCTGCCCAGTTTAAATGTACATTCAACCCTGTTATTTGTCCTCAATGGATTTGAAAAAAGGTGTTAGAATTCAGGCTGCAAAGGTCCATCTAGGAGGCCTATGGAATGTCACATGTCCCCCAACCTATGTGCACCTATTTGGCAAGCTCTCTCTGCTGCCCAGGCATGCTGTTGTGGGTCTTTCCAAAAGCCTGTCTGCAGCTCCCAGGGCTGTTCCTAACTGCCTACCAGATTTTCAGGCAGAGGTAACAGGTTCCTAGAAAATGTCATCCAGGCCGGGCACGGTGGCTCACGCCTGTAATCTCAGCACTTTGGGAGGCCGAGGTGGGTGGATCACCTGAGGTCAGGAGTTCAAGATCAGCCTGGCCAATATGGTGAAATCCCGCCTCTACTAAAAGTACAACAATTAGCTGGGCGTGGTCTTGGGTGCCTGTAATCCCACCTACTCGGGAGGCTGAGGCAGGAGAGTCGCTTAAACCCAGAAGGCAGAGGTTGCAGTGAGCCGAGATCATGCCATTGCACTCCGCCTGGGTGACGAGTGAAACTCCGTCTTAAAAAAGGAAGGAAGGAAGAAAGGAAGGAAGGAAGGAAGGAAGGAAGGAAAATAAATGTAGGCCAGGAAAGGAAGCTATAGACAGCATTGAGGAAGAGGAAACAATTTTACATTGATTCTTTTTTTTTTTTTTTTTTTTTTTTTTATTGAGACAGAGTCTCGCTCCGTCACCCAGGCTGGAGTGCAGTGGCACAATCTCGGCTCACTGCAACCTCCGCCTGCCGGGTTCAGTAGACTCTCCTGCCTCAGCCTCCTGAGTAGCTGGGACTACAGGCGTGCGCCACTACGCCCAGCTAATTTTTGTATTTTTAGTAGAGACAAGGTTTCACCACGTTGGTTGGCCAGGATGGTCTTGATCTCTTGACCTCGTGATCCACCCACCTCGGCCTCCCAAAGTGCTGGGATTACAGGCGTGAGCTGCCATGTCCTGCAATTTTACATTGATTCTAAAGGAAAAGTAGGGGCTCCAACAGAGTCTCTTTTCAGCTCACAGGAGGCTGCCCATGTCAGGGGACTGCAGGGGTCGCGCTCCTGAGAGTGTGCCCAGGAAGGACAAGTGTTCACTGGAGAGCCTTCACAGAGCCAAAGCCATCAGAGGATGTCCTCTGAGGAACGAGGCCCAGTCTATACAGCAGCTTGTCCCAGGGAGGGGTTGCCAAGGCCTGGACCCCAAGATCTCATCCACAGGGCACCATAGGCCTCAGGAGGGCCTTTCCTGCTGTTGCCCCGAGAAATAGGCAACTCTGTGACTCCTCGGGACTGAAAACCAAACAGAACGTACACTCCAACAAGACAGGTCACAGCCACACATGCGGAGCAGTTTCCCAGCCAGGCATTGCTGGTCCCAAGACCCTGGGGTGTCATTTTCCTTCTGTCTTACCACCCTCTCCCACCCAGGCTCTCCTTTCCTATCACTATTTTTCTGTTTTCTGGTTTGTTCATGTCATCATTAAAATCTCCTGACCCAGCCTGGGCAACATGGCGAAAAGCCCATCTCTGTTAAAAATACAGAAAAATTAACTGGACATGGTGGTGCACGTGTGTAGTCCCAGCTACTCAGGAGCCTGAGGTGGAAGGATCACCTGAGTCCGGGAGGTCTGAGGCTGCAGTGAGCCATGATCGCACCACTGCACTCCATCCTCAGCAACAGAGTCAGACCCTGTTTCAAAAAAAAAAAAAAAAAAATCCCCTGACCTGAGGAACTTTGGAAGGCAGTTCTGTGGCTGGATCCCATCAGGCCAGGACCATAAGAATGGTACAGAGTCGCTACAGAGCAGGTGTGGATTTTCTCCTCACAGGGGCAGGTGTACACTCAGGTTGAAGACAGTAAATGTACTGTGGTCGAGGAGAGCCAGGTTTCCCACAGCTGGAGAAATAAGTTACAAATGAGGCTAGGTTGAACTTGTGGTGCGAGATTGGCCTCACAGGTGTGGATATGAATTCATTCTAGAGCCCATTCTAGAGCCCATTCTCCAAGAAGAGAAACCAGGGCTCCTCAGAGAGGAGCTGGTTCTAGGGATGGGGCAGGGAAAATACAAGATGGGCCTGAACATCTTATGGAGCCAAAATATAAGAAGTGCTCAAAAATCAAATGGGGACTATCAAAAGGATACAGGGCTCAGCATGCAGGAGCTCATGACGTTGTTAATTATAACCCCCAAATAAAAGTCTTTGTTGATACAAATAAATAACTGAATGAGCCACTTAATTGAGTGCATTGAGCCCTACAAGTGGCGGGCAAGGCACACAGACCCAGATGTCTCTGCTCATGGCAGCTACACAAAGAAAATCCTCGTGAGTGAAAAAAAAATCAGATGTTCTCTATGCGGGGGAAGAGGCTGTATTTAAAGGACAAATATCTTTTATAAAACATTTATGGGACTATGAGCATTATTTTATTTACATAGGCATATTTAGGATGTAAGCTCTTTCCTGTTCAAACCAGCAACTTTAGGATTAGGAATGAAAACAACTTTATGTACATTTATCACATCTACAATGGTTTAAATGAAAGTACTGAAACTGACCAGGCACAGTGGCTCATGCCTGTAATTCCAGCACTTTGGGAGGCAGATCGCTTGTGCTCAGGATTTCCAGACCAGCCTGGGCAACATGGTGAAACCCCATCTCTACAAAAAATACAGTAAGTTATCTGGGCATGGTGGCACACACATCTGGTCCCAGCTACTCAGGAGGCTGAGACAGGAAGATTGCTTGAGCCCAGAAGGTGGAGGTTACTGTGAGCTGAGATCATGTCACTGCAGTCCGACCTGGATAATAGAATGAGACTCTGTCTTAAAAAAAAATAGTAAGAAGCCGGACGCTGTGGCTTACGCCTGTAATCCCAGCACGTTGGGAGGCCGAGGCGGGCAAATCACGAGGTCAGGAGTTCAAGATCAGACTGACCAACATGGTGAAACCCCGTCTATACTAAAAATACAAAAATTAGCCTGGCATGGTGGCGGGCGCCTGTAATCCCAGCTACTCGAAAGGCTGAGGCAGGAGAATGGCGTGAACCCGGGAGGCAGAGGTTGCAGTGAGCCGAGATTGTGCCACTGCACTCCAGCCTGGGCGGCAGAGTAAGGCTCCGTCTCAAAGAAAAAAAAAGTACTAAAACCAATTGACTTAAACATGATTTGAGCTTGATGCTCCAGTTTAACCTAAGAAGTGTCCAGCCTCCCGTAGAACTTCCAGTGGCCACGGGCTCAGGGCTTAACTTGCTTCAACACAAACCCAGGGCCCTCCCCACCTTTCTCCCAGCTCCCCACAGCACTGCCAGTGCTCCCCAAGATACCAATGTGATTGAGCAAAATGGCGAAACCACCTAAAAACTAAAAATAAAAAGGTATTGAGATATGAAAACCAGAGTCTGGGAGACAAGGAAATTCTAAAATTTATGAAATTAACTACAAGCCCCTCTAAAAATAACTGTTCTGTGAAATTTTCCAGGCATTTTTAAACACCCATATATCTTCCCTCGTGGTTTAGATTTTGTTTTTTGGGGGGGTTTTACCCAAAACTCTCTCTCCTCCTTTTGTTCCATGCTCTTCCCAACTCTCCAGCAGCTGATGACTCCAGAAACCATTCGTCCTCACTCTGTCCTTGTCCCTCCCTTGCCCTCTGAATCTGAACCATTTCCTCCTTTGTTTTGTGACCTTCATATAACCCTTCCCACAAACTGACAGCCATTTAAAATAAACCAGAACCAGAACCACAGCAAACCAGCAACCCCAATCCACATGCCCTCTGTGAACCTCACTGACTTGAACATTGCTGTTGATCTCATGGGGCTGCTCTGCCCAGCAGGGGAGGTCCACCAGGCCGTGCAGGGGGCAAGGGCTGCTCCTATCACAGCCTTCCACATGCTTGCAGCACCCAGCAGAATGCTGTGCACAGGATGAGTGTTCAGAAAACAGCTTTTGCGTCAAGATCAAAACACACGCTAGGTTTCTGAGGGTGTGAGAAGCATGACACTTCATATGTTGCTTGTGAGTATGTAAACTGGTACAACCTCTACAAAGGCAATTTGACAATATTGGCCAAAATTTGAAATATACATACGTACCCTTAGATTCAGGGATTCTATTCTTCAGTAATTATCCTAGATATACTGGTGTAAGTGCGAACCTATGTACTCATGAGCGTATTCATTGTGACATTGTTTGTTCCACATGTTCATCAATGGTGGCCTGGCTAAATGATCATGTGCACATCTGCACAATGGAACAGTATGCAGCTATTAAAAAAGAAAGAGGGCTGGGCGCGGTGGCTCATGCCTGTAATCCCAGCACTTTGGGAGGCTGAGGCAGGAGGATCATCTGAGGTCAGGAGTTCAAGACCAGCCTGGCCAACAAGGTAAAACCCTGTCTCTACAAAAATACAAAAATTATCCAGGCATGATGGTGGGTGCCTGTAATCCTAGCTACTCGGGAGGCTGAGGCTGGAGAATCGCTGGAACTTGGGAGATGCAGACTGCAGTGAGCTGAGATTGCGCCACTGCACTCCAGCCTGGGTGACAGAGCGAGACTCCCATCTCAAAAAATTAATTAATTAATTAATTTAATTTAATTTAATATTAAAAATATGTAAGGCCAGCTGGGCACAGTGGCTCTGCCTGTAATCCCAGCACTTAGGGAGGCCGAGGCGGGCGGATCACCTGAGGTCAGGAGTTCAAGTCCAGCCTGGCCAACATGGTGAAACCCTGCCTCTACTAAAAAATACAAGAAGTAGCCAGGTGTGGTAGTGTGCACCTGTAATCCCAGCTACTCAGGAGGCTGAGGCAGGAGAATCACTGGAACCCGGGAGACAGAGGCTGCAGTGAGCCAAGATCATGCCACTGCACTCCATCCTGGACGACAGAGCAAGGTTCCATCTCAAAAAAAAAAAAAGCCCGGGTGCAGTGGCTCACACCTGTAATCCCAGCACTTTGGGAGACCGAGGCAGGTGGATTACGAGGTCAGGAGTTCAAGACCAGCCTGGACAAGATGGTGAAACCTCATGTCTACTAAAAATACAAAAATTAGCCGGCCGTGGTGGCACATGCCTGTAATCCCAACTACTCAGGAGACTGAGGCAGAAAATGGCTTAAACCTGGGAGGCGGAGGTTGCAGTGAGCTGAGATCATGCCACTGCACTCCAGCCTGGGCGACAGAGGGAGACGCTGCCTCAAAAAAAAAAAAAAGTAAGACCGGGTGTGGTGGCTTACGCCTGTAATCCCAGCACTTTGGGAGGCTAAGGCGGGTGGATCATTTGTGGTCAGGAGTTGGCAACCAGCCTGGCCAACATGGTAAAACCCCATTTCTACTAAAAATACAAAAATTAGCCAGGCATGATGGTGCATGGCTGTAATCCCAGCTACTGTGGAGGCTGAGGCAGGAGAATCGCTTGAGCCTGGGAGGTGGAGGTTGCAGTGAGCCGAGATCGTGCCAGTGCACTCCAGCCTGGGGGAGAGAGCGAGACTCTGTCAAAAAAAAAATAGGGTTTTGCTTCTAATAATATTTGGGGGAAACTAAAAGCATTATTAAACTTTAAACCAGATGAAAGAAAAATATGAAATAGTCTCCACTCAGAGTGAAAATGATGAATAACTGTTGGCACACAATACCAGTAAAGACACAGTGAATTGTCAAAAAGGGACCCCCAAGCAACAGTGCCCTGAGGAGTCACAAAAGGTCGGGTGGAGAGTGCCGGGCCTGGGCAGGAGGTTCCTGGAAGTGATTTGGGCAAAGGGTCCTGCAAGGTCAGCCAGACAGAGAGTGTGCTTAGTGGAGACTATGAGTCCAGCGCTCGGTGGAGCAGTACGGCCGGCCAGGCGCATGGTCACTGACCAGAGAAGCCCAGGCCCCCAGCCAACATGAACATGGGAAGTGACTGGCCCATGTATTGGAAGTCGTATTTACTCTGTGTCTGGCCTCCTGAGAGTCTACTTAAGACCCCCTGCCCATGGCCATTGCAGCTGGGAAACTTCCTCTTCACCCCCAGAAGGTTCACTGGATCAACTCACAAAAAGGCAGATTAATAAGAGAAAAGGCATGCAAATGTATCACCACCGTGCACACCGCAGAATCACAGTGACAGCCTGACATCCTAGTGTGTACAGATTCTTATATACCCTACTTCTAGGCTGGGCACAGTGGCTCACGCTTATAATCCGAGCACTTTGGGAGGCCGAGGCAGGCGGACCACCTGAGGTCAGGAGTTCGAGACCAGCCTGGCCAATATGGTGAAACCCTGTCTCCACTAAAAATACAAAAATTAGCTGGGCCTGGTGGCAGGCACCTGTAATCGTAGCTACTTGGGAGGGTGAGGCAGGAGAATTTCTTGAACTCAGGAGGCAGAGGTTGCAGTGAGCCGACATCACGCCACTGCACTCCAGCCTGGGCAACAGAGCAAGACTCCGTCTCCAAATAAAGGAAAAGTATACACCCTCCTTCTTAGGGAAAAGGGAGATGGGGAAGTGTGGATGATTGAGCGGGGGTGGTAAATGATTTTTAAGGGAATTCAGTGGGCTTGAAGAACATACAATGGTCTGTGACAAAGTCAGGGCCAGGGAGCGGACAGTGCTTTGTGACAAAATGTCCAGGCTTGTTGACAGTCTTCAGTCTTCCTTCCTGTGATATGGGTTGGGTTTTTTGATACATATATATAAATAATAGAGATGGGAGCTGCCATGTTGCCCGGGTTGGTCTGGAAATCCTGGCCTCAAGCAGTCTTCCTGCCTCGACCTCCCAAACAGTTAAGATTACAGATATGAGCCATCACACCTTACTATGAGTTCAGTTAATGAAAACAAAGGGACGGGGCCAGAGGTACTTGGGGAACAATTTTTCTCCTTGGCAGGTCTGACCCGTCTTCATGTAGGTAGGGAAAAAGTGTCTTCTACCATCTGCTGATCCCTAAGGGCCTTTAATTCAAAATACCATACCAGGGAGCCATATTTCAGGTGAAGTTCCCTGTGGCCCTTCACCACTCACAGACAGCTGGAGCAAATTTCCAAAGCCTTTTCCGCCCTTTCTGGAGAGGCAGCCCCATCTAGCAAATACAGAGTATCCAGCCATGTCTGAATTTCAAATAAACAAGAAATTTATTATAAGTACATCTCGTGCAATAGTTAGGAAATACTTATACTAAAACATTCATTGTGTATCTGAGATTCACATTTACCTGGGCATCCTGTGTTTCTATCCAGCAACTTTACTGCCAGGCTCACTGTCAGGGTCCCTCCCCCTTTTCCTTTTTCCCAACAGGAAATTATATTTTGACAATATCTTGGATTATTTTCAAAACATTATCTCACCATTTACAGTAATGTGTTTATTCTTTTCAAAAGAACATCCCCTTGCATGAGAGTACTGTTTCCTCAACTAGTCTGGTTGAAAGAAGAGCCTGGGGTCCTGGACCCCACCTCAGACCAACCAGATCACAACCTCCAGGTAACAGGCTTGGGAACCCGTGTTTACAGCAAGTGCCTCAGTGATGCCATCACACAGGCAAGTCTGGGAGATGCTGGAAGAGAGGCCACCTCTCTACTCCAGAGAACACAGTAGATCAGTCCCACAGGGAGTTTGGTCTCCGCTGAGCGGGAAGAGCCTCTTGGCCCATGGTAAGTGCTCCATGAAGCTCTGTGGGCTGAATGCCGGGCAAGAGCACACACACAGATCAGGCTGTGGGGACATGTTGGGGCCAGTTGCCCTCCCAGGGGATGCCAGGACCCCACAGATGACCTCTATTGGCCTCACTGCTGTCTCCTGAGACCACCCAGGGCCCTGCCTCCCCCTTATGCTTCTCCAGCCTCGGTGCTGTGGGACTCATTGCCACTTTTCTTTGAATTCTTGGGTTTCTGTGCTTAGCCTTTTAAAAATCATTAAAGGTAAAATGTTCTTTTAAACTCACCTAAAAGTTTCCTCCTCTATTTTTCAATGCTACTTCATTACTCTCCATCTTAAACATCTATCCCCACCTCCAACCAAAGATATCTTCATAATCCTGCCTTTCTTTTTTAATGTGAACTTTTACTGAAATGTAATGTAAATTTAGCAAAGTGCTTGAATACGTGTACAAATAAGAATTTTCACAAGGTACAGGCATGCGTATAAGCAGCACATTGCTGAGCACAACCTGGAAATCCTTAGACGCCCCTTTCCAGTCTCGAGCGCCCCTTCTGAGAAACCCTCCTCTGGAGTCCTAACTTCATACATTAGTAGTTTTACCTCTTTCTGAACTTCACATAAATTGAACCACCCAGTATGCATTCTTTAGTGTCTGTCTCCTCCCACCTAACCGTGTGTTCATGGGATTCCTCCGCATCGAGAAGACTGCAGTTAGTCCACACTAGCTGCTTACTGTCCACCATTGTGGGGATACAAGTTCTGCTGTTGATGGACATTTAGTTTGCTTCTAGTTTTTTATTTTTACAAATCGTATTCTTGTACATGTCTTTCAGGGACTGTATCTATGAATTTAGGAGAATTGCTGGGTCACAGTGTGGGTGAATGTTTAACTTTCATAGATAATGTCAACAAGTTTGACAAAGTGGAATTTATATTTCCAGCAGCAAAGCCCCCACTTGCTCTGCGTCCTTGCCAACACTGGGTGCTGTCATTTTTATAGCAGCCATCCAGGTGGGTGCACAGTCCTACTTCTCTATTAAATACAATTTTTTGCAAAGTAATCACTTGAAAAAGAAACATCCAGACTGAAACAGGAAAGGTCTGAAAAAAGGTGAGATTCCGGTGGCTGAGAAAGTGAGCACGAGGAAACAGCCTGCCCTGGGGGTCAGCTCAGCGCCAGGGGAAAACAGGTGATGGTGATAATAATAAGTGGTTGTTAACTATTCCCACATGGGAAGTGCTGCTCAACACACATTTTTAACATTTTTGACAACCTTAAGAGATAACTACTATTACTTTCACTTTACACATGAGACACAGGGATGTTACATAACCTTTCCTGAGTTTCCAGCTTAATTATTTTTTCCCTCTCATTAAGCACACACAATTCTTTTATTTTATTTTATTTTATTATCTTTTTTTAAATTTTTTTTTTATTATTTTTTTTGAGACAGAGTCTCGCTCTGTTGCCTAGGCTGGAGTGCAGTGGCGTGATCTCTTGCAGTGGCGTGATCTTGGCTCACTGCAAGCTCCGCCTCCGGGGTTTACACCATTCTCCTGCCTCAGCCTCCCAAGTAGCTGGGACTACAGGTGCCCGCCACCATGCCCGGCTAATTTTTTTTTTTTTTTTGTATTTTTAGTAGAGACAGTTTCACCATGTTAGCCAGGATGGTCTCGATCTCCTGACCTCGTGATCTGCCTGCCTCAGCCTCCCAAAGTGCTGGGATTACAGGTGTGAGCCATCACACCCGGCCCTCTTTTATTTTATTTTTATTTTTATTTTTTCTCTCTAGGTTACCCAGCTTTAAACGAAACTGCCCGCTGTCTTTCACGAAGCATACAACACTTTTGACTGATTTCGTCTGCTCACAAGATGGGCAGGGTGGTCCACACTGGCGATTTGCCTCTTGTCTCAGGGTCAAACAGTGTCAGCCACTGATTTCTCCAGCTGGCTGGAAACTTATTCACAGTGATTCTCAAACTTGAATTGTGAGCTTTGTAAACTGTGTTAAGTACACATTCACATTCCAAGGCTCCAGCCTTTCCTCCCTTGCATTCTGTTTGAGTAGGTCAGGAATGGAGTTAGGACCCATTTGTAACAAGATGCCCTGGGAATTGCTATATAAGCAAGGATGGTCTGATTGAGGCAATGTGGGGTTTGGAAATTTCTACTCTAAGGAGTCTTGAAGCCAAGTAACCAGAGATTACTGCAGGCAGCTGGAAAAGGCAGCACTGAGGAGAGCCTTAGGGTCATGCCTCCTCATCTATCCTGGAGCCGGTGGGTGTAAATGCATTTAAGTTTTACTTTTTAAATACACACATATGCACAGAAATGTATGTGTGTACATGTTCAACTTTCATAGACAATGCCATATATGTACACACATACATACATAATATAGTGATCCACATTAGTCATGGATTCCACATTTGCAAATTCACCTACTCTCTAAAACGCATTTGTAACCCCAAAACTGAGTACTCATGGTGCTTCTGTGTTCATTTGCAGACATGTGCAAAGCTGTGAAAAATGTGAGTTGCCTGACATGCAGTTCCCTGCCACGGTCAAACAAGGCAAGGCTCTGCCTGTTGTTCTCTGCACACAGGGTCTTTTCTTGGTCTATTTAGTGCCACATTTTTTGCATTTTGTGCTTTTGGGTGGTGATTTTGCTGTTTAGTGTGGTCCCCAGGCAGAGTGCTGAAGAGCTAATTGTTCGTAAGTGCAGGAAGGCTGTGATGTGCCTTCCGGAGGAAACACACTTGTTAGAGAACCTTCATTCAAGCATGAGCTACAGTGTTGTCCAGTGTTCGAGGTGCCTTTATAGGACACAGCTACTGCCGGCTTCCCAGCCAGACTGAGAGCTCAGGGTGTGGGCAGCGCCTCCTTCCTGCATTCCTAGCTCCAGTGCTGTTCAGCTTCAGTGGAACCTGGTGAGCACCGCTCTCAGCAGGCTGAGCTTCCAAGGGCTCTACGGCCACATAGGGCCTTCTCTGTACCCACAGAGACTAGCAGGGAGCTCTTCTTCAGCCACTCGTGCAGCCTGGACACCCCACCGCCTGCGAACCTTCTCCCATGTGGAAGCTAGTAGTTACCAGAAGGAAAGGAAAAACAGTCACAGAGCATGCACTGCACATTCTTGGGCACAGTTCAGGGAAATTGGTCCCATTTATGACTCTTAAATTCATGTGTGCCTTTTTCAGTGCAAATATTTCAAGGAACTTAAGTATATACAAAGGTTCTCTGCATTACAGATGGGCAATGAATCCAAATGTTCTTTCTGGGCTAAGCTGGTTAGAAAAACATCAGCCACATTGAGAGAGCAACTCTGTCTTTGGTGACCAGCTGGGCTTTGCGATCCCTGGTAGGGCCAAGCCAGCATGCAGGAGGGGTGTGGGGAGCACCCCAGGCCCAGTGGGTAGCCAGCTACAGCTAAGCGAAGGGTCCCTGCAGGGAGCAGAAGGCAGGCTGTGAACTCTTGGCAATCCTCCTAATGTCCCTCTGATACACAGGTTAACCTGCTAACAACAAAGTAGTTCTTGGGTGTGAATATTGGGGATCCTCCGTATTTTTTGCTCTTGTGATCCTTTAAAAAATTATATAATCTGAGCTGAGACAGAAAGATCTTTCCTGCTTTTAGCTGAAATAGGTCAAAAAACTCTTGCTGTAAGAATTGCTTGGTGCTGTCCATTCTGAGTGATGGAACAGTGGGGAGGTGTTGCTATGCAACACTGCACATCCTTCCGAAGCCCATCATCTCCTAGCAACAGGCGGTGGGGTGCGACCCCCCTGCTGCGGGAGCCACCACGGGTGCACTGCCTGATGCCCATTTCAGTCCCCTCTGGTCACAGGCATTCACTCTTGCGACAGCTGGACTTCTTGAGCGCCTACAAATCCCCTTACCAGGAACCGGGGATACAGAAATCCAAAGTTGAGGTCTCTGCCTTCAGCGGGAGTCCAGCCTGGTTTAGAGTAAGACACAGAAACAAACAAAAAACTGTATCATCTCAACAGTTGACCTCAGAGTTCTTCCTCAGGAAGGCCTTGGCTTTATTTAGGAAAGATCTGGATAAACTTCTGGAGCACGACAATTTGGTTCACGAGGGCACAGCTGTTGTCAGAGACAGGGATTGGTGGTTGGAGTTACTGAAAGAGAGGGGAAGAGAAGGCAGGACGTGCACAGGTGGCCCAGCTGTGAGAAAGCCTGGCTGGAGGACCACTTTCAAGAGTGATATGGATTTTTAAGTGCTTTGCTTTTAAAAGTACCTCTGGCGACCCATACAGCTTCAGTAAACATTCTGTGGCTCCCAGCAGAATTCTGTTCACTGTTACCATGGAAGCAGTGATCAAAGAGAAGGGGCTCTGTTGGGTACATGCCAGGGCAGAGGTCAAGGAAAAGTCACGGATAGGGACAAAGAACAGCTTGACCAAGGCTGAAAATTGGCACAAAGGCGACCTTGAGAACACAAGCCCCCTGCCCCCAAGATTCAGAGAAACGTCGGGCAGGACACTGACTCCAGTCTGAGAAGCTGGGTGGTGGGATCTGAATGGGTCCTATCCAGGTCTGAAGGGTGGGGAGCACCCACTGACTCCTGGCTGGCTGGTGACAAAAGTGAGGGGAGGAGCTTCCAGTTCTACCTGGGAGGCAGGGAAAGGTGCCCAGAGGAGGTGATGCCAAGTAAACTCCCACAGGAGGAGACAGGAGGAGGTGCTGATGAGAGGGCTCCAGCCAAACAAAGGGAGCAAGGGCCCATCTGCCCATCGGGTGTCAAACCTCTGAACATGGAGAAGTTGTTATTTAGTGAGGTGTGGGGCAAATGTGGAAAACCTCAGACATGACATTCCAGCTTCGGAAAAAAAAATACATTTTTTTCTCAAATTCAAATCTCACACCAGGATGGCTTTGTCTACCTTCAAAAGTGGTGCCGTATCTAGACATAGATGATGGCTAGATGGATAGACAGACGCCAAAGAGAAACCCATTACCCTCTCTCAAGAAGATTGTCTGAGAGCGTATTCTCAGAGCAGCCTCTGATGCTGGGCGTGGCAGAGCTCACAGAAGGACTAAACTTTTCAAAATTCACACTGTGCTATCTGGCATGCTGAGTCAGTTTGCAAAGCACTTGTGTGGATAGTATCTGGCTTGCCTCCTTATTTCAGGGAGACAAAAACCTACTTCTTGTCCCTGGCAGTGCACAACCCCTCCTTCAGCAAGTTTCCCAGCCTGTGGTGGCTGCCCCGAGGTGCTTTGCCAGCTTCCCTGTGTCTGCTCTGCCTCAGTCATCTCAGGGTGCAGGCAAAGCCAGCCCTTCTACCTGGCAGTGCTGAACTAGGAAAAAGTTTGCTCAACAACACTGAGCAGCCCGCCCCGCAGATGGGTGCACTGAATGTGTCTGCACTTGTCAGGTACATCTGGCTTCTGCATTCAGGACAATTACAGGGCACTCTGCAAAATTACTTACTGAGTTGGAGGGCCTGAGAGCACTTCCGTTGTGACAGTGGAGGCGGGCACTGGGAAAGGCTGCCCTTTAAAGGGTGATGGAGGTGCTAACGGAGAGCCCGGCTCCCAGGCTCACTCACACCTTCCAGGGTGTGGACGTGGTAGTCAGCAAAAAGCAAGGGCTTCTCCCAGCGCATGGGTATGGGGCTGGAAGAGGGAAGGGCACAGGGGCCCTCTGGCTCTTGTCCTACCAGCTGGTTGGGAAAGGCTTCTCATGAGCGCTTCACACACAGAGCAAGACTGATGGATGTTACAAGGAGCCACCTTGCATGCCGGTGTCTGTTGAAGGAATGAACGTGTGGACAGCGCGGGTGCATAGATCTAGTCTTCCTCACTGGCTATGGTGCTCTCACTGATCCACGTGCTCCCTCTGTTCTTACAGGAACCAAACAGTCCATTTCGAGGTGGAACCTCACAACAGCTCTCTGGGCCCTCCCAGACACACCCTGGGGTGGGGACAGGAGTGTGCTTTAGGGCCGGGGCCGCCTGGAGTTGTTCTGCTCCACAGTTGTCAAACAGACCCACCCTCAGCAGAGTGGCAGGACGAGAAAGGCAAAGGAAGGAAGGAGGCCTGGGCTACAACTGAGGTTGCCACGGTTTCTTTTTTTCTTTGTCTTTTGCTTTTTTCTTATTTTTTGAGACAGAGTTTCACTCTTATTGCCCAGGCTGGAGTGCAATGGTGGGATCTCAGCTCACTGCAACCTCCGCCTCCTGGGTTCAAGAGATTCTCCTGCCTCAGCCTCCCAAGTAGCTGGGATTACAGGCGCCTGCTACCACACCCAGCTAATTTTTGTACTTTTAGTAGAGACGGGGTTTCACTATGTTGGCCAGGCTGGTCTCCAACTCCTGACCTCAGACCATCCACTTGCCTCAGCCTCCCAAAGTGCTGGGATTACAAGCATGAGCCACCGCACCTGGCCAGTTGCCATAGTTTCCATCTCTGCTAAGGGTTTGCCCTCTGCCTCTGCGGATTCGATTCAGAAAGTGGTGCTGTTAGTATACCAGGAAGAACTTGCCTGTGAGCCTGGTCTGAGAACTTTGCACTTTGCCAAGCTGTCCTTCGAGTATAACGGTGATAGACAAACATTCTTCAAGATCAGACAGAGGGACACAGCACCCAGGGCCCTTTAAAAATGTAGTTGAACATAGTGAGATCCTGTCTCTACAAAAAGTAAAAATACAAAATTAGCTGGGCATGGTGGCACATGCCTGTGGTCGAGCTTACTGGGAGGCTGAGGTGGGAGGATCCTTGAGTCCAGGAGTTCAAAGCTGCAGTGAGCTATGATTGCACCATTGCACTCCAGCCTCGGTGACAGAGAGAAACCCTGTCTCTAAAAGAAAAAAAGTAGCTGAAAATGAAGTCTGGCCAACTAAGAGATGAAGCAAAATAAGACATGAAGTGAGGGAGAAGCCATGGGGAAAAGACTGGAAAGAGAGATGACTCCATGTAAGCAAATAGTTAAAGCTACACTATGGAAGAAATTATGGTTTCAGAATAAAATGTAAATCTTGACAGGAGAAAGCTAGCAAACTCAGGGGGCTGAGGAGAGGAGGGAAGAGGAAATGTAAGAATGTCAATTTCCTTATTCATAACAAGGAGTTAGTAGATACTGCCTGTAATTGAAACACATAAAATCATTACTACTTATTAATATTTTTCATAAACCCTTTCCTTAATTTTAGCAGGTTATTTTAGAAACTAATATTTTTTTTCTTTTTTCTTGTTTTTGTTGTTTTGACATGGGGTCTCATTCTGTCGCCAAGGCTGGAGTGCAGCAGTGCAATCATAGCTCACTACAGCCTCACAACCTTCTGGGCTCAAGCAATCCCGCCTCAGCCTCCCAAGTAGCTGGGACTACAGGTACATGCCATCATGCTCGGTTAATTTTTTTTTTTTTTTTTTTTTTTTGGAGACACAAGGTCTTGCCATGTTTCCCGGGCCGGTCATGAACTACTGAGCTCAAGCGATCTTCATGCCTCACCCTCCCAAGTACCTGGGACCGCTAGTATATTTTGTGATGAGGAAATATTTTTCTGAAATTCAGCAGTTTCTACCATTTTACTTCATTTTGGGGGGGGGTTGTTAAATTCAAGCACAATTATCTTCAACATTTATTGTTTAAAATAGGATGTAGGCACTAAGCATAAAATAAGAAGCTGGCATCAAGAAACAACATTAAAGGAGTGCTGGGGAGGCCAATAGGATGTGAAAGGTATTTGCAACATAATACTAACAAACCAATGAGAAAAAGGTGAACCTACCCAGTAGAAATAAATTGGGTGAAAGACTTGAACAGGCACTTCACAAAACAGATAGTATCTCAGCTGCCCAATAAATACATGGAAAGGTGCTCAACCTCATTAGTCTTCAGAAAAATGCAAATTAAAACCACTAGAAGCTATGGCATCACACTCAGAATAGCCAAAATGAAGGGGGAAAAAACCTGAAAATATCAAATATAGACAATGGAGATCCCTGGAGCTCTCATACATTGTTGATAACAGGGTAAATGGGTATAGCTATCTGGGAAAACTGTTTGTTCCCCTCCCCACCTCCCCTCCCTCTCTCTTTCTCCTTCTTCCAACCACCACCTTGCCCAGCTAATTTTTGTATTTTTAGTAGAGATGGGGTTTTGCCATGTTGGCCAGGCTCGTCTCGAACTCCTGACCTCAGGTGATCCACCTGCCTTGGCCTCCCAAAGTGCTGGGACTACAGGCATGAGCCACTGCACCCAGCCCACATCCACAACTTTCTTTAGCTGTCTCTCCCCTACTAATTTCTGATGCCCACCCAAATCAAAAAGGTCAGGTAAAGCAAGGCAAAACAGAGCAGAGCCTTAGATTTTGAGAGGGACCTGTCTGTTTACAGCTCTTGGGGTTCCATGAGAAAAACAGAGGTTTCTCCCAAAATGGGGTCTGTGGCACCTTCTGTTTTTCCCAAAGCATCCCAGGCTGTCAGAAATTACCTTAGGTCCTCTCATGTGGGCAAAAAGATTGGCAACAAGACCTACTACGGAAATAATTCAGTCAACTGGGAAGAAAAAGAAACACTTAGTACTGTCCCCATTGTAAAGATGGATAAACTGAGGCACCATACAGTTTAAAAATTCATGTTCACATAGAGTTAGGCTCCACAGCTCACTCTTAACCATCCCGTAATTCTGCTGACTCTATGCCCAGTCACCGAGGCACCTGTATGGTAGCTCACGGCCCCCTTAGAGCTTAGAACCTGGATTTCATTCCTGCTCTACAGCTACGTAATTGAACAATTTTCCTCTGAATTTGTTGGATTCTAACTCTATATATCTCAAGTTTTATTATTTCTGAATCTCAAGAGGGGCTGTGATGTCTTTAGTAATATCAAACAACCTATAAACAAAGGACTAAATGAGGTTTAGCAGTATTCAAATTTCTATATGCTTTAAAACATTGAGGCAATGTATTGAGAAACACACCTAAGAAACTGCAACCAATCTACTCTGGACAAAAATTTAGACACTATCTCTATAAAATAAGCTATCTATTGATACTTATGCATATTTGTACATATATCAACAGTATTTACATGTCATAACCTTAAAATAATTTAAAAGTGTCAAAATTACCGGCCTTATAAATTTCTGTAGTCTTGAAAGAAATGATACAATATAGATTACTTGTTTCTTTAAAGTAGTCAATAAAATGCATAAACTTCTAGAGAAATCCCTTAAAAAAACAGTTCATACCGAAGGTAATAATACGTAACACTAGGAATAAAAGAGGGCCCAACACTGCAGGTTCTTAAAGACAACAGTTACTAAAGCCTTGTTTTTGGTTATTAACCTTGGCCTTAAAACAATTATATACATAATCCTCCGCTTCCTTTTCTTGTTGCAAAGATGTGGTGATGAACCAGATTTGCTCATGCAGATGGCAATACTCTTGAAAATGGTGGCAGAGAAATAAAATGAAGGGTATATGGTTCACTCAATGATCTCATAAAGTGGAACTTATTACCCACCCTGCCTCTTGCATATCTCCAGACTAATATGTGAGAGAGATGAAATGGCTGTTTGCTACCAATATTTTATTTGATGCTTCATTTTTTGATTCCTTGAATAACAACTTACAATGCATTAACAGGAAAGCATAGCTATTCAAGGAACTAAATAATTATGCAACTAATTTTTTTCCTCATCTCTAAAACATGGTAATGGACCAATATTTTAAAAATACAACACACTGGTGAGTAGTTTATTTTTAACTCAGTTTTGGTTTGTTGCTTGTTAAGGTCATTGCTTGGGAAAAAGAAAACAAAAGACGAGGAGGAGGAGGAGAAAGTATAGAAACAAGAAATAGAAGCAGGAGCATAAGCGAATGAAGAGGAACTAGATGATGGTGATGAGAAAAAGAAAAAACAGACTGGAAGAAAGTAGGAAAAACAGGTGTGGGAATCAAATGGCCTATAAGATACCTTTTTTCCCCTTCCTGATTCATGAAATTTGAAAAAGTCCAAGACCATCAACAAAAAAACAAGCAAAAAGATAGACACCCCTTAAATTTCATTAAGAGTGAGATAATGCTACACTCATGGCTGGCTCAGGTGCCATACCTTTTTTCCCCTTCCTGATTCATGAAATTTGAAAAAGTCCAAGACCATCAACAAAAAACAATAAAAAAGATACACCCCCTAAATTGTCACCCCTTAAATTTTGCTAAGAGTGAGATAATGCTCCACTCATGCCTGGTTCAGGCACCAGCAGGAGGAGGGCACCCTCCAGATTCTCCAGGAGAAGGGGGAGGACTCCTCCTTGCCCTGGCTGCACCTCCAATGAGGCCCATGGTGCAGCAACCACAGCTTCCTACCTATGCCAGGCCAGCCGAACCCTGAAGCTCCTACTCCCCCTTCCCAGCCCCCAGACTTGCTGCTGCTGCCACCACTGGCACTGATGCCAATACAACCACCACTGCTGTCACCCTCAATGCACCGGCCCTCCCTACAAGGCTCCTACCACATGGCTACTGCCACAGCCCTGCCCCTGCCCTGGCTGCAGCTGGCCACCTCCTACCACTCTGGCATGCTACAGTCTCTGTCACCACCACCAACTCACAGCGAGGCAAGCTGCAGGACCACAGGCTCCAGCCTCCAGCCTCCAATATCCAGCAGGTGGATCCTCCTTCTCCTGGTAGGAAGCAGCAGTGTGGGCAAAGCCAGAAAAACCTAGACCAGGTTGCAGGAAGTGGTAGCGTTACAGCATCACCTTGTCATGCTGTCCACTGGGTGGCAGGGGCCAGTTTCAGCGAAGGCACTCACACCCACCCTCCGAAGTCCAGCCTCTCCTTTTGGCCCAAGCTGGCCAGGCACTGGGGCCTGGGGTGGGGATTGGAGACACCATAGTGCCCAGCTCCCCAAGCCACAGGAACCACTGGGCCCACTGAGGCTGCACTCCTTGGGGAGCAGGAGCAGCAGAAACTCAGACCCAGCCACCCCCAAACCGAAGTGTGGTTGCCATTCCTGATGCCTCCACCCACAGGGCCCTGTCCCCTTGTGATTCCCCCAACTCCATGCCCAGAGATCCCAGGCTGTCTCTGCAACACAGAGGAAGAGGGCACAGGCCCTGGACCCACAGCAGGTGTGGGGGCCCTGCCATGCTCAGGATTCCCATGGAAATGCTATGCACCCCACTGGCTTCGAGCAGCAGCAGCAGAACGAGGTCAGCCTCTAGAGTTTGGAGTCTGGGGAGAGGAGAACAGCCCCTGCCTTGGAGGCCACTGCTGTCACTGCTGCCTCTGCCACCCGCCACTGGCAGTGCAGTCCCTGATAGTGCCCTTAATCCTCATAGCCCCCAATAGTGCCCCCAGCCCAACATCTGCCTCGGGCAGTTGTGCCCAAGTTATCGCACCCAATCCACTCCCCGATGAGCTGCTGTGGGTACTGCAACCCCAGATAGTATCCCCAACCAGCCCCCCGCCAGGGGCAGTCTGGCCCCCAATAGCACCCCCCAACCAACCCCCACCCCCACCCCCACTCTGCCACAGGCAGTATAGCCCCCAGTAGCATCCCTAACCTGTCCCCCACCATGGGGCATAGGCCTAGAGGTTTTTGTCTCACCCAATCAGAACATGTAGTCCAGGAACCTCATTTGCATATTTTCAGAATGTGAAGGATGCTAAGGGGGCTTCCCACCATTCCAGGCTCTTCTGCAGCTGTAGCCCAGCTACTCTGTGCCTGGCTTAGAGGAGGAAGAGGAGGAACCGTCTGCCGCACCCTGGAGGCTGTAGCCTGTGGCATCGTGGCTCGCCTCACTGCAGTTGCTGGCTGTGACGGAGACTGCAGCATGGCCAGGGTGGTAGAAAGGTGGTGGGGTAGGTGCACTATCAGAGGCTGCACTGCCCGTGGTGGGGGGTCGCTTGGGGGCACCTGATGCCTGCAGCATAGAGTGGGTTGGGGGTGCTATCCAGGGCACGGGGGGTGGGGCGACTGGTTAGGGGTGCTACCTGTGGATGTGCTGCCCATGGCGGGGAGCAGGTTGGGTGCACTATCAAGGTTCTCACCTCCTGTGGCCCTGAGGGAGGGGTCCAGGCCTAGGCTGCTGGCCAGGGAGCCGGTAAAAGAGCCAGAGGCGGTGAGGGTTGTCAGAACCTTGGAGGTTATCTTGAGGCCTTCTCTGGTTTAGATGTATTTTCTCATTCATGAATGTAGGAACATTGCCTGAGAGGTGTTCATAGTGGCCGTTCTGAATTCTAGTTCTAGCAGGGGCTAAGAGAGTTCCAGTAGTTCCATGTGTCTTCTCTCAAAAAATATTTATTCAGATCTTCTGTTCATTTTTAAATCAGATTCTTTTTGGTTTTCTGGAGGTTTTTTGGTATTGAGTTGTTTGAGCTTATTATATATTCTGGTTATGAATCCCTTCAGGGGTGGGGAGTTTGAAAATATTGTTTCTCCTGTGTGTCGTCTCCTTTCTTTGTTGTTTCTTTTGCTGTGCTGAAAGCTTTTTAGGATGACAGAATTTCATTTGTTTGTTTTTGCTTTGGTCGCCTGTGATTTTGAAGTCTTAAACCAAAAACTTTTGCCTAGACCAGTGTCTTGGAGTGTTTCCACAATGTTTTTATTCTAGTAGTTTCATGGTTTCTGGTCTTCAGCATAAGTGTTTAATCCATTTGATTTTATTTTCATGTATGAGGAGAGATAGGAGTCTAGTCTCCTTCTTGTGCATGACGTTTCCCCATTGTATGTATTTTCTTGGTGTCTTTGTCAAAGATGAGTTAGCTGTAAATCTGTGCATGTATATCTGGGTCCTCTATTCCCTTTCATTGATCTATTTGTCTGTTTTCAGGACATGGTCATGCAGATTTGGTTACTGCAGCTTCCTAGTACATTTTGAAGTCAAGTAGTATGATAACTCCAGCTTTATCCTTCCCATTCATGAATGCAAGAACATTGGCTAAGAAGTGTTTATAATGGCCCTTTCTGATTTATAGTCCTAGCAGTGGGCTAGGAGGGTTCCAATTGTTCCATGTGCCTGCTCTCATTTTGTATCTCCCAGTGTCAAATATCTATTTGGTTTCATTTGCTTTGACATTTATTTTCAATATTGTTTGTAATGTTGATAAGCAAAACTGGCCTATAGTCATCAAATTATCTTTAAATTGGATCATTTCCTTCATTTTGCTTTCTGTATGTACATGGTTGCTTTCTTCTCTTTTCTTAGATTGCATTAGAATGTGACACATCCATTCCATCTTCATTTCTCATATGTGCACACTGAAGGCACAGCCTAGAGTCCCACTTTCTCTGGTAGTCCCTCAGCAGCATCGCACAAGTGTTGCCTGTGGGATTTTCATTGTTGTTTCTTTATATAGGTATCATGCCTTCTGTGATGTATTGACTTGAGAATACTTTGTAGTTTTCAGCTTCCCAAGTATATATGCTTTGAGGTGATGATTTTATTGTATTTTTCTAGGATAAACAATTATCCACAATCCACTAACATTCACCCCTAATGAAACCCACTAAGCCAAAACTAACAGGAAAATGTTTTAATTATATTTTTATAGTACAAAATAATTAAACTGAGGCAGGCAGAAAAAAGTAAGAGAATCCACATAACCATAGTTTACATCACTTTAAATCTTGACAGCTCCAGATGCTGAAAATGAACCCGGGTCCTGCAATTGCAGGCTTCATTTCTCCTCTCAAAGGCACAGTCTGTATGATGTGTTCAACAGGAACATCTCTTGGGCTCTCGCCCCCTGACTTGTTATTCACAAGCACCGTGGTGTTTGAAATCATCCATTTCTGCAGATCTATGGCCAGCCTTCCCATTCCAAAGGCTCACTGCAATTGCTCCTCAGCCCTCTTCAGACTGGATTTCTGGCTTCTTCTTTCCCTCTGACCCTGAATTCAGAAGAGCTTCTTCTGAGGTCCTCTTGCTGCTTCAGCTTCTCCTTCTGCTTGAGGAGTGCTTTAAAATGCTCTTTATTCTGCAGGTGCTGCTGCTTCTTGGCCTTCTGCACCCTCTGACTGCACACTGTACTCAGAGCATCCAGCAGTGCAAGGATCTGACAGGGACAAAACCTGGCGAGCATCAGAATACTCTCACAGACACCGCACACTCCCATCCAGGCATGTCAGCTGATGGAATCCAAGATAGAGGCAATCCAGGATCCAAATGAATGTTAACGCCTTGAAAATGCATCCCGAGCTAGGAAATCATTGTTGGCATGGAGATACAGGTGTGAGCACATTTACCTTTACCGCAAAACCACCTCTGTTCATCATTCTATGGGCTCTGTGTGCCACTAACCAGGAGGAAGGGCTCCCCAGCCATGCCTATGACTCCACATTAAAATGCACAGGGCAGAACACGGCCAAGCAAAGGACTGGAAATAGACTCCAGCCCTGCCTCTAACCTATAGTTCTAGTGCCGTGAATAACTCTGGTCTCATCCCCTCCTGATCAAAACTGAGTTACAGTAGAAATGCAAAGTGTGCTGCCAAGAGTGTTATTTTCCTCTCTAAATGGCAGTCAATTGGCCACAGGACCTTCCTTTCATGAGGCTTGCTTATGATGGTTGGTCTCTGCCTGTCCTTCAGCACCTTGCCTGCGTTTGCTTGGGTCTTGGGCTTGTTCTTAAATGGCAAGGCTTTCTGCAAGGCTTTTGGAATGTGCAGTGAATTAAAATGTTTCTTATGCCTCAGGATTGGCTGAAAAGTAAAATAAAACAAAAACTGGGATATATTTAGATTATGATCTATGTGTATTTGAAACCCACAAAACCTTCTCACTGGATTGACTTTTCCATAAGATCAGTAACACTAGAGTCAGCTGACTCTCAGAAATCAGGACTCAGTCATCCATCAAATATGGACTGCCTCAGTGGACACCCACAATTCTAGGCAGAGGAACAAATACAAATAGCTTATACTTGCAACTCTTCCAGAAAACCAACCGTGCCCATTTCTATGGTATAAAACTATGAGGTCTCAACACAGCAGATGCATAGATCCAGTTTCCTCTCATGTTAAATTCAGACCTTGTCTTTGGGCCACTGAGGTGATTATTTTTTTCAGCCTAATGAGTATAATAATCTAGCTTTTCATCTTGACTGTCAACCTCTCTGGATTTAAGGACATAGTTTTTCCTCCAATTAGCAGCCAACATGTCTTCATCTCTGGTTCTAATTAAGAGCTTTAACTTTATTCTGTTTCTGATAGGAGCCTGGCTTTAAAAAGTGAGATTTGAACAACAGACAAGGGCAAACACTGTACATTGAATTTTCAGGTTAATTTAAGTTTTATGTTTCATGAATTAAGATAATCAAAATTCTTAACTGCCTCAGAAACGTTGTTAGTAAGTTGAAAGTTGTGCTCTAGTCTTTTTACCAACGTCAACTATACAGATAATATTTCTCCTATGCCCTTAAATTTATCATTAAGGACATAATTCACAATAATATTCCATATTATCTGTTTAGGAACACATATTGCTTCAGAATTAAAGAATTCAGAGAAATCTCCTTCTCACAAAAAAAGTGGCACCACACGCTGGACAATGGGCACCACATCCTAAGTATGTTTTAATACAAATTCATGTAAGGTGCTCCAAAATTTCATTAACTATTTTATAGAAAAAGCAATGCCTGTGAGACTTCTGTTTCTAGCAGAAATAGATGTATTTATTTTGCAGTAATTTTTTTTTTTTTTTTAGTTTTTTGTTTTGTTTTGTTTTGTGACAGAATCTGTCTCTTTTGCCAGGCTGGAGTGCAATGGCATGATCTTGGCTCACTGCAACCTCCGCTTCCCAGGTTCAAGCAATTCTCCTGCCTCAGCCTCCTGAGTAGCTGGGATTACAGGCACCCACCACCACACCCAGCTAATTTTGTATTTTTAGTAGAGACAGGGTTTCTCCATGTTGGCCAGGCTGGTCTTGAACTCCTGACTTCAGGTGATCTGCCTTCCTCGGCCTTCCAAAGTGCTGGGATAGCAGGCATGAGCCACTGCACCCGGCCTTTCTTAGGTTCTTACTATTTATTTATGACAAATATTTGACATCCATGATTCTCTCCAGTCAAAAGTTCTTTAATACAATCTGTTGGCATTGGCCAATTGGAAAATGGAGTCATGTGACTCACCCATCCTGCGAATGGCCCCGCAGGTAGCATACATTTTAAACTGGCTGTTAAACCTGCCTGCGATCAGGCCAGTTGCGGTGGCTCATGCCTGCTATCCCAGCACTTTGGAAAGCTGAGGCGGGCAGATCACCTGAGGTCAGGAGTTCGAGACAAGCCTGACCAACATGGAGAAACCCTGTCTCTACTAAAAATACAAAATTAGCTGGGCGTCATGGCATGTGCCTGTAATCCCAGCTACTTGGGAGGTTGAGGCAGGAGAATCACTTGAACCCAGAGGTGGAGGTTGTGGTGAGCCAAGATCCCACCATTCCCCTCCAGCCTGGGCAACGAGAGCGAAACTGTTTCAAAAAAAAAAAAAAAAAACCTGCTTGCGACATTATCAACCTTGGTCCCATTCTTCTGGATGGATTCGTGGTCCTTGGCATCAATGATGCAGTTGCTATCGGACCATTTCCACGGCACGTACAGGTCCACGAACTCACCAGCATCATTCTGCATCTCAAAGCCGCACCTGCTGCCACCACATCACGCACAAGCAAAGAAAGACATTTTCTGATAATTATTGCATTTGCAATTTCAATTTGTTCCCAAGCTGGTAGTATGTATGTATGCTGTACTTCCATAAAGGTTTTTTGATAATAAGGTTAAAATTAAAATTTAAAAGTAGAATTGTGATATCTCATTTTGGTATAATTATTTTTTTCTATGTGTAGGTATGCATTGAGTTTTTTTGTTGTTGTCATTTTGTTTTTGATTTTGGTTTTGGTTTTTTTTTTTAGACAGAATTTTGCTCTTGTTGCCCAGTCTGGAGTGGAATAGCGTGATCTTGGCTTACTAAAACCTCTACCTCCCAGGTTCAAGCAGTTCTCCTGCCTCAGCCTCCCAAGTAGCTGAGATTACAGTTGTCTGCCACCACACCCAGCTAATTTTTGTGTTTTTAGTAGAGGTAGGGTTTCACCATGTTAGCCAGGCTGGTCTTGAACTCCTGACCTAAGGTGGTCCACCTGCCTTGGCCTTCCAAAGTGCTGGGATTACAGGTGTGAGCCACCGTGCCCGGCCCACATTGAGATATTTTTATTTTTATTTATTTATTTACTTATTTTAATAATAATTAAAATTCTTTCACCCAGGGTGGAGTGCAATGGTGTGGTCTGTGTTCCCTGCAACCTCCTCCTCCCACATTCAAGTGATTCTCCCACCTCAGCCTCCTGAATAGCTGGGATTACAGGTGCCGGCCACAATGCCAGACTAATTTTTTTATTTTTAGTAGAGATGGGGTTTCACTATGTTGGCCAGGCTGGTCTCGCACTCCTGACCTCATGATCCGCCCGCCTCGGCCTCCCAAAATGCTGGGATTACAGGTGTGAGTCACTGTGCCTGGCCAAGAGATTTTTATAAGAATCTTTGCTAAATATTCATAAAGGTTATTTCTGGCTGGTAACATTTAAGGTGAGTTTAAATTCATATTGTTGTTTGAATTTCTATAACGTATGCATCTTTACGGAAATCGAGTGATGGCATTTTGCTGCAAAGTAAAAAGACCTTTTTCAATGGGAAGGATGGGTGAAAACCAAGAGGTAGTAGAAGAGGAGTAAATGTAATTAGGGCTGCTGAGCAACAGAATAGAGCAGTCTGCTTTACATAGGAGTGATCCACTGGCTTTGGAAGTATCCCAGAAGAAGAGAATGAAGGGCTGTCTCTGCAGAGATTTCACCCTGTGCCTCCAGCCCTGAGTCCATGTGTCTGAAGCCATGACTGTGCTGTAGTTGGCTACTGTCCAGCGACATTTGGGAGGCACTGGTCTCATTAGAGCTTTTCACTCAAAGCCAACTGGAGGAGGGGTTATTTCGGGAAATGACTCCTAGACACGTCTGTTCTCTTTGCTGGCGTGTGGATTCTTGTTAGCCTCAAACACAGAGGCTGTTCCCTTTAATTTAGGTGTTCTATCAACCTTCCCACCTTTTGCCTCAAGTGTTCCTGGCCTTAATTTAGACTAAATTCACTTCTGTTTATATGGTTCTTCTGCAATTTCTGCAGACATTCCAGCTATAATTCCATTTTATCTTCCTAATATAGTTGTGAGTTTCAGCATTGCCATGAGCTCTGTATATGATCAGTAAGGGAATTTAAAATGATGATCTCCTTTTCAGTTATTTAGCAAACTGTGAGACACTTGCTCTATGCAAGAGCACAACTCAACATTGGGTATACACTAGAAAGAAGCCAACAGGAGTAGGAATTTTTATCTGTTTTATTGATCTACTTCCAGCACCCAGGACAAGAAGCAGGGCACAGTAGGTACTCCACAGTGGATTGCTGAAATGAATGCACAAATGAATGAAACACCTTCCTTGCCTTCAAATATCCCCAGCTAATGGAGGAGATAGACATGCTCTTAAATAGAGATATACAAGGTACAGAGTATGTGCAAAGTGCTGTGAGAGCCCACAAGAGGGAGGAAAAAGGTCTTTGAGGATGAAGGAGGTTTTAAGCTGAGCTCTAATGAATGAATATGAATAGGATTTTGATAGAATGAGAAATCAATGGGAGCATTTCAGGTAGAGGGAGTAGCACAAAGTACCTTCAGGGAAAGCTAGTTGTCCAAGTGTGGGAGAGGGAAGGACACTAGGTGGAGTCAAGGCCAAGGAGAGATTGTGAAGGTTAAATTGAATGATGTTCCAAGCAACTCAGGTGTGGTCCATAGATGGCAGGTGGAAGCAATGGAAGTCTTTTGATCAGCTGAGTGTTAATATCTACTTTGGAAGTGGAGCACTGTGGCAGTACAGATGCTCTGCTTGAGAAGAACCACATTGGAGGCCAGGGGATCATTAGGAAGCCATGGCAATCGCACAAGGGAGAAGGCGGTGGGAATAGAAAAGAGGACAACTTTGAAAACTGCTTTAGTTCACATCCTCTGAGAAGCAGATACCAATGAGGAGTTAGGTTTATTTGCAAGAGATTCACTGAGGGAAACACCTATGAAATATAGAGGGTGAGGCCGGGCATGGTGGCTAATGCCTATAATCCCAGCACTTTGGGCAGCTGAGGTAGGCAGATCACCTGAGGTCAGGAGTTCAAGACCAGCATAGCCAACATGATGAAACCCTAAAAATACAAGAATTAGCCAGGCATGGTGGCTAAAAACACAAAAATATAAAATTTAGCCAGGCATGGTGGCTAAAAATACAAAATACAAAATCTACTACTAAATATACAAAATTATAAAATACAAAAATTCCTAAAAATACAAAAATTAGCCAGGCATGGTGGCGGGTGCCTGTAGTCCCAGCTACTTGGGAGGCTGAGGCAGGAGAATCCTTTGAACCTGGGAGGCAGAGGTTGTAGTGAGCCAAGATCGCGCCACTGCACTCCAGCCTGGGTGACAAGAGTGAAACTCTGTTTTTTAAAAAAAGAAAGAAAGAAATATACAGGGTGAACCAGAGAAGGTGGGAAGATCTTTCAGACTGCAATGCAGGTCTGACCTTGGTGAAGGAGAGAAAAGGAAGGAGGACAAAGGAAAGTCTCAGACTCAATACAGACCTAAGAAAGTTCTGCCAGGCGATGGGGAGTCCTTGAGCCAAAGTCTCCCTCGGAAAGACTCCTGCATGTGGCAGAAATGGGTGTTTGTGCTCAGTCATGGTCTGGAAAGGGTGGTCTGCAAGCAGATACAGAGACGGACCCTGAAGGGCAGTAGCTGGGGCCTTCAACCAATTATGATCCCTGCAGCAGGAGGCATGAAATGTGCATCTTTATGGCCACCACCAAAAACTTACTGGAAGATGGATCTAGGGAAGAGGGAGAAGTCAAGCTTACTCAAAGGTTTGTAGCTGGGCATCTGGGTGGGTGATAATACTATTACCAGAGGAAGAAATAGAGTAGGAGGAGCAGGCTTTACTGGGGACATTAATGAGTTAGACTTTGAACAGGTTTACCTGTAGGGCATCCAAGGGATATATCCTGAAGACAGCTGAAAGTCAAGGATAAATGCAGCAGACTTCCAGCTACTCACTGTGCCCCATGTCTTGCACTTTCTAGGCTCACCCTTATCTACCTTTTCCAGTATTCCTTGCAGGTAGG
Organism: Homo sapiens; assembly: GCF_000001405.40. Lineage (NCBI taxonomy): Eukaryota > Metazoa > Chordata > Mammalia > Primates > Hominidae > Homo > Homo sapiens. The sequence continues at coordinate 109,661,629 of NC_000002.12, read as the reverse complement.
TATGACCATATGACTGATCTCCACAGTGGAATATAAGCAAAAGTTTGTGACACTCCCATTCCTGGCCCATAGAACCTTCTACTTGGCCAGGCACGGTGACTCATGCCTATAATCCCAGCACTTTGGGAGGCCAAGGCAAGCAGATCACGAGGTCAGGAGTTCGAGAGCAGCCTGGCCAACATGGTGAAACCCTGTCTCTACTAAAGATCCAAAAAATTAGCCAGGCATGGTGGCAAGCGCCTGTAATCCCAGCTACTCGGGAGGCTGAGGCAGGAGAATCGCTTGAACCCAGGAGGTGGAGGTTGCAGTGAGCTGAGATCGTGCCATTGCACTCCAGCCTGAGCAACAGGGTGAAACTCCGTCTCAGAAAAAAAAAAAAAAAAGCCCTTCTACTAATGCTCCCTCATGCCCCTTCACCTTCCGTTAGTCTGCATTGACAGGGCAAACAGGAAGCTTCATGTTGAAGGTGGCAGAGCTTCCATAAACCTGGGTCCCTAAGTGACTGCATGGAAGAGAGTCCCTCTGCCCATAGCCTTGGGCTTTTTAGCTGAGCAGGAAATACATTGCCTTTGTGTTCAGGCCATTATCTATTTTATCATATATCTGTTTTAGCAGATAAGCCAACCCTAACTAACCTAAGGATGCCTAATTAGTACATTGAGGTCTGAAACAGAGGTCAAGCTAGAGCTGTAGCTATAGGAGTAGAGATAATTCAGGAGAAAGCACAAAATGAGAGAAGAGTGCTTAAGACAGACACTCAGCTAGCACCTTCTCTACACCCAAGGGCCAGATGGATCACCAGGAGCTGGGGAAGGAAACTGACACCTTAACCCAGACTGTTAGGAGGAGTTGAAGTTATTATCACTGTTTTTCAGAAAATTAAAATGAGGTTCCAAGAGATTTGGCTAAGGTCATGTGGTGGCAGAACCAGCACTCTGCGGCTCAGGCTCCTGGCAGCCGTCAGCCCCTCCCTGGGCCACACCAGGCCAACTGGCTACTCATCCAGCAGTCCCCCATCTGCCTCCTGGCATGGGGACTACTTGATGCCTCCCTGTAGGCTCAGCTTTTCCTCCCTTTGTTTTTCTGGTGTTACTGGTGGAGGGTCTTGACTATGAGTCATCCAGGTTCTTGGTGTTTTGAGCAAATTGGACAAAACACACAATGCAATGAAAGAATGAAGCAATAAAAGCAGAGATTTATTGAAAGGAAAGTACACTCCACAGAGTGGGATCAGGATGCAGCAAGTGGCTCAAGAGAACTGGTTACAGAGTTTTCTGGGGTGTAAACACCCTCTAGACATGTCCCATTGGTTACTTGGTTACACCCTATGTAAATGAAGACTTGGCCTACAATCAGCCTGATTGGTTGCAGGAGGTGACCAATCAGAGGCTGAAGTGAAGTACAAAGTTATACATGAAGACTTGGCCCAACTAGTCTGATTGGTTGCAGGAAGGGAAAAATCAGAGGAACGTTCCATTTTTCATTTGTGACACAGTACAAAGGGAGTAGCTTCTGATCCTTTCCCTAATTGGGTGTGGAGAAGTGGGGTTTTCCTTTTGATTCATTTCTAGGAAATAAGCACAAATTGGCCTTAGTTCTTTGCCTCCAGGCCTTATTCTCCTGCCTCACTGGGACTGACCCCAGCCTGAGACAACAGCTCAGCACCTGCTGCTCAGCATGGGCCCCTATCTTGTGCCCCAACTTTGCTATCTGGGCATTTGCTTGTGCCTGAGACTGAGCCATAGCTGGTGTCCAACCCTCATACCTGGCCGGGGCCTGGCTGCCTGGACCATCAGCCCTCCCAGACTGGAGATTTGCTTTGCTGCTGTTCCCCTTCTAGGAATCGTAGGCTGGGGGCCTAGAGACAGCACTCTCATTCAGGGCTCCCGGCCCCGCGGCCCCCTCAGAGTCCATACCTCATCTGGAGCCCCCCGCTGATTTGTTTTCTTTTCTAACCTAGGAATTGTTTTTGCTCTGGCCCTGGGCTTTCAGATTTGTCTGCCAGACAAAATCTTCCTTCTGCTCAGCAGCTGCTGCAGGGGCTGTCCAGCCCCCAGCCTAGCCCACCATCTGTCCCACCCACAGCTGCTCTCACCGTCCATGCGAACCACTGACCACCTGCACTGCAGCCCTGGATAAATCACAGTACATCCCCCACAGGAAGACAGGGCTCCAATTGAGATGGAAAGGAGCCTGGGGCCACGGGGGTGCTGTTATTTGAGTTTTGTTTTTTTTGTTTTTTTGTGTGTGTTTTTGGGGGGGATGAAATCTCTGTCACCCAGGCTGGAGTGCAATGGCGTGATCTTGGCTCACTGCGACCTCTGCCTCCCAGGCAAGCAATTCTCCTGCCTCAGCCTCCCGAGTAGCTGGGACTACAGGCACACACCACCACGCCCAGCTAGTTTTTGTACTTTTAGTAGAGATGGGGTTTCGCCGTGTTGGCCATGCTGGTCTCAAACTCCTGACCTCACGTAATTCAACCAACTTGACCTCCCAAAGTGCTGGGCTTACAGGCATAAGCCACTGCGCTTGGCTGTGAGTTTATTTGATTTATTTTTTGGCGGGGGGGCGGAGTCTCGCCCTGTCACCCAGGCTGGAGTGCAATGGCGTGATCTTGGCTTACTGCAGCCTCTGCCTCCTGAGTTCAAGCCATTCTCATGCCTCAGACTCCCAAGCAGCTGGGATTACAGGTACTCATCACCACACCCAGCTAGTTTTTGTATTTTTAGCAGAGACAGGGTTTCACCATGTTGGCCAGGCTAGTCTCGAACTCCTGACCTCGTGATCCACCCATCTTGGCCTCCCAAAGTGCTGGGATTACAGGTGTGAGCCACCGTGCCTGGCCAATTTTTTGTTTCTTTAGTAGAGACGGGGTTTCCCAATGTTGGCCAGGCTGTTCTGTTCTCAAACTCCTGACCTCGTGATCTGGCCCCCCTCAGTCTCCCAAAGTGCTGGGATTACAGGCATGAGCTACTGTGCCTGGCCAGAGTTTATTGAATTTTCTTAACTAATTTCCTTCTTGGAATATCACTGATGTCATTTGCCAATTTCTGAATGGTTTTAATAAGATCCTTTCCCACGAGTCAACCTTGTTCTGAAAGGATCTTATCTCTAGATATCGTGGTGTCTGTTTAAATAAAAAGAGAATATTGTGGTTCTGATTTATATCTTTTTCTTTTTTTTTTGAGATGGAGTCTTGCTCATCACCCAGGCTGGAGTGCCGTGGCATGATCTTGGCTCACTACAACCTCTGCCTCCCGAGTTCAAGCAATTCTCTGCCTCAGCCTCTCGAGTAGCTGGGATTACAGGTGCCTGCCACCATGCCTGGCTAATTTTTTGTATTTTTAGTAGAGACAGGGTTTCACCATCTTGGCCAGGCTGGTCTCGAATTCCTGACCTTGTGATCCACCCACCTTGGCCTCTCAAAGTGCTGGGATTACAGGCATGAGCCACCGCCCCGGCTGATTTATACCTATTAAGAATGAAATCATTAAATTGAGGAAAAAAGTGAGAATCAGGTTCTATACGTGAACTCTGATGCAGCCTAATTTCAAAGTTATGAACTTGGGTGAGACCTCCACATCAAATAACTATTATAATAACAAACTCAGGCCCGGCACGGTGGCTCACGCCTGTAATCCCAGCACTTTGGGATGCTGAGGCAGGCAGATCACTTGAAGTCAGAAGTTCGAGACCAGCCTGGCCAATAGCGTTAAACCCCTTCTCCACTAAAAATACAAAAATTAGCCAGGCCTGGTGGTGCGTGCCTGTAATACCAGCTACTGAGAAGGCTGAGGCACGAGAATCACTTGAGCCCAGGAGGAGGAGGTTGCAGTGAGCCAAGATTGTGCCATTGCACTCCAGCCTGGGCAACAGAGTGAGACTCCATCTCAAAAAAAAAAAAAAAAAAAAAAACTCAGCTAATTCATGCCTGTGGAGCTTTCCATCGGTTCAGTTTCCTCTGGGAATGTATTGCCTCCTCCCGCTTAAAAGATATTAATCTTATTCCTAGTTAAATGCAACTGAGGAATTTATAGCCAATTTAAACTTCACTCCAACTTAAAATAAATATTACACTTTTATAATTTTCTCTCTATGAGAATATAGAAAACATGGTTGGGAACATCCTAATTCTGCTTCATAAACAGCTGTCTGCCATGTTTTCGCTTTTGTTTGTTTTTTGAGACAGGGTCTCACTCCGTTGCCCAGGCTGGAGTTTGGTGGCACAATCACGGTTCACTGCAGCCTCAACCTCCTGGGCTCAGGTGATCCTCCCACCTCAGCCTCCTGGGTACCTGGGACTACAGGCACACACCACCACACCTGGCTAGTTTTTTGTATTTTTTTGTAGAAACGAGGTTTCTCCATGTTGCCTGGGATGGTCTCAAACTCCTGACCTCAAGCAGTCTGCCTGCCTTAGCCTCCCAAAGTGTGTCTGGCATGTTGAAATGCAAGGATGTTGGCCTGTCCCCCACAGAGCAGAGTCAATAACCGTTGGGCACTCAGGTGATACTAGGGTTGGGCCATTCATGAAATTAGGGAATCCAGAGGTTGTTTCTAATTGACTGAAATGACTTCATATTTCCAATCATATCATGGATTTTCTTGGCCCAATTGTTGAAATAATGGGCCAGAATATTGTCCCCATTCTATAGTTAATTTTTACCATCTGCATTTTTCCCTTCTCCATTGGGGGCTGTTGATTTCTTCTATGAACCGCCCTACTTTTTCTAAATTATTTTCATCATCTTAGAAGACTCAGTACACTGTGCTTCATCTACTCTCCATTTATCTCTTTTCCTTCTCAAGGTCTTATTCTGCATTCACTAATGTTTTAGTTGAAGAAAACTCAGAATACTCACATGACATTCATTAACGCCAAAGGGCAAATTAATTTTATAATTGCTATCATGTGAGATACATTTCAGACATAATCGTATATGATAAGCACCTGAGCAGTCTGCGCTTCCTTTAGAATGTTTAAGAAAAAGGCCAGGTGCGGTGGCTCATGCCTATAATCCCAGCACTTTGGGAGGCCGAGGAGGGTGGATCACCTGAGGTTGGAAGTTCGAGACCAGCCTGGCCAACATGGTGAAACCCTGTCTCTACTAAAACTACAAAAAAATTAGCTGGACATGGTGGCACATACCTGTGATCCCAGCTACTCTGGAGGCTGAAGCAGGAGAATTGCTTGAACCTGGGAGGCAGAGGCTGCAGTGAGCCAAGATAGTGCCACTTCACTCCAGCCTGGGTGACAAAGCAAGACCTTGTCTCAAACAAACAAACAAAAAAACCCCAGAATTTTAAGAAAAGGAGTTGCAAATTAAAAAGAAAGACAGAATGTGGTTCCAATGGATGGTATACACTTTACTCATTCAAGAAACATTTATCCAGCACCTCATCTCAGAGAGGCTCTCTGCCATGCCTGATTGGGATAAGGGGGATTGGCATGGCCCCTGCTGTGGCTCATGGTGCAGTAGCAAAGATACTGCAGATGTGTAAATTAGTGTTCTGTGGGCAGAATAGGATCATCCTGCTGAGGCAGGGAAGAGAGGGGACTCCCCTGGGGACTTAGGATTTGTGGAGATATCACTTGAACTAGACTTAGAAGAATGGTTAGCAGTTTACAAATCAAAACTGACAGGTCTAGAAGGGCATTCCAAATAGAATTATCTTCATTTTACAGTTGAGGAAACTGAGGCAAAGGGAGGTGAAGCTGCCCAGGGCCAGATTGATAATAAGTGGTAGACCAAGAATTTGAACCCTAAGATGTCTGACTCTGAAAACGAGTTGCTTATTTTGTTTCAGTACACCTGGGCTTTCCCACAAGCTTCCTCATTTAATACAATGATATAGGAGACGTGTTCTTTTTGTTCCCAGGCCAGAATCTTTCGGCTTTAAGGAAGAGAGACCACACAAACAGTTCAAGTGGAAGGGAGGGTTTTTTGTTGTTATTGTTTCTGCTTTTGTTTGTTTGTTTCTGCTTTAAAATAAAGATGCAGGGGTCTCTCAGGGACCCAAGTGAAGGAACAGGGCAGAACCAAATGCACACTGGGTGGGTGCTGACCCTCGATGGAGGCCTCACTGTCTCCGCAGTCTCCCCAGTCTCTGCCCCTCCAAGTTTGCTCCCCTCCCATCCTCTTCCTGTGCATGAGTCACCTCTGCTTCTTCATCAGCTCATCCATGGCTCCAAAACTTTCCCAAACCTAAGGAGCTTCCAGGCCTTGCCCATTTCAATTCTTGAGTGAGAGACTTGATTGGACCAGTTTTTCTATCTGGACAGAGCCCTTCAAGGCCAGTCACCTATCGACTGTGTTCTGACATCCTCCCAGTTCCAAAGAACTGTGGTTGAAAGCAGTGGGAACGGAGACACATAGTTCATGGCCACCTGGCAGGACATATCTGGTAAAACAGAGAAAAAAGATCACCAGCCGGGTGCAGTGGCTCATGCCTGTAATCCCAGCACTTTGGGAGGCTGAGGCGGGTGGATCAAGAGGTCAGGAATTCGATATCAGCCTGGCCAAGATGGTGAAACCCCGTCTCTACTAAAAATACAAAAATTAGCCGGGCATGGTGGTGGGCACCTGTAATGCCAGCTACTCGGGAGGCTGAGGCAGGAGAATCATTTGAAACCAGGAAGCAGAGGTTGCAATGAGCCGAGATCACGCCACTGCGCTCTAGCCTGGGTGACTGAGCAAGACTCCATCTCAAAAAAAAAAAAAAGAAAAGAAAAGAAATAAGATCACCTCCCTTTACAAATTAGAGCACTCTGAGAGGTCACGCCACATTCCAAGGATTACCCAGCTGGTAAGTCGTCAAGTGCAAACTGTGTGCCCCATTCCTATGCCAGATGTGTCTGTTCAGCCTCAGGTGTATTCCCTGCCCTGATTGGTTCCTAACTGGCATAAGTCATGATCCCAGAAGCAGTCCAAGGAATTCTGGGATTGCTTATGTATTTGAGCTTGAAAGCAGTGATGAGCTCTATCAATTCTATGATATCACAATGACTTAAATTGTCATCTTTGCTTTCAGTGAAGGGCTAGTGAAAAGCAAGGCTTTGGGACATAAGCAGCTGCTGCACTAGATGGGTGTGGTAGTAATGAGGCGTATGGCAGTAATGATGGATATGGTAGTAATGAAGAAGGGCTGGCTTCTTCATGTACTAGAGAGCTCATAATGAAAAGGGAAAAAAATGCTAAGCTCAGGGCCTTAAACTCTTAGCTTAACTGAAGGCATGACCAAAGAAATTGAGAATTTCCGTGGTGACCCTAACAACATTTTTTATTTCTATATCACAAGCAGAGGACTAGACCCCAAACCTAGTTTTGTAGACTTCCAAATTACAAGATGAGTTCAGCCTTCAGCCTTGTTAGGTCTCTTATTTAAGGTTAGGTAAGGGGAGTAGAACCTTGTTAGTGGGGGTAGTGGGACCTGGAGATTGAGATGGGGACATTTGGATGGATTTATATGAATCTGAGAACCTTGAACTCCAAATCCACCCAGGCTTCCTAACCAGCGGAAATAACCCCTCCCACACTGTCTGAGGACACCATTTGTTGCTCAGGGACCTCACCTGGAGTAATTGCCTTGCAAGGAAATTCCTGTTTTCCTAAAGACTTATTCATCACCTCTGCTTATTACTTCCAGACCCGTAGAGTCAGATCCATGCCTCCCAGGTCTGTTCCTGGAGAACACAGCTTACTGCCAAAGCAACTGCAAGACTTTGCTGTTGGACTGGACTACATTTACCAATAAGATTCTGGAGATGAGCGCTACCTGAAGAGCTAGAAAAGGCCCTAGCAGTTTGTTTGTTTGATTGATTGAAACCTAGGCCCAACAGTGGACTGCATTAAACAAAATAAGGAGGCCAGGACTTCCCTGGCATATTGTCAAGGAAGGAATTCAAAGATTCAAGAATATGAGAAAATTGAAAGGAAATTATTTTGTGTGACCCGCTTACCCACCACCTATGTCACACCCAGAAGGACTCAGAGACACCCTTTACAAAGGCTTTGAGAAATGCTTTGGTGAGGGGAGGGCCAGCAGCCTCGGCCAGCCCTGCAAGAATGACAGTGGGAGATTCCTATAAAATGGGCTTTCTGATCCAGTGGGAAGGATGAAAAGCTACAGCAGCGCCTAGCAGCCAGCAGCACTGCCAGCAGACAAGGGGCTGCAGTGCCTGTCATGCATGACAGGAGTGAATGACAGAGATCACAGTCACTTTTTTTTTTTTTTGAGACGAAATCTAGTTCTGTCACCCAGGCTGGAGTAGGGTGCCGCGAACTCGGCTCACTCCAAACTCTGCCTCCCAGGTTCAAGTGATTCTCCTGCCTCAGCCTCCCAAGCAGTTGGGATTACAGGTGCCCACCACCACGGCCAGCTAATTTTTGTACTTTTAGTAGAGACGGGGTTTCACTGTGTTGGCCAGGCTGGTCTCGAACTCTTGACCTCATGATCCACCCGCCTCAGCCTCCCGAAGTCCTCGGATTACAAGCATGAGCCACAACGCCCAGCCACAGTCACCTTTGAAATGGAACAAACTGGCACCTTCCTAAAGCATTACTTCATTTATAGAGGCAGAGAAATTCTAGGCTGATCAGCAGAAGCTGCCTTAGTAAACACAAAAGGCAATTATTTCTCTTTCAATTCCCAGGACTTTGCTAGCTCATAGGGGCACTGATCCCTTATTGAAGACGAGCCCAGGAGCCTTACCAGGTTGACTGTGCATCTGGGAAAGGGAAACACTAAGACACTGGGGACTTATTGAACACTAAATATATATCAATGCTAATCTCTAGAACGCGAAACATCTCTGTGTTCTACCAGTCAGAGCAAATCCGTAGCTTCTACAGGGAACTATAATTTATGCTTTTGAGAAACCTCTCTGGCTTCCTCCTGGCCTCTGGTAGAGACTGAAGTCTTGGCCATGGGACACTGGATGGGTAGGTAACTCAAGTTGCCTCCATGAACTGGGTGCTGTCTGACCCACCCAGCCACATGGCTGTGCACGTGCAGGAGGAATCCATAGTCGTGTGAAACGTGACTTCCTTCTTTTGTTGTGTAGGGGTCCCTTGGTCAGCGTGAAGTTTCTCAGGATACGGTGATGAGAGACAAAACCTTTTTTAACCTGTAATCCTAGCACTTTGGGAGGCCGAGGTGGGCGGATCACGAAGTCAGGAGATCAAGACCATCCTGGCTAACACAGTGAAACCCCGTCTCTACTAAAAAAAATACAAAAAATTAGCCGGGCGTGGTGGCGGGTGCCTGTAGTCCCAGCTTCTCAGGAGGCTGAGGCAGGAGAATGGCGTGAACCTGGGAGGCGGAGCTTGCAGTGAGCCGAGATGGCGCCACTGCGCTCCAGACTGAGTGACAGAGCGAGACTCCGTCTCAAAAAAAAAAAAACAAACAAAAATCCTTTTTTAAGTCCATGGATAGTGGCGCAGCAGAAGCACAGCAGGCAAGAGAAGCAAACCCACAGACAGCATAGTTGTCTAATGTAGTAAGGACAAATGCTGCCAATGATGGAAGGGTCTCATGTAAGCAACCCACTACCGTGCAGCTGCCACACACCACCTGCTCTCAGGAATGGTACTGTGCTGGGGAGGAAGCATTGGCCCCTGTCACTGCAGGTTGGGCTGTCAGCAGGGGTAATAGCTGGGTCAGCCCTGGTGAGAGTGGGGCTGCACTGCTGAGCACATGTGCAACCTTCATCTCATTGCTAGGGCCATTTTGTACACAGACCATGAAGCAAGCTGGGGCAGGGAGTAGCAGGAATCATCATCGCCATCATCTTGTTCATCTGACTTCTGAAAGCCTCTGCGGTGGATGCCGTTGGGAAACAGTCATGCAGGACACAAACATCATCATGCTCTCCCCATTCTGAAAGATCTGACTTCTTCCCAGGCCTCCTTGTCATAAATCTTCCAATTTTGTTCTAAGTCCCCAGCCAACCGCTCAAATCATTAGCCAAGGCGTATGAGTCAGCACAGATCCTCACCTCTGGTGACTGCTCCTTTTAGGGAAAGGGCTCAAAGTTTTGTCCATTGGGAATATTTTTCTTCACCACTGTTCTTCAGGGCCACCCTTGAGAGGTGCTTGGTGCAACAGCAGTCTATTTCTTGTTGGTGCCAACATATTATGTAGACCTAATTGTAAACTAGACCCCAGCTTTCATTCTCCTCTTGTATGGTCATAAAGAGCTTCCATTTGTTTGGGAGAGCAATGCAGCAGGAGTAGGTGTCATGGAACACTGGGCCACCTGCTCAATACTTGTACTTTCTGAACTTGCTTGAGCCCAGTCTTATGTATATTCAGTTATGGAACCATCTAGGAGCCAAGCCCTACAGGATGCCATGAGCCAGGGAGTAATATGTGGTATTGTTTCTTCCACAGAAGACATTCACAGGCCCAGGAATCAAGGGGTGGAAATGGTAGTGAACCCTCTCATTATTACCTTGTAACTCATTTTGAGATAGGTACAGGGGTTGCTGGGACTTTGCCTCTCCCTTTGTGGGGAGAGGATGTATGAAGGAGAAGTTGGTGTATGAAGGAGAAATTGGTCCTGGCAGGAGTTAAATACGGGTAGAACTACAAGAATGGAAACTGGGCAGCAAGGGCATGCTTGTGCCAGCCATTTACCTCCACTCTCTGCCCTGCACCACTGGGGACTGTCCCTCAAGACTGCATTTCCCAGACTCCCCCGCCAGCTTCCTGCTAGGTTGTCGTATTAGTCCGTTTTCATGCTGCTGATAAAGACATACCCAAGACCGGGTAATTTATAAAGAAAAAGAGGTTTATTGGACTCACAGGTCCACATGGCTGGGAGGCCTCACAATCATAGCAGAAGGCAAAAGGCACGTTTAGCATGGTGGCAGAAAAGAGAGAATGAGAGCCAAGAGAAAGAGGAAACCCCTTATAAAATCATCAGATTTCATGAGACTTCTTCACTACCATAAGAACAGCACGGAGGAAGCTCCGCCCATGATTCAATGATCTCCCACTGGGTCCCTCCCACAACACACGGGGATTATGGGAGCTACAATTCAAGATGAGATTTGGGTGGGGACACAGTCAAACCACATCAGTGGTCCTGTGGGAGGCACTGGTGACAGATTGGTAAGGAGGGAAAGTGGGACCCCTGCCCGGTCTCCCCACTCAGATAGCATCTCCAGCTGTCTCTCCTCAGTGCTTCAGCTCTGCCCGGGCAGGCCCTCCCCCATAGTCCTGGCTCACATAGGTGGTCCTGGCTTTTGGACACCTGGCTTCACCTCCACTTTTTGTCTTTCTGCCTTGGGAGACTAGCGGCTTCCTGCAATGACTAACCTCTGGGATGCCTTACCTTCCCGTTGTTTGCTCTGTCAGCTGCTGATAATTCCCCAGATTAAATTCCTATCTGTGTGGCATAGGCTCCATTCTCCAAACCCGATTCATGCTGTGTGTGCTGTAGCCTCACCAGAACGTATGATGATGAGCCTTATGGATTTCCATCATCTCAGCGACTTTTGTTTCCTACAAAATACAAAGGAACACAAATATCTGTGAGTCAATTGAGAAAAGAAAGTCACCCATATTACTGTCCCACGAGGAATATCCAAAATTGAGACTGTTCTGAGAAACTTTAGGATCATTGCAGCCTGGAATTATCATTTCGTTATGTCTAGTAAAACGTGCCAGTAAGGGTGGGGCCGTGGCCTCCAATGGGCTAACTTATTGTTGCAATGGCTTTCCAAGATTCATTTTTGCAGAAGTAGCCAATGTTTTTCTTTAAACACATCAGAGGGAATTTTTCTTAAAGAAAATTTGTGTTCTAGAAATCAGGTCTTAAGAAAATGAGAAACCAAAAACTTGAAACTTTCTCAAGAGATAATCAAGGAAGTAATCACATGCTTTACAGAAAATCTTCACTTTAGGAAGGTATAAAATTCAAAATACTGGCTGGGCATGGTGGCACATGCCTGTAATCCCAGTACTTTGGCAGGCCGAGGAAGGCGGATCACCTGAGGTCAGGAGTTTGAGACCAGTCTGGCTAACATGGTGAAACCCCATCTCTACTAAAAATACAAAAATTAGCCGGGTGTGGTGGTGAACGCCTGTAATCCCAGCTACTTGGGAGGCTGAGGCAGGAGAATCGCTTGAACCCGGGAGGCAGAGGTTGCAGTGACCCGAGATCACGCCACCGCACTCCAGCCTGGGCGACAGAGTGAGACTCTGTCTCAAAAAAAAAGAAAAAGAAAAAGAAATTCATAATACCTTTAAATATTAAATCCCTACAATAGATTTAAAGTACCATTTTCAGGAACACATACCTCATATTAGAAAGCTTCAACTTAAGCTTTATTCATTTAGTCTCCAGGACTTTAGTCATGGAGCCAATCAAACCACTATAGTTTTGCAATCAATTTTTCAGTTTTGCTTTTACCAGCTTTGATGAATCTTGCTTTTTCTCATTCTTTAAATGGTTTGGTAATCAGGTGTTTATTTCCTAGTTTGCAATAAATACTGAAAATTATAACTGTTAGTGAGCATTATCTATTACCGTTTTGTCTTTTTGGGGTGAAAGTAGTTACCGAGCACCAGGCCGTCAACTGGTCCAGGTCGCCGTTGTTGTGACTGCAGCCACCTACCTGATTGTCCTACCTATACATCCAGCCCTCTCACCCGCAACCAGTCCATCCTCCGCACAGCAGACACTCCCAGCACTCCACACTCCCGGCACTTTGGGAGGCCAAGATGGGTGGATCACAAGGTCTGGAGTTCAAGACCAGTCTGGCCAAGATGCTGAAAACCCATCTCTACTAAAAATACAAAAATGAGCCCGAAGTGGTGGCACGTGCCTGTAATCCCAGCTACTCGGGAGGCTGAGGCAGGAGAATTGCCTGAACCCAGGCGGCAGGGGTTGATGTGAGCCAAGATCACGCCACTGCACTCCAGCCTGGGCAACAGAGCAAGACTCCGTCTCAGAAAAAAAAAAAAAAAAAGATGTAAATCAGCTGGGCATAGTGGTTCACACCTGTAATCCCAGCACTTTGGGAGGCCAAGGCGGGTGGATCACCTGAGGTCAGGAATTCAAGACCAGCCTGGCCAACATAGTGAAACCCCATCTCTACTAAAAATACAAAATTAGCCGGGCATCATGACATATGCCTGTATTCCCAGCTATTTGGGAGGCTGAGGCAAGAGAACTGCTGGGAGGCGGAGGTTGCAGTGAGCCGAGATTGCATCATGCATTCCAGCCTGGGCAACAAGAGTGAAACTGCCTCAAAAAAAAGTGTAAATCAGATGGTGTCTTTCTGCTGCTTAAAATCTTCCAGGGACTCCCACTGCACAGAGAATGTTGTCCACAGATCCCTGCCAGGCTGCAGCCAGCCAAGCCTCCTTCCTGCCTTTGAGTTCTCTGCTGTTGGTTCAGTGGTTCGGTGTTCACATTCTTCTCCCTTCAGCTCCCAGCCCACGCCAAGCATTCCCACCCGAGGACCCAAGCGGTCACTATCCCTTCTGCGGGGCTGTGCCTCTCATGCTCTCAGTGAAGCCAACCTTGGCCACTTAGTTCTTGCACCCTCTCTGTTTCCATCCTGTAACCCCTCCTAATGTGTGATTACTGCTAATTGGCCCACTTGTTTATTTTCTGCCTCCTCCAACATACTTAAGCAGCTCAGCAAAGGGTTAGGGTGTGTGACACATCACCCCAGAGCCAGGCCTCAGTGGGCACTGAGTGAGGCAGCTAACGGGCATTTGTGGAATGATGCTTGTTCTCAAATTCTTGGTCAGACCAGATTGCCAAAGACTTTCAAGAAGCAAGGGCATACAAGCAAGCCTAGTTTTGCTTCTCTGGCTCTAATGTTGTTTAAGTGAGGAGAGCCGAGCCGGGCGGGGTGGCTCATGCCTGTAATCCCAGTACTTTGGGAGGCTGAGGCGGGTGGATCGCCTGAGGTCAGAAGTTCGAGACCAGCCTGGCCAACATAGTGAAACCCCATCTCTACCAAATATACAAAAAATTAGCTGGGCATGGTGTCAGGCAACTGTAATCCCGGCTACTAGGGAGGCTGGGGCAGGAGAATCACTTGAACCCGGGAGGCGGAGATTGCAGTGAGCCGAGATCACGCCATTGCACTCCAGCCTGGGTGACAGAGTGAGACTCCATCTCAAAAAAATAAAAAAAGTGAGGAGAGGGCCGGGTGTGGTGGCTCACGCCTGTAATCCCAGCACTTTGGGAGGCTGAGGTGGGCGGATCACAAGGTTAAGATATCGAGACCATCTTGGCCAACACGGTGAAACCCCGTCTCTACTAAAAATACAAAAATTATCTGGCCGTGGTGGCACACGCCTGTAGTCCCAGATATTTAGGAGGCTGAGGCAGAAGAATCGCTTGAACCCAGGAGGTGGAGGTTGCAGTGAGCCAAGATCATGCCACTGCATTCCAGCCTGACGACAGAGCGAGATTCCATCTCAAAAAAAAAAAAAAAAAAAAAAAAAAAGTGAGGAGAGCCATTGAGTGGCTGACACTTCCCAAAAGGATCACGCACAGGAAGGTCTGGGCTGGGAAGCAGAGCCCAGCACCCTGCCCTGTGGATCAGACAAAGGGAAAAACTGCATCTCATCTACAGATGTTTTATGTATTTCTTCCACGATTTTAAAAACTTCCATAGAACATTGAGGTAGTGAAAAAATACTGAAAATTTGAAAAACAAGTTTATTAAAACTCCTAGTATTGTTTTCAATGTAAACATTTTGCTTACACCCAAAATAGAATTACCATTTTACTTTCCTGGCTTTGATGGAAGCAAACCCTTCCAACAATATTTTCTTAAAATTATTAGCCATTTGTGGCCGGGAGCAGTGGCTCACACTTGTAATCCCAGCACTTTGGGAGGCCTACGTGGGTGGATCTCTTGAGGTCAGGAGTTCAAGACCAGCCTGGCCAACATGGTGAAACCCTATCTCTACAAAAAATACAAAAAAAAAAAAAAAAAAAATAGCCAGTCATGGTGGCAGTCGCCTGTAATCCCAGCTATTCGGGAGGCTGATGCAGGAGAATCACTTGAACCCAGAAGGCAGAGTTTGCAGTGAGCCGAGATTGTGCCATTGCACTCCAGCCTGGGCGACAGAGCAAGACTCCATCTCAAAAAAAAAAAATTATTAGCCGTTTACAAATACATGCAAACATGAGTACAGGGGAGAGCATTACTCCTTTTGCCTCAGGCTCCAGTGTGGTTGGGCATGATGCAGTCAGAGCCTGTCTGCATTTAATATAGTAATATTTTATTTGTGATTTTTAAAAATTCATTTAATTTTTTAAAATATTGCATCAAAATATCATTTATCTGGATGACTTTTTGCCTCTTGCCCCCTTACATTTTGCACCCGATGTGAGCGTCTCACACACCTGACCCTGGTCCTAGTCTGAAGCCAGTGCCACTTTCTGGGTGAAGTAGGTCTTGCCTTACGGATAAGGGACAGTCACCTGGGAGAAGACCAGAAATAAAATCAACTAACAGAACATAGCCTAGGGTGAGAGCATGGTAGATTGCCTCAGAAGGACCAAATGCCGGAGGAGGGAAGGTTGGGGACAGCATTCCGGCCCCAGCCGGTAGAGCTCAGCTGGTGTCAGGCTTCACGTTTCCTTTGACTTTAGCTCCCTTGAGTTCTCCCTGGTGTCTGTGAAGTTTTCATGAGCATTTCAGCCTTTTTTGGCTGCGTTGAGAGTTTTGTCTACACTCCGAGCATAGAGTTTGAAATGGGAATGGCGCACCCCTGAGAGCCAGTATGTGGGAGACAGCCATAATCAAATAATTACAATGAACACTCATGCTGGACTTACCGGGTATAGACACAGCTTCATCTATGTTCACAGATTCTAACCTCCAAGCAGCTCTAGGAGGTAGGCACTAGTAATAACTATTTTTGACTGATGAGGAAATTGAGGCAGAAAGAGGTTTGTCCACATATTTAAGTGAAGGGTCGGGAATTCCAGTCTAGACAGGCTGACTCTTGAGTCCAGGCAGGGGACCCTGAGCCTGTCGCACCTCTCAGGAATCCAAGCTTCAGACCATGTGGCAGCCTGAGCTTGCAGGTACAGCCAGGCTTGGTTTGTTTAGCACATCTCCCCGGAAAGCCTTCTTTCAGAAGCAAACTGAGGAGGACCCGCATTTACTTTTGTAAGGCGTAGTTTCGCTTACTAATGACAGCAACAATTGGCTTTACACAGAGAACAAAATCTCAGGCTGAAAGGGTGAATTTCAGGCATCTCTCATCAGGGATTTGGCCAGAAGGGGCTGGGTGCCCACTCTGTGCCAATTCTAAGACTCCTTGCTGTTCTAGATTAAGGTTGCTGAATTTACGTACTAAGTGGAGGGGTATTTGCAACCTCCCTTCACTCTGTAAGCTAATTTACATTTAAACCTTGGTTGCCTCTCGCTGGCAACTAAGGCTCCACAACAGCCGTCAAGGAATTAATTTCTGGGGCCCATGAAGGCGTGCCTGAGAAATAAAAGTGCTGTGGGAGAATTTTGCCAACAGGCTGAAGAGCAACCTTGCTGCCATGCACACAGACATTTAGGATCCCGCTGGCTTGTGAATCCTGGCATAGTTGCTGGGGGCCACACAGTCGGGAGGCAAACAAAGCTGCTCAGTTAGCACTGCAGTGCTTTTCCTGGGAGTGGGAACTCGCAGGAGCAAACCAACTAGGGAAACGTCCCTAAAGTAGACAGCTTCACCAGAGTGGTTATTGTTGACTTCCTCTTCTGGTTGTTTAAAGTGACAGGCCTTGGGGCTTAGGATCTTGTGATCTAGAAAGCAAATATTGACAAGCAGCCGGGGGGAGGCAGGGCAGAAAACAAGGTCCAGGTTTAGATGACAGCTCCGCTAAGAAAAGTGGAGGGCAGGCCGCAGGCTGACATTCCAGTCCCAGCGGCCTCATCCAGGCAGCCTTGCTGTGACTGCCCGGGAAAACAGTGTTTCACATGCCCTTGGGGATAAAGAGAACACAGGAGCCAGTTCACAGTTCTGAATGTGGTTACTACAAAAGCCCACTTTCTTTTCTATTCTTTTTTTCCCTTGGAGCTATTTTGCAGACAGTTTTTAAGCAATTTTTCTTTAGATTCTGAAAAACCCCAACTCTAACACAAACTACTTTTCTTTAACCATATTCTCTACCTTAGTGATCTGATAAGAGGCCATGGTTTTCAATACCATTGGAACCGCCCGAGGCATTCACCTCGCCAGCTGCCTAGACAGAGTAGATTCATCAACACAGGGAAATTGCAATAGTGAAAGAGAAATTCGTGCAGAGTCAGCTGTGCAGGAGACTGGAGTCTGATTTTTTTTTTGAGACGAGTCTCACTCTGTTGCCCAGGCTGGAGTGCAGTGGCGTGATGTCAGCTCACTGCAAACTCCACCTCCTGGGTTCAAGAGATTCTCCTGCCTCGGCCTCCGGAGTAGCTGGGACTACAGGCGTGCACCACCACGCCTGGCTAAGTTTTTAGTTTTTTTTTGTTTTTTTGTTTTTTTTTTTGAGACAGAGTCTCACTCTGTCGCCCAGGCTGGAGTGCAGTGGTGCGATCTCAGCTCACTGAAACCTCCGCCTCCTGGGTTCAAGCGACTCTCCTGCCTCAGCCTCCCGAGTAGCTGGGATTGCAGGCGCCTGCCACCATGCCCGGCTAATTTTTGTATTTTTAGTAGAGATGGGGTTTCACCATGTTGGTCATGCTGGTCTTGATCTCCTGACCTCGTGATCCGCCTGCCTAGGCCTCCCAAAGGGCTGGGATTACAGGTGTGAGCCACTGAGCCCAGCCCAGAGTTCTATTATTACTCAAATGAGTCTCCCCAAGCATTCAGGAAACAGGGTTTTTTGTTTGTTTGTTTGTTTTTGAGAGGGAGTCTCACTCTGTGGCCCAGGCTGGAGTGCAGAGGTGTGATCTCAGTTCACTGCAACCTCCACCTCCTGGGTTCCAGTGATTCTCCTGCCTCAGCCTCCCAAGTAGCTGGGACCACAGTCACGTGCCACCACGCCTGGCTAATTTTTTTTTTGTATTTTTAGTAGAGATGGGGTTTCACCACGTTGGCCAGGCTGGTCTGAAACTCCTGATCTCAGGTGATCTGCCAGCCTTGGCCTCCCAAAGTGCTGGGATTACAGGTGTGAGCCGCTGCGCCCAGCCTTTGGCAGGCTTCTTTACTGCAACCTGCTTTATCAGCAAGGTCTTTAAGACCTGTATCTTGTGCCGACCTCCTATGTCATCCTGTGACTTATAATGCTTAACCGTCTGGGAATAGAGCCCAGTAGGTTTCAGCCTCATTTTACTCAACCCCTATTCAAGATGGAGTTGCTCTGGTTCAAACGCCTCTGACAATTTGAACTGGAGTTTATGCTATGTTTATGGAACATTTATGTACTAGTACATGCTTTTCTAGCCAAGTTGGGAGATGATCTTTTTTTTTTTTTCTTTTGAAAAGAGTTTTGCTCTATCGCCCAGGCTGGAATGCTAGAATGCAGTGGCACGGTCACAGCTCACTGCAGCCTCAAATTCCTGAGCTCAAGCAATCCTCCCACCTCAGCCTCCTGAGTAGCTGGGACTTATAGATGTGAGCCATCACACCCGGCTAATGTTTTAAAAAAAAATTTTAGTAGAGACAGGGTCTCACTGTGTTGCCCAGGCTGATCTCAAACTCCTGAGCTCAAGCAATTCACCTGCCTCAGCCTTCTGGAGTGTTGGGATTACAGGCGTGAGCCACCACACCCGGCCAAGACTATTCTTTATCTTCCAATATGAGATGCAGATTCCAGACTTTGAGTGCATACATCACACTGTCCTATGCTGGAACCAAGCATTCAGTCATCACATGATTTAGCCTAAGTCTCATCTCTTCTAACACTTCCAATCTTAAAAAATTTTCCCTTCTGTGGTAATCAATAACACACAAGTTTGTATATCTCACCTTCAGCACTGATATTGTTAGTTACCTTTCTTTTTTTTTTTTTATTTGAGATGGAGTCTTGCTCTGTTGCCTACAGGTGCACGTCACCATGCCCAGCTAATTTTTTGTATTTTTAGTAGAGACGGGGTTTCACCGTGTTAGCCAGGATGGTCTCAATCTCCTGACCTCATGATCCGCCCGCCTCGGCCTCCCAAAGTGCTGGGATTACAGGCGTGAGCCACCGCTCCCGGCCTTGTTAGTTACCTTTCTATGTGCACATGACTTTCCTATCCATCTAGGTTATAAATTACTGAGACCAAGAACTTTGTTTGGCGCTTTTTAGCACACATAGCACTACAGTCCAGAGTAAGTGGTAAATGAATCTGGTTTTGTTAAGTGTCAATAATCAGTTAAATGCTAGTGGTAGAAATTTGAAAGCTTGGGAGGAAAAAGATGATGATACCTGAAAGTTAAATTAGGAAAAATAAAGCTGAAAGCAGCCAGGTGCAGTGGCTCACACTTATAATTGCACTTTGGGAGGCCAAGGCAGGTGGATAACACGGTCAGGAGTTCGAGACCAGCCTAGCCAACATGGTGAAACCCTGTCTCTATTAAAATACAAAAAAAATTGGTTCACTCCTGCAATCCCAGCACTTTGGGAGGCCAAGGTGGGCAGATCACAAGGTCAGGAGTTCAAGACCAGCCTGGTCAACATGATGAAACCCCGTCTCTACTAAAAACCCAAAAATTAGCCGGGCATGGTGGCAGGCGCCTGTAATCCCAGCTACTGGGGAGACTGAGGCAGGAGAATGGCTTGAACCCAGCAGGCATAGGTTGCAGTGAATGGAGATTGCACCATTGTACTCCAGCCTGGGCAACAAGAGTGAAACTTCATCTCAAAATAAAATAAAATACATTCACATTGTGCAATTGTCACAGTGCAATGCAAGGTATTAAAAAAAAAGATGGTGATGGGGTGGAGCAAGAACTGTAAATTAAAAGTGATTCAAGAGATACATCAGCCAGATGCAGTGCATGAACCTAATTTGGATTCATGCATCTGGAGAACTTTTCCATCCTTCCAAACTGAAACTCTTCACTCATTAAAAATAACTCCTTTTTGCCCCTTCCTCCTAGCCCCTGGAAACCATCATTGTACTTTCTGTCTCTATGAATTTGACTACTGTAGGCTCCTCATATAAGTGTAATCAAGCAGTGCTTGCCTTTTTGTGACTGACTTATTCAGTCAGCATCATGTCTTCAAGGGTCACCCGTGTTGTGGCATGTGACAGGATTTCCTTCTTTTTTAGGCTGAATAACATTCCATTGTGTGTATGGACCACATTTTGCTTATCCGTTCATCCATCCATTTGGGTTGTTTCCATCTTTTAGTTACTGCGAATAATAATGCTGCTATGAATGGGCATGCTGGTGTATTCCTGTAATCCCAGCTACTTGGGAGGCTGAGACAGGAGAATCGTTTGAACCTGGGAGACAGAGGTTGCAGTGAGCCAAGATCGCTCCACTGCACTCCAGCCTGGGCAACAGAGCAATACTCCATCTCAAACAAACAAACAAACAAACAAATAAATAAAACCATTCCTTTTGTTTTCAAAACCCAAGTCTCTGCTTTCAATTATTTTGGTATATACTCAGCCCAGTCTATATTTGGAGGCCATTATTTGTAGTTATGTACTTTTTAGACATCCCAAATATCTATCTTGTCCCCACTTTAATTCTCGAAGATCTACCCTCCATTTCTATCCTTTAGTAAGCCCAACCTAAAAGCCATAGCCTCCAAGTGTCAGGAGGTTTTAAGAGTCGATTTGGAAGGAAAGGCTGGGGTTGTGGACAGGCACTCAGTCATAGGATTCGGTCCTTCCTGCTACACCTGGGCCTGATTGAGAACAGCAGATGCTCAGTCTCCAGGCTTAGGGACTCGGTATGACTGTTCAGTAAACAGCGGTCAGACAGAAGGAAGACAGAGCCCAGGAATCTGAGCCTTCTACTTTATACTTGAGTGTGGCCGGGACTCCTAAGAGCAGTTGGAAGGCACTGTCCGGAGCTGAGAACAGTGGACCCTGCTGCTGTGCTGCAGTCCCGCGAGGCCCTCAGAGAATAAGCTTCTCCGCCACAGGCTTAAGTCTGTCCAGAAAAGGGACCCTGAAACACATGCTTACTGGTCAAAGTGATTGTGAGGAAACATTAAATATTAAAGGAGACTTGGGTTTTGAAAACAAAAGGAATGGTTTTATTTATTTATTTATTTAAGATGGAGTATCACTCTGTTGCCCAGGCTGGAGTGCAGTGGCACGATCTTGGCTCACTGCAACCTCTGCCTCCCAGGTTCAAGCGATTCTCCTGTCTCAGCCTCCTAAGTAGCTGGGATTACAGGCATGCACCAGCATGCCTGGCTACTTCTTGTATTTTTAGTAGAGACGGGATTTCGCCATGTTGGCCCGACTGGTCTCAAACTCCTGACCTCAGGTGATCCGCCCGCCTTGGCCTCCACAGTGCTGGGATTACAGGCATGAGCCACTGTGCTGGGCTGGAAGCATATCATTTCTAAGCATTCGTGGGACTCCTCCATTCTACTTAGTGCATGCTTTCAGAAAAAAAAAAATAGAAGGCAGAAGAAGGAAAGAGATATTCACAGCTTTGCGGAGAAGGAAGTTACTTGGGTTCTTTTCTGACCTTAATCTAGTATTATGGCTGGGCGCAGTGGCTCATGCCTGTAATCCCAACACTTTGGGAGGCCGAGGTGGGTGGATCACCTGAGGTCAGGAGTTTGAGACCAGCCTGACCAATATGGTGAAACCCTATCTCTACTAAAATTACAAAAATTAACCAGGCATGGTGGCATGCGCCTGTAATCGCAGCTACTCAGGATGCTGAGGCAGGAGACTTGTCTGAACCCAGGAGGTGGAGGTTGCCGTGAGCCAAGATCACCACTGCACTCCAGCCTGGGTGACAGAGTGAGACTCTGCCTCAAAAAAAAAAAATCTAGTATTGTTAGAAAACATAAATGACCTCTTAACAGCATTTTATGAAAAGCCTTGAGATTACAGCCCATTTTTTTATTTTTTTTTATTTTTTATTTTTTGAAATGGAATCTCACTCTGTTGCCAGGCTGGAGTGCAGTGGTGCAATCTCGGCTCACTGCAACCAACGCCTCCTGGGTTCAAGCGATTCTCCTGCCTCAGCCTCCCGAGTAGCTGGGATTA
The DNA here is from genome assembly GCF_000001405.40 of Homo sapiens. Classification (NCBI taxonomy): domain Eukaryota; kingdom Metazoa; phylum Chordata; class Mammalia; order Primates; family Hominidae; genus Homo; species Homo sapiens. The sequence goes on along the minus strand of NC_000002.12, from coordinate 109,639,496 downwards.
CAGGCATGTGTCACCACACCCAGCTGATTTTTGTATTTTTAGTAGAGACGGGGTTTCACCATGTTGGCCAGGATGGTCTAGATCTCTTGATCTCTTGATCTGCCCACCTTGGCCTCCCAAAATGCTGGGATTACAGGCGTGAGCCACCGCGTCCAGCTGAGCCAATATTTCTTATATGATTTCTGGGGTCCAATAAACACTTATTAAAGCCTGCAGAAGACTTTAGAGGAATTCTCTTTTCCACAATATCTACTGAGGTAGAGAAACACCTGCTTATTTGCTTAGTGTAGATTTGGCCTAATGCTAAATCCATCACTGATTACTATCAATTTCTCAATTCAGAACGAAAAATATGAGTGAATATCTGCAAATGAGTAGGTGCTGGAGATGAAACTACCTTGACATATGAAAGGAATATACAATGACAAAAATCATTCTAAGCATTAGTCAACTAGCCCCTTCTGTCAGAGAATATTGTGTAGAAAGTCCAGGCGACGTCTCTTAGCAGCAACATCTGCTGGGTGCAGGCTTTGTTTTGGAGCAAGGCCAGACCTCTACTGGAGGTAGGAGAAAAGTCTCCAGTCTCTATGTATGCCAAGAAGCATCATCTCAGGGGGTTGGCAAAAGAACCAGAGAGTGTTACAAGAGAATCACTTCAGCAATGCAATTTCCTAGGCATTTAGAACTGTGGGGTTGTTTCTTTTTTTCAGTCTTTGCAGCTGAGATCAAGCCCCCATGAATGAGCCGTTAAAAGAATCTAAAAGAGAATTGAAAAACAGGCTCCCTATTACTGAGACTCCATTCAAAAACAATTTTTGTTTTTGTACTACTGTGCAAACCTACTCTTTGGAAATATATTACCTGGGAAATCTGGAATTTATTTTATTGACACATGCTTGAAAGCTAAATCTAACTGATTTTTAAGCTAGTCAATGGGAAGAGGTCATGCAGGAGACCAGCAATTAGATCACTGCTATCTTTTTGTAGATGGCTCAGCTCCACTTTGGAGCTCACCTTCAGGAAAAACAAAGCAACCCCACACCAGTCCAAACACATAACATGCACACCTGGTGGGGAATTTGGAACCTGAGCTTGCTCTGATGGAACATGAAAATGAAAGTTTCGGGGAGTAGTTATGCCTCATTTGAAACTATTTTCAGAGAGCAAACGTAGTGTTTACCCCTTTCTTTAAATGAGCCTCATTTTGCTTCTAGTGAGTGCTAGGAATCCTTGAAAAGCCTAACTCTTAACTCTTTTGCCTGTTTAAATATAAGTTGTAATAAGAGCACAAAGACCTCCCATGTTATCTTTCATCGTGCTTCCAACTGTTAACCTTTTGCCACATTTACTTTATCCTCCTCTATCTCTTTCTTGTATTTTGAAAGTACAGTCATGTACAGTCATGATGCTCTTTAGCCCAGATAGTTAGCATGCATTTCCTCGCAGGAAGGACATCCTCTTACACAATCACAGAACAGTGATCAGAATAAGGAAACTAGCATCGTCGCAACACTATTTTTTGTTTGTTGGTTGGTTTTTGAGATGGAGTCTTGTTCTGTCACCCAGACTGGAGTGCAGTGGTGTGATCTCAGCTCACTGCAACCTCCGCCTCCCGGGTTCAAGCGATTCTCCTGCCTCAGCCTCTTGTAGGGAAAAGAAAGAGAGATCAGACTGATACTGTGTCTATCTAGAAAGGGAAGACATAAGAAACTCCATTTTGAAAAAGACCTGTACTTTGAACAATTGCTTTGCTGAGATGTTGTTAATTTGTAGCTTTGCCCCAGCCACTTTGCCCCAACCTGGAGCTCACAAAAACATGTGTTGTATGAAATCAAGGTTTAAGGGATCTAGGGCTGTGCAGGATGTGCCTTGTTAACAAAATGTTTACAAGCAGTATACTTGGTAAAAGTCATCGCCATTCTCTAGTCTCAATAAACCAGGGGCGCAATGCACTGCAGAAAGCCGCAGGGAACTCTGCCCTTGAAAGTGGGGTATTGTCCAAGGTTTCTCCCCATGTGATAGTCTGAAATATGGCCTTGTGGGATGAGAAAGACCTGACCATCCCCCAGCCCAACACCCGTAAAGGGTCTGTGCTGAGGTGGATTAGTAAAAGAGGAAAGCCTCTTGCAGTTGAGATAGAGGAAGGCCACTGTCTCCTGCCTGCCCCTGGGAACTGAATGTCTCGGTATAAAACCCGATTGTACATTTGTTCAATTCTGAGATGAGAGAAAAACCGCCCTATGGTGGGAGGCGAGACATGTTTACAGAAATGCTGCCTTGTTATTCTTTACTCCACTGAGATGTTTGGGTGGAGAGAAACATAAATCTGGCTTACATGCACGTCCAGTCATAGTACCTTCCCTTGAACTTAATTATGACATAGATTCTATTGCTCACATGTTTGTTGCTGACCTCCTTATTATCACCCTGCCCTCCTACTACATTCCTTTTTACTGAAATAATGAAGATAATAATCAATAAAAACAGAGGGAACTCAGAGACCGGTGCCGGTGCAGGTCCTTGGTATGCTGAGCGCTGGTCCCCTGGGCCCACTGTTGTTTCTCTATACTTTGTCTCTGTGTCTTATCTCTCTTTCTCAGTCTCTCGTCCCACCCGACTAGAAATACCCACAGGTGTGGAGGGGCAGGCCACCCCTTCAGCCTCTTGAATAGCTGGGATTATAGGTGCCCACCAACACGCCTGGCTAATTTTTATATTTTTGGTAGTGACGGGGTTTCATCATGTTGGCCAGGCTGGTCTTGAACTTCTGACCTCTGGAGATCCGCCCACCTCAGCCTCCCAAAGTGCTGGGATTATAGGTGTGAGCCACTGCACCCAGCCAACACTGTTTTAATCTTCAGATCTTATTCAGATTTTGCCATTATCTTAATAATGGCCTTCATAGCAGAAGTCTGAGTCACATGTTGCATTCTGTTGTCATATTTCTTGGGTCTCCTTTAATCTGGAAGAGCTCCACAGTCTCTCTGTCCTCTACAATATTGGCATTTTGAAGAGTACATGCCAGGATTAGGAAAGTCCCTCCATCTGGGTTTGTCAAGAGTTCCTCATTGTCTCCTTTGGGTTATGCAATTTTGGCAAAGATTTCATAGAAGTAATGTGTTCTTCTTTTCATAGAAGTAATGTGTATCCTATCAGAAGGCATATTATTTTTAATAGAAAAAAAAAATCTTGGTATGCTCTTCTCAGTGAAAAAAACCATGAGAGTTCTAAACCATCATCAGATTATTAATGTCCTAGTCTATTTGGGCTGCTAGAACAAATTGTCACAGACTTGGTGGCTTATAGACAACGGACATTTATTTCTCACAGTTTTGGAGGCTGGAAGTCCAAGATCAAGGTGCCAGCAGGTTCAGTGTCTGGTAAGGGCTCACTTCCTGGTTCACAGATGGTGCCTTCTCTCTGTATCCTCACATGGAGGAAGAGGAGAGGGAGCTCTCGGGGCCTCTTCTGTAGGGGCACTAATTCTAGTCATGAGGGCTCCACTGTGACCTGATCACCTCCCAAAGCCCCCACCTCCTAACACCGTCACATTGGGGTGAAGATTTCAACATAAGAATTCTTGGAGTATACCAACATTCATGCCATAGCACTTAATAACCGTAATACAATTCTGTGTTTACTTACCACTTTCCAGTAGTGGGAAAAGTTAGACAGCATATCTTATTCATGTTTGCAACTTAGGACCCGGGAAAGTGCATGGCATCTAATTGGAATCCAGTAATATTTTTCAAGTGAATTCTTTTTGAGGCACAGAGTACTCTCACTTCATCTGCACAATCCAGTTTTCTGACTTCTGCTCTGTGTCCCCCACCGACCATCTGAGACGAGGTAGGGTCAGACAACCCAGTTATGGCTCAGCTCCCTTTTTGGATGTAGCATCTGGCTCTCCTCATGAACTAGGAAAACGCTCTCACAGCGAGGATCTGCCACTCACTCCAGTGCTTGATGGGTGTTGGATTATTGAACAAATGCCTGCTTAAAATACAATATGCTAGCTGGGCGCAGTGGCTCACATCTGTAATCCCAGCACTTTGGGAGGCCGAGGTGGGCAGATTATCTGAGGTCAGGAGTTCGAGGCCAGCCTGGCCAACATTGTGAAACCCTGTCTCTACTAAAATTACAATAATTAGTCGGGCATTGTGGCATGCACCTGTAATCCCAGCTACTCAGGAGGCTGAGGCAGGAGAATTACTTGAACCTGGGAGGCAGAGGTTGCAGTGAGCCAAGATGGTACCACTGCACTCCAGCCTGGGCAACAGAGCGAGACTCCATCTCAAAATAAATAAATAAATATAAATAAAACAAAATAATACATGCCAAGAGGCTCTTTCACTTCTGCTGAACACTGGAGTTTCTTTTTTTTTTTTAACACTGGAGTTTTATACAGTAGATTAAACACCTAGGTCAGTGACAAAACATTATTTTTACAATTTACAGAAAATGTTAGAGCATCATTAGTTTCAAGTTTCTCCATGAATGTGTCTTATCACTTAGGCTTTTGCCACAGCCTATTTGTGAATGATTGCTGGTAGATGACAAAATAAGTAAACATGCCAGCAAAGGAATATTTAATCATAAAGGGACAATCATAATTGTTTACTCGTCCTTTTATTTCTTCATGAACATGCATTCGTGGTTGTGACTTTGTATTATGTGCAAATAATTAGTTTTAGTAAATATTGGTTATAATCTTTATGCTAATCTAAGCCTCCTTCCCATGTTAGTTCTCTCTTACTTTTTAACATCATGAGTTGTTGTTATTATTGTATTATGCAGTCAATATTCTTTTGATTTTTCCACATAGATGTACCAATATACACGTCACCATTTGAGTCTCAGGATTTCCATCTGGGATTACTTTATCAGCCCCAGTATAGTTCTTTAATGAGTAACTGTGTTGGAGGCAAACTATCTCCATTTTTATTTGTTTGAAAGATATCTTTATTTTGCCCTCCATCTAGAAAGTCCTGGAAGCTCCACCTTCTGTGACAGCTGAGAGCTACTTCTGTGCATGCTCTGAAGCTCTCATTCCCTGGCCTCCTGGCCCTCAGTGATGTGATTCAGATACAAATTCAGCCTAATCACCCTTTTTTGGAGATAATCTTTTTCTTTATGGCTTTTTTTAATGTCTTCTCTTTGTAAATGGCATTCTAACATTTTATTATGATGTGTGTAGGTGTGGGTTTCTATTGGTTTCTGTTTATTTATTCTGCTTGCAATTTGTTGGACTTCCTGATCGGTGACTGGTATTTTTCATCAACTGGGAAAGATTCCTGGCTATTATATCTTTGAATACATTCAGTCAAAGCTATTGTATCTTTTTCTTTTCTTTTTTTTTTTTTTTTTTTTTTTTTTTGAGACAGAGTCTCACTCTGTCGCCCAGGTTGGAGTGCAGTGGCGCGACCTCGGCTCACTGCAACCTCCGCTTCCTGAGTTCAAGTGATTCTGCTGTCTCAGCCTCCTGAGTAGCTGGGACTACAGGTGCCCGCCACCACACCCAGCTAATTTTTGTATGTTTAATAGAGATGGGGTTTCCCCATATAGGCCAGGCTAGTCTCGAACTCCTAACCTTGTGATCCACCCACCTTGACCTCCTAAAGTGCTGGAATTACAGACGTGAGCCATTGCGCCAGGCTGACTTTTTGCACATCAACCCATCTGTGACAGTCCTGGAATCTAGCAGTCTCTTACAATGACCTATGCTCATTTCAACGCTAAATCATTCATTTCCCCCAGCTTCATCCTCTACCTGGGAGCTGAGTCATCTGGGTTTCCGTTTTATCTTGGCTTTATTTTGGGAGAGGAGAGAAGAGAGAGGTTGGGGTTGTCCCTTCCCTCTTGGCGGTGGCTCTGCAGGGCTGTGTCCTTCTGCAATGGCAGGTCCTGCTGGATGGCCCCTTCTTGAGGTCCTCTGCCACCCAAGCACTGATGATACCTCAGGCTTGAGGGTGGTAGCTGCTTCCCTGGGCGCCTCAGCATCATTTCCTGCCTGTTCCCCTGGGCGCCTCAGCATCATTTCCTGCCTGTTACCTTCATTCTGTCTGTTTTTTTGTTTTGTTTTGTTTTGTTTTGTTTTGTTTTTTGAGATGGAGTCTCATTCTGTCACCCAGGCTGGAGGGCAGTAGCACGATCTCAGCTCACTGCAACCTCCACCTCCTGGATTCAAGTGTTTCTCCTGCCTCAGCCTCCCGAGTAGCTGGGACTACAGGCGAGCACCACCACGTCCGGCTAATCTGTGTATTTTTAGTAGAGACGAGGTTTTTGCCATGTTGGCAGGCTGGTCTTGAACTCCTGACCTCAGGTGATTCCACCCGCCATGGCCTCCCAAAGTTCTGGGATTACAGGTGTGAGCCACCACGACCGTCCCTGTCTGTTCTTTTTAAAATCATGTCTTCGTTCAAAACTTTAAAAAAAAATTCCAGTGGATGTGCCTTCTATTTCCCATCAAAACCCTGCCTAACGTAGTTCCCCTCCTCCAAGCCATGCTGTTCTCCACAGAGCGCGAGTACAATACAAAGAAGGTATCACATTTGTGGTAACTGGTAAGAGTTGGGAACTGAAAGAATTTGAAGGGAAAGAAATCTAAAATGATTAGTGTGTGTTTCATCTTGGACGTCAAGTTTTTGTTTTGCTTTGTTTTGTTTTGTTTTTTTTTTTGAGACAGAGTCTCGCTCTGTTGCCCAGGCTGGAGTGCAGTGGCGTGATCTCGGCTCACTGCAACCTCCACCTCCTGGGTTCAAGCGATTCTCCTGCCTCAGCCTCCTGAGTACTCGGACTACAGGCGCCCGCCACCACACCCAGATAATTTTTGTATTTTTAGTAGAAACGGGGTTTCTACTAAACACCATATTGGCCAGGCTGGCCTCGAGCTTCTGACCTTGTGATCCGCCTGCCTTGGCCTCCCAAAGTCCTGGGATTATAGGCGTGAGCCACTGCGCCCGGCTGGACATCAAGTTTTAAATGGATAATATGACATTCTCTTTCCACCCAAACTGACCTGACCAGCTGGGTGTACAGCAATTCAATTGCGACACTAACTTCCTGGAGCTGGTGCAGATGCCACAGATTGAGGGCAAAGTTCACCACAGACCCCTAGTCCCCTTCAGACACCAGCCACAAGTCTCAGAGGGTCCTCAGGGCAATTGTACTCTGACTCCAAATTTGGGAGTTCCCATGACCCCCTTAGGTTTGATCATTTGCTAGTACAACTGGCAGACTCAGGAAAGTGCAATGCTTATGATTAGCTTCACTGTAAAGCATACAAATATGGGAGGGTCCCAAATGCAGAGCTTCAGTGGCCTTTCCTCGTGGAATCAGGGCACATCACGTCCTGGCACATCAACATGTTCACCAACCAGGAGGCCCTGGAAGCCTCCGGTTCTAGAGCTTTTACTGGGATTTTATTTTGTAGGCACAAGTGATTAAACTACTGAACCTGTGATTAATCTCAACCTCCAGACCCCCCTCCTCTCTTCAAGGTCAGGTGACTCAAATTCCCCAACCCTCTAATCACCAGGCTGGGCGGGTCTTTTGGTAACCAGCCCCCATCTTGAGGCTGTCTAGGGTTCCACCTTTACCTTAGTAGCATAAAAAAGCCCTACCACTCAAAAAACCCCAAGGGTTTTTAGAGTCTCCATACCAGGAATTCAGGACAAAGACTAGACAAATTATTTGTTATACAACAGAGATAATGAGATTTCTTTCTTTTTCTTTTTTTTTTAGACTGAGTTTCGCTCTTGTTACCCAGGCTGGAGTGCAATGGCGCAATCTCAGTTCACTGCAAACTCTGCCTCCCAGGTTCAAGCGATTCTCCTGCCTCAGCCTCCTGAGTAGCTGGGATTACAGGTGCCCGCCATCACGCCCTACTAATTTTTGTATTTTTAGTAGAGACAGGGTTTCACCACGTTGTCCAGGTTGGTCTCGAACTCCTGACCTCAGGTGATCTGCCCACCTTGGCCTTCCAAAATGCTGGGATTACTGGTGGGAGCCACTGCACCCGGCCAGAATTTGATAAATTATTATAGATGTCATCATTCAACCTATTAATTGATATCTATATACTTAACTCACTTTCCAAAAAGACTTGGGATTACAAATAAGACTTCTTTTCAAAATATTTCATATGACAAGAAAGTATAATTTTTCCAATTCATAGGAAATAGTCTACATGGAGGTAGGAGTGTAGGGCTGAGCATCCGCAGTTGTAGGTCCAAGTCCTGGCTCTGCCACAAGGTGACTTATCCCTTATCTCGGAGCTGAATGAGATGACATCTGCAATCCTGTGACTGCCACAGTCAGCTTCCAGGTCATATAGCAATGATATCATGTCTGTTTAATCATCAACAGCAAGCCCTTTTTCCTTTTCAAGTTATTAATCTTGGATACTTTCTGTTGTTTGTTTATTGTTTTTGATTTTTGAAGACGGAGTCTCGCTCAGGCTGGAGTGCAGTGCCGTGACCTCGGTTCACTGCAACCTCCGCCTCCCGGGTTCAAGTGGTTCTCCTGCCTCAGCCTCCCGAGTAGCTGGGATTAGAGGTGCCTGCCACCACGCCCAGTTAATTTTTGTATTTTTAGTAGAGATGGGTTTTCGCCATGTTGGCCAGGCTGGTCTCGAACTCCTGACCTTAGGTGATCTGCCTGTCTTGGCCTACCAAACTGATGGGATTACAGGCATGAGCCACCGCGCCCAGCCTCAATCTTGAAAACTTTCTATACTCATACTATCCATCCCTCAACATTACCTCCACAAAGTCTTTCCTGATCCTTGTTTTGTACTCTTTTAGGAAATCATCAGTCAGGTGTGGCTATGAGAGGAAACAAAGGAGAGACTGGGGAGAGCAAAGTGCATTATGCTCATCGGTCCTAGAGAAAGGAGGCATGCCGCGCTACACAGGCCACACAGCAGACACCAGGGTGGCCAGGAGGTGGAAGACAGGAGTCAGGGAAGGGTCAGGCCATGGCCTTTATGGTGGTTTCCACAGGAACCGCAAGGCAGGGCAGAATGGACAGTATAGGATTGGCTAGAGCGGATAATTCTGGTGGGCTCTAGACTCTAGGGATGGTCCCTGGTTGCCTGGAGTACTACCTGGCCTTGGGATGATTGAGGTAGAGGAGCCGTCTGCTAGGGTTTGCAGGCCAGATAGAGGAGTGCTGGCTCTGGGTTGGTTTGTTTGCCTGTCAAAGGCATGCTCCAACCTGAGCCTGTTATTTCTTATCTCCAAGAATTGGCTGCCCCAGGGAGGGTTTTTTAAGATGTCAGAACATCATAATATACATAAATATATATATATGTGCACATATATGTATTCCAGCTAGAGGATTATAATTATACACACGCTTACACACATAATACATGCAATCCTCCAGCTGGAATTTCTCCTGTCTCCTAAACCTTAGTGTCACTTTGTCTGTCTAGCCCACATGGATTTTCTTCTCATTCTTTCTTGCACTGTAGTTATGTGTGGGCGTGTTGTATTTTACTTCTGACTGTGAGTCCCTTCAGGGCAGAGCCTGGGACATCTAGCTCACTGTGTTCTCCATGGGGGAGGTACTGCTGCTCCCAGTATGAGCTCTAGAATTGCTTTTTAATTAATAAATATTAGCGGGGTACATAACGTATGTGTGTATTTACCAAACCATACTCATACACGTTTTCTTTTTTTTTTGAAACGGAGTCTTGCTCTATTGCCCAGGCTGAAGTGCAGTGGTGTGATCACGGCTGACTGCAACCTCTGCCTCCTGAGTTCAAGCGATTCTTCTGCCTCAGCCTCCCGAGTAGCTGGGACGACAGGTATGCACCACCATGCCTGGCTAATTTTTGTATTTTTAGTAGAGACGGGGTTTCACCATATTAGCCAGGTTGGTCTCAAACTCCTGACCTAGTGATCCACCTGCCTCAGCCTCCCAAAGTGCTAGGATTACAGGTGTGAGCCATTGTGCCTCGCCTCATACACACATTTTCGTACTTACTATTCAAATTTGTACAGCATGGTGTTGAGATTTAAAAATCAATTCTCAACTTAGTAAATACTTGTAAGTTAATTGTTATATTAAGGTGAAGATTTACAATTTTTCAAGCTTGTGAAAATGAGGTCCAGGAAAATGAAAAAAAAAAAAAAAATATATATATATATATATATATATATATATATATATATATATATATATATATATCTTTAGGCCAGGTGACATTTGTACTTGCTGGCAGCTCTTCAGTATTTAAATGTTAGTTAAGCATTTTATTTATTTATTTATTTATTTATTTATTTATTTTTGAGACGGAGTCTTGCTCTGTCGCCCAGGCCAGAGTGCAGTGGCAGGATCTCAGCTCACTGCAACATCCGTCTCCTGGGTTCAAGTGATTCTCCTGCCTCAGCTTACCGAGTAGCTGGGATTACAGGCATCCACCACCAGGCCCAGCAAATTTTGTAATTTTAGTAGAGACGAGGTTTTACCATGTTGGTCAGCTGGTCTCAAACTCCTGACCTCAGGTGATCCACCCACTTCAGCCTCCCAAAATGCTGGGATTACAGGCGTGAGCCACTGCACCCAGCCTAGTTAGACATTTTAAATGACTGCCAACCTGCCTGCCAAGAGCACGAACTCCCTCAAAAGGAAGAGAAAAATAACTCTCACTCACTTAAATATTTTTTGGTAAGGTTAAAAAAAATCTACTGTATAAAAGTAGATAAACACACTACCTGGAATGTGCTTTGAAAAAGTACCATGTCATCTTATTGGCAAAGTGCCTTGAAGCACAACGTGGACAGGTTGGAATATACATAAGCAAGCAGAGAGCTTTGAGAAAAAGAGGACGAGGTTAGCAGAAAAAAATGTATCCACCTGAGAAAGTATTAGAATATAAATGAGGATATAAATGACGGAGGCTTAAATTAGTATAAACTGAATGTGGCCATACTGGGAATAGTGGGAATCTATTTATTTATTTATTTATTTATTTATTTATTTATTTATTATTTTTTGAGACAGAGTCTCACTTTGTCATCCAGGCTGGAGTGCAGTGGCGCGATCTCCACTCACTGCAACTTCTGCCACCTGGGTTCAAGCAATTCTCATGCCTCAGCCTCCGGAGTAGCTAGGATTACAGGCGCAAGCCACCACACCTAGTTAATTTTTGTATTTTTAGTAGAGATGAGGTTTTGCTATGTTGGCCAGGCTGGTTTGGAACTCCTGACATCAAGTGATCCACCCACTTTAGCCTCCCAAAGTGCTGGCATTACAGGTGTGAGCCACTGCACACAGCTGGAATCTATCTTTTTAAATGTGATTTTCTGCAGTGGTTTAGTAGCCTGGAGCATCTCTGCATGATGGAGGGTGGCTGCAGGCCCAGTGCTCAGGATCCTCCCAGAAGATGTCCATGAGATGGGCCACAGGAGCAGCCACCACTGTTACCATCCAGAAGACAGAAAATCAAGAAGTCAATGCCCCATGTCCATCAAAGACACAGATACGCACCCTCTCAAGCCCAGCAATGCATAAATTGTATGTATGTTCACCACAAATCTTTCATTGGAATGTTCACAGTGACACCCCCAAATGATAGCCCTCCTCAACTGATTATCAACTGTTGAAGGGATAAATTGTGTTATAGTCATACAACTATATAGCAATGAGAATAGACCGTCTATTTACAACTATAAGCAACAATATGGATAAATCTTACAAACATTGCTGAGTAAAGTCAGACATATAATATGTACTTCATAATTCCATTTGTGTGGATATACAGAAAGTGTGGAAGATCACCTAAGGTGTTAGAAGTCAGGAGAGTGTCACCCTTGTGAAGAAGATCATGCCTCGCAGGGACACAAGAGGGGCTTCTGGGGAGCTGATGTTTCCTATCTTGTTCTGGGTGCTGGTTACACAGATGTGTTTAGTTTATGAAAAATCATCATTATATATACAGAATGTATGTGCTTTCCTCAGGCCTTTTATGTTCTTCCATTAAAAATTGTTTTTTGCAGGGCATGGTGGCTCATGCCTGTAATCCCAGCACTTTGGGAGGCCAAGGTGAGTGGATCACCTGAGCTCAGAGGTTCGAAACCATCCCGGCCAACATGGTGAAACCCCATCTCTACTAAAAATACAAAAATCAGCCAGGTGCAGTGGCACATGCCTATAATCTCAGCTACTTGGGAGGCTGAGGCAGGAGAATCGCTTGAACCCGGGAGGCAGAGGTTGCAGTGAGCTGAGATAGCACCACTGCACTCTACCCTGGGTGACAGAGCGAGACCCCATCTCAAACTAAATAAATACACAAATAATTGTTTTGTTTTTGTTTTTGTAATCTGAAGTCTTGCTGTATTGCCCAGGCTGGAGTGCAGTGGGTATTCACAGATGTGTGATCATTGCACACTATAGCTTGGAACTCCTGGACTCCTGGGCTCAGCCTCCCAAGTAGCTTGGATTACAGGTGTGTGCCACTACACCCAGCCCTGTTCGTTTGTTTGTTTTTAAGTCACAACTACTCCTTGACTACTGCCTCCACCACAAGTCTGAGCACACACCACCCAGCCGTAGCCCACTCCAGCAGACTGGACACCTGTACACCGTTATGGACACCCACAAAGCTAAAGACCCAACAAGGGCTCCCCTGCCCAGGAAAGGCCCTATTGCCAGCTTGCCTGCAGGAGTGACGATGGCAGAAAAACAGCCTGCACTTTACTTTTACCTTCCTCATCTGCAAGGCAGCTTGGCAGAAGCCAGTCTACTGAAAATCCTCAGAAGTACAGGTCTGAGCAGCATCCTGTTGAGCCTAAGAAATGTACCAGCTTCTGGAAGGGGGCCCTGGGCAAGTGGGCTGGAATAGAGTCGAGTGGCCAGTCTGCACAGCAGCCTTACCTCCCCATTAACTCACCTCCCCATCGACTGGCTGATGTTGCTGATGTCCACCTCTTCAGTTCAGTTCTGTCTGGTGTGTTAAGAATGGAAAGACAGCCTTCTCAGGGGCATTTGTTTGTTTGTTTGTTTGTTTTGTTTTTCGTTTTGAGATGGAGTCTCACTCTTTTGCCCAGGCTGGAGTGCAGTGGCGGAATCTCAGCTCACTCTAACCTCCGCCTCCTGGGTTCAAGTGATTCTCCTGCCTCATCCTCCCGAGTAGCTGGGACTACAGGCACATGGCTAATTTTTTGTATTTTCAGTAGAGATGGGGTTTCACCATGTTGGTCAGGCTGGTCTCAAACTCCAGACCTCAAATGATCCACCCACCTCGGCCTCTCAAAGTTCAGGGATTACAGGTGTGAGCCACTGCGCCTGGCCCTTCTCAGGGGCATTTGGATGTTATCATCTAGATGTTACTGTCAATGAGTTCAAGAAACAACAAAATAGGGACGAACAGGAAGGTTATAGCAAGGGAGACCAAGGTCCACCTGTCATTTTAATTCTTTTTTCCCCTTATACCATATTTCTAACACAGAAAAATGTAGTAGACAAATATATACCCTAGCTTTATCACATTTAAACATCTTGCTATGTTTCATTCTAATTTTTTTCTTAAAGAAAGGGAACACCACAGATCTAGTTCAGTTTCTCCACTTCACTCCCCTTCTCCCGGAGGTAACCATGTCTTTAATTTGGTCTTTATGGTCAATACTCTGACTAAGCATGCTTGTATCCCCAAATGAAACAGAATATTATTGTTTTGTTTTTACATTTTGTATACAGTGTATCCTACTCTACATTTCAGTCTGCAATTCGCTTTTCTTTCTCTTCATGTTATGATTTTGGATGCAACCCATGCTGGCATATATGGCTCTACTTCATTTATTTGTATTTTTATTTTATTTTATTTGAGACGGAGTCTTGCTCTGTCACCAAGGCTGGAGTGCAGTGGCGTGATCTCGGCTCACTGCAACCTCCACCTCCCGAGTTCAAGCGATTCTCCTTCCTCAGACTTCCGAGTAGCTGGGACTACAGGCACGTGCCACCATGCCCAGCTAATTTTTTTTTTTTTTTTTTGTATTTTTAGTAGAGACGGGGTTTCACCATCTTAGCCAGGGTGGTCTCGATCTCCTGACCTCGCGATCCGCCTGCCTCGGCCTCCCAAAGTGCTGGGATTACAGGCATGAGCCATTGCACCTGGCCTACTTCATTTATTTTTAACTGCTTTATACATGTCATTGTATGACAGCATCACAATTTATCTGTTCTCCATATGTTGGCTATTTGGGTTGTTCCCTTTTCTGCTGCTATTACAAACAATGCTGCAACAAATACCTATGCACATATGTTTGAGATCTCCAGGCCAGTGCCTGGGAATTCCCAGGGGCTAAAATGCAGATTCCAATTTAGTAGGACTCGGAGGGGCCTGAGATTATGCGTTTCTTTTTCTTTTCTTTCTTTTCTTTTCTTTTTTTTTTTTTTTTTTTTGTTGTTGTTGTTGTTGTTGAGATGTGTCACCAGGGCTGGAGTGCAGTGGTGCCATCTCCACTCACTAAAAGCTCCACCTCCTGGGTTCAAGCAATTCTCCTGCCTCAGCTTCCCAAGTAGCTGGGATTACAGGCACCCACCACCACTCCAGGCTAATTTTTGTATTTTTAGTAGAGACGGGGTTTCGCCATGTTGGCCAGGCTGGTCTTGAACTCCTGACCTCAGGTGATCTGCCCACCTTGGCTTCCCAAAGTGCTGGGATTACAGGAGTGAGCCACCATGCCCGGCTAGATTCTGCATTTCTAAGAAGAGGATACTGCTGGTTCCAAGGCCACCACTGGTGCAGCATACGCAATGAGAAGTGAAATAGTTGAGTTGAAGAGTATGTGTGTCTTCAACTGCGTTTCCAAGTAGTTTTTCCACATTACTCACCAGGGTGGCACTAATGACTCCCTTTCTGTGTATGAGAGTTCTCTTTGCACCACATCTTTAGCAGCACTTGGTACGATCAGACCACAATCTCAGATATCTAGACTATTCATTACCTCCCTACAAGGGAAGAAAAAGAGAAGCAGACCTCAAGCAACATTCTCCAGACAACTCACAGATGGCTGTAGATGGAAACCTGAAGAACACTCTAGTAGTGAAATCATGTTTGTGAGATGGGCAAGTTCAGCTGAAAGCATGTGTCATGGTTCAGAATAATGGTCAGAGTAGTAAAAGCGGTTGATTCTTCCAGGTGAATTTCTTAAAATATAATATGCATCATGTTACCTTCCTGCTCAAAAAGCTTCCCAGAGCCTCTTTCTGAATCAATTTCTCAGGCTAGCTTTCAAAGCGCTCTGCCAGATGGCCTCTACCTGCTCCGCTCTGCTTGCCTCCTGCCACCCCTCCCTGGAGCACCACCTGAGTGAAGGTTATCTCAGAACAATTTTGTAAGATGGGCTGAACTTTGGTGTTTGTTTTTGTCTTAGCCTCAGGCCACCCTCCATGCTCCCTTGGCCTCTTTTGAAGAAGTGAGTTTGCAAAGCTCTGAGTCAACCGCAGACCCAGCTCCTTCCCAAGCTGTGCAGTGCACAGAAGGCACCTATCACGTTGTTGTAAAATTAAATGGGCACAAAGATGACATAGGGGAAGACCCCTGTGTTTTGCCAAAAACTCTCTTGAGCACCTCTTGGCTGTCCAGACCCCATCCTGGGCTCTCCTGGGTCCTCTCCCTTCTCCTTTCCTCTCCCCACCCCAAACCTACCAACCTTGTTTTTGGAGTTCTTTTAGGAGATTGATTTTGGCTTCCATGGTGGTATCCACCTTCTTGATAAAGGCATCATGGTTTTCTAGAGGTTGATTACGGACCAAAGCATTCTCTTTCCTGGACAGAATTCTCTCACAGCACCCACCTGGGTGCACACCTTAAGCCATGAGCCATTTCAAGGTCAGACATTGGGAAGAATAATCAGAGTGGGATAGCTTTTAGGCAAATTCCACCTGACCACACAGAAACTGGAGTCGCCTGCCAAAAGCCATCCATCGGGGTCACTCTGGGTTTTAGTCAGGGGAAGCTCCAGATAGGTCACCCTCTTAGAGATCCAAGAATTGTGGGGCAGAGTCCGGACCGCAGGAGGCCAGCTGGCAAGAAGAGCTGTTCATTCTGTTAACCCATAAACAGCCCCCGAGTACAAGCCTGCTCAGGATAGCTGTGTGGCTGAGATATCCCCTCTGGAGAGCAGTTGGACAGTGGGCAAGAAAACTGGTGGTGCACCAGAGAGGGACATGCAGGGGCACAGAGGAGGACACTGACAAGTGGCCGGGGGTGGGTATGGGCTCAAGGAAGAGGCCACTAGGGATTTACAGGCAGGGAAAATAGCACCCTTTGTAATAGATTCCGATAGAACAAACATAACACTCCCGCCTGTGCCAAAATGAACTATCTTTTTGTTGTTGTTGTTGTTGTTTTCTTTTTTGAGACAGAGTTTCACTCTGTTGCCCAGGCTGGAGTGCAATGGCACAATCTCAGCTCAGTGCAAGCTCTGCCTCCTGGGTTCAAGTGATTCTTCTTTCTCAGCCTCCCGAGTAGCTGGGATTACAGGCCTGTGCCACCACACCTGGCTAATTTGTGTAGTTTTAGTAGACACAGGGTTTCACCATGTTGGCCAGCTGGTCTCGAACTACTGACCTCAGGTGATCCACCTGCCTCAGCCTCCCAAATTGCTGGGATTACAGGCATGAGCCACTGTGCCCGGCCTCAAAATGAACTATCAAAATTCTTTTAGTGGGTTGCAAATTTATAAATGTATAGTACGAAAACCAGATGCCGTGTTGCTGGTTTTCTTCTACGCTGGCGTTTAATCTCATGATTATGTGGAAGTGGGCTAAGCCCTTCCGTTAATGCTTAAGTGCTTAGACAAGTGAAAGGGGACTGGACAGAGGGGAGGTGAGCCTAAACAAAGAAATATAACTACACCTCAAATATTTTAGCAGCTCCACCATTCTGAGCTGAAGAAATATTCTTTCCTGACCCAAATTAATTTGATCCTAGGTGACACTGGAAAATGCAAACCCCTAAAAATCCAGTTCTAACCCTACTGCTGTGAAGTAACAACAGAGTGTTCAAGTCATTATCTGTCTCAATCATTAATGCTTGTTTTTGGTTCTTAGTTTGCTCTCTTCTGCAATAGTATGAATTTCCTGTATCATTTGTACTTCATTAGGTGCTAGCCCCATAAACTTCAGGCCAGTTGACTGTCTCTTATGTTCCCAAAGAAGTGGTATTTCCTGTACCACTAGGGCTTCCCACAAACCTTAGAGCCAGTCTGCCTGAGCACAAAGCTGAACTGCTAAGAACTAGCTTTGTGACCTTGGGCAAGTAGCAGCTATTTGGGTTTTTGCATTTCAGTTCTCCATCAGTAGAAGTGAGGTACTAGAATCAGGGAAGGGGTATTATGAGAGTTAAACAGCTTGCTTTTTATAAAGTACTTGAAACCTCATCGGGTATATATAGTAAGCTTCCTGAAAGTCTTAGCCGTCTTAGTCTTAACCTTAGTCTTGCTGCCATGTCAGCACCTAGGTGATTCTAAACCTGGCTAAGCCAAAGGTGATTCTTTGCTCAATAGTGCTGAACTGACTACAACCAAATAATTCCCTCTTTATTTATTTATTTATTTATTTATTTATTTTTGAGATGGAGTCTCACTCTGTGGACCAGGCTGGAGTACAGTGGTGCAATCTCAGCTCACTGCAACCTCCGCCTCCCGGGTTAAAGAGATTATCCTGCCTCAGCCTCCCAAGCAGCTGGGATTACATGTGCCCACCACTATGCCTAGCTAATATTTTGTATTTTTAGTAGAGATGGGGTTTCATTATGTTGGCCAGGCTGGTCTCGAACTCCTAACCTCGTGATTCACCTGCCTTGGCCTCCCAAAGTGCTGGGATTACAGGTGTAGGCCACCGCACCTGGCCATCATTGCCTCTTAAATGCAAATTCAAAGATCCAACATCAATATCAGAAATTTCTGGACAAATCTCAAGAATGCTCAATTATGTTTCTAAACTATTATATTCAAAGTTTCTTAGAGATCCAGAAGACTATTCTAATGGAGGGCTCCCAGGTTCTTTGATCAGAATAGCATAAAGTTGGGTTAAAAAAAAAAGTGGCTCACACATGTAATCCCAGCACTTTTAGGAAGCCGAGGTGGGCAGATCACGAGGTCAGGAGATCGAGACCATCCTGGCCAACATGGTGAAACCCCGTCTCTATTAAAATACAAAAAATTATCTGGGCGTAGTGGCGCGCGACTGTAGTCCCAGCTACTCGGGAGGCTGAGGCAGGGAAATCGCTTGAACCGGAGAGGCAGAGGTTGCAGTGAGCCAAGATCACGCCACTGCACTCCAGCCTGGCAACAGAGCAAGACTCCATCTCAAAAAGAAAACAACAACAACAAACCAACAACTTATATGATTCTACTTTATACCACTGGCAAAGCACTGGTTAACTTTATCCTAAGTTAGGCTGCTTTTGGCCAAAGCTTTGGTCAGAATGAATATGGTTTAGAGCAGTGTTTCTTGAGACAGAACTGGTCACAAGTGTGCTTTAAAATGATCTATTTTAAATTTTCAGGTGCTCATGCAACCTCTGACACATTTCCAAAGGCTGAATGTTCTATCTCACAAGGCAGTCCATGGTATGTTTAAAATGATTATTAGAAAGTTCTCCATGTTAAACTAAACTTCATTTCCCTATTCATTTGCTCTTTGGGATTTCACAGAATAAGTAGTCATTTGTATACCTGACAGTACTTAGACTATTTAAGGCCAATTAGAATAATTTCTCCTACAGGTCTTGGACTTGAGTCAGCTTGTAAGGAAACTTTCTTTCTTTCTATTTTTTTTTTGAGACAGAGTCGCTGTGATGCCCAGGCTGGAGTGCAGTGGCACAATCTCAGCTCACTGCAACCTCCGCCTCCCGGGTTCAAGTGATTCTCCTGCCTTAGCCTCCCAAGTAGCTGGGATTACAGGCATGCACCACCATGCTCAGCTAATTTGTGTATTTTTTGTAGAGACTGGGTTTCACCATGTTGGCCAGGCTGGTCTTGAACTCCTGACCTCAGGCGATGCTCCTGCCTCGGCCTCCCAAAGTGCTGGGATTACATGCGTGAGCCACCACGCCCAGCAAAATTTTCTTATAATCAAATTTACTCTTGAAAATCTCTTAAATCGCTCACGAAGTACAGTTCTAATAAAGCTGATTTTATCTTCAGGATTGGAATAACTTGCTGTTCTTTTGGCTGAGCTGCAGATGAACTGATAGGCTGGTATTTAAGAGCCATGTTATATAAAAAAACTATTCACATAGCATGAATGCATGTAATTGAATTATCCATATTATGTAACATTATAAAATATTTAATGTTTTCCATTAAAAGACCCTTACTGAGTACCTTCAACATGCCAGGCACTGTGCAAGGGTAGAACATTTGTCACACATTCCTTACCAATGCATCGATGTGGAAAAATAGGCTATTAGTTAACAGAATAGGAAAGCTACTTACTGAGATGAAACTGACATTTAAAGAGAAGATTGAGAAAAAAAGTATAGTGTTCTTCATGGAAAAAGCAGGTAGTTATGTGAACCACATGACTTCTGTATCTTGAGAAACAAGTTTCTGTAGAGTCATCTTCCAACCCTCTAATATTCAGTGATTTATGAAGACTTGGGTGATCATTGAAGGAATACTGGTTTACAGCAAATTCCAAGTATTTAATCCTGGAATTAATCATGTAAGAAACTCCAAATAATGCTATTTACTTAGCAAAATAAAAATAATTTTTACTAGGAAAATTTCAAAAATATCTTTAAGTGAACTGGTTAATAAATCCTTTTAAGACATGTACTTCTAAGGAAAGAAGTTATTCTAGAAAAACAAACTACTTATCTAGTCTTTCAGTGATCCTGAAAAATATTTTATGGGTTATCATAAAACAAGAATAACCCCAGCAGCCATCACAGTGGGATCTCCCGGATAGAGCAATAGTGGGCGATTACACCAAAGGAGTACCACATCCCTTTGCCATTCAACAGAGTTGAATTTTGCTAAAAATACAGATCACAGGAAGCCTTGATGAGGTAATTAACTCTCAATGCTTCACAGAGGCTGAAAAATGAAAAACGGTATTCCTACACCTGTCTTGAAGTCAGCCCTGGGTAGGGCAGGTTTATGGCAGATGGTGTGTGCAAAACCCATACAGCTTTTTTTTAGGTAGTGGTGGAGGTATTACCTTCTCTCCAAGTTGATTCCTCCATCACTGGTGCCAAACTACAGCAGTTTTGCTAAAAATGTGGCAATTCAATGTGCAGAAAAGATAACGTTGTGGGAAAGCCCTGACTCTTATAATCTTACTAACAGCTTTTTACTGTGTGACCCTGAACAACCATTAACCTCTATTTTCTTATCTGTAAGTCAACAATATATGGCCCATAATCTTAAGGGATAGGAAAAGGGTCAAATAAACTGAAACTTCAAAAAGCATTTTGTGAACTGTAAAACACAGTATATGTAAAAAGTCTAAAGGACGACAGAAACTTAGACAATTCAGAGAAAAATTCTACTGTGAACATTTTATTTTCACAAAACAAACTTTACAGATTTTACAATCTCCCAAATTTCACTTATTTAAAAATAGGAGAGACAAGGCAACCTAGACTCCAAGATTGCAGGCGTGAAAAAACTAGTACCAGATATTCAAGTTATATATGCAAACTGCATTTTATATACCATGAAAGTGAAATGTGACAAACACTCACTAGTTTCAAGTGTACCTTATAAGAAACACATGGACATACTTGGGTTTTTTAACCACATAGTCTCATATCAATAAACATCTAAGTATCTGACATGTATTTTTCCATTAAAGGTAGGCACAACTCTATGAATATCAAATTATATCAATCATTTGCTTTTTATAATCTTGACTGGAAACTGAAAAATAAGAGGAATGTAAAGTTAAGTAGCCGAAAATGCTACTTACTGCACAAAAGCACATCATGAAAAGGAATGCTAGAAGTAGTTCTCCTCAGGAATGGGTTTTTGAAAATTTAAAATATTATTTTATCAGAAAAGTTAAAGCCTTCAGTGGGAAAACCATGGTAAATGACATATTGACTCAATCTCTAAAGCCCTGGCAAATTATAGATTTTGTGCAATTAGTGACCAACATATACATTTAAGAGATAATACTGACTGTTGACCAGAACCTTCTGATGGTTCTGAAGCATCTGCTCTTTAGAGTTACTTCAGCTTTACATGTCTATGAAATTTAAGATTCCTCAATGGGATGTTATAGCTTATTCTGCACTAGATACAAGTAATATGTATAGATTTAGAACAAATGACTACTTTTCACCTTCCAGGAGCCTGTTTTTATTTATACAAAATTAGATTGGTTTTTCACCCACATGTATGCATAAGTGCTTCTCAAATTTACACCGTTCATATCTGAAATCCCACAATAAATGCAAATAAATGGATACTAGTTTATATATTTCATATTTTCATTCATCTTTTTTTTTTTTTTTTTTGAGACAGAGTCTCCGTTGCCCAGGCTGGAGTGCAGTGTCGTGATCTTGGCTCAACTGCAACCTCCACCTCTCAGGTTTAAGTGATTCTCATGCCTCAGCCTCCTAAGTAGCTGGGACTACAGGCACGCACCACCACGCTCGGCTAATTTTTGTATTTTTAGTAGAGACAGGTTTTCACCATGTTGGCCAGGCTGGTTTCAAACTCCTGGCCTCAAGTGATCCACCTGCCTCGGCCTCCCAAAGTGCTGGGATTACAGGCATGAGCCACCATGCCTGGCCTTTCATCCATCTTTAAACAAATTCAATGACCATCTAGAGACAGATGTGACCAAAGTGTTACAAATTTCTATGCATTTTCTATGAATTGCTCTGTGCAGTTCACACATGGGTTCATTCACCCCGCAGGCTGTGAACTTCCTTATCCTGTAGGCTGCAGGTACTTAGGTTTCAGCAACTACGCGACCCAAAAGACTAAAGGAGGACTTGTTTAAATTAGTCCCTCTCAAAAATTGTTTCCAATCTTATAACAAACAGATTTAATATGCTTGTGGGTTAAATTTTAAAGTAGTTATGAAGCCATTTACTCTAATATAAATGAATGAAATGTAATTAAGAACCATACTTAAACGAGTACTTAATTTTAATGAATGGTATTTTTCATTTATATACAAAGGAATAGCCAGCAGCATTTAAATATAGAAATAGTCCCATCTCTTCTCTATTCCCTTTTATAAAGTGCCATTTTAATTGGGTAGATTTACTACCCAGATTTTCAGTAACTACAGGATAGGTATCTAATTGTCAAGAAAAGCTTGGAAAATTAAGTTTAGCATTTTAAACATTTGTAAAACATTGCTACAAGTCATAGAGACTACCAATGTATTAAAATAAAAAGTGTACCTTACATAAGAATCATTAAGTTGGTTTAATAATTACTTCACAGAAACATGGGCTCATGAATACTTAGGCCAATTTGTGCTAATTATTTAAACCAGAAACAGTTTCTGTAGGTAATTCAGCTCTAAGCACCATTAAATAGGGTTATGCCAAATAGAACAATGGTTAAATAATCCTCAGAATAAACACCCCAGCAAATTCAAACTTTTAGAATAGTAACAAAAGTTAGTGAGAATCCGAAAGAGAGGCAACATTTTATTGAAAACTATCATAGGCTGCTAAGTGTTCTCTTTAAATAAAATTTTGTGTAGTTATTAATGTACCTTAACACTGGTGTACCTTAATAGTGGTGTTAGAGATAGGTGGAAACCATACTACAGAAGTGAATGTTGCCTGTTTCTTTTGTTCAGTGATTAAAACTGAAATTGCTTTTAAAAAAATAATTTAACTGCTACTTACAATACACATAAAATACCAAGAAGATTCCCATTTTATTCACATTATTCTCTAATTAGTATTTTTGCATTTCAACTTTGATCTGACCTTCAGTAGTACCTTAAAATGCAAATGCAATTAGTAAAAACGGGGCAGCCTGTCGTTTTCACACTTAGAAATACAATGTAGTTTCATTACAGTTTGCATTTTTTTGTTACTCTTGAAAGAGTAACCCCTTATAAAATCAGATACATAAAAACTGCATTATTCCTTACTTTGCAGGCATCCAGGAATGGTTAAAGCAAAGGAACTCTCATTCATTAATTCATTCATTCTGTTCCCCCAATTTAGATACATTTCTAGTCTCCAGAAACGGACTCCAGGGCAGGGAAGTGGAGGGCAGAGAAGAGGTACAGGTCAAGGTATGATGAATCTCTGAAAAAGACATCCACTTTTCCCAGAAGGCTAGCCTGAAGAGAACTCCGCCCCATCCATTCCGATCCCTCAAGTAAGAATGCATAATTTAGCTTGTCCTTCTGGTCTCACTTCCTTACAACACCTAGTATTCAATTTATTAAGACAAATAAACCTTTGCATTTTCTAAAAGAAGCAATTTTTACCCAAATACATTGGACTTTGGTCTCAATGTGAAGGGCGAGTGGCCTTTAACAGGTCGTTCCTCCCCCACTCCCTCCTCCCCCCTGCCCTCCAGCGGCTGCTCTGGGTCCCTGAAAGAGGGTGTGGTGTGGACGATCTGGGTTCTGAATCGGATTTTGTTGAGTCTGGGTTTTATACGTCCACTAGAGCTGCCCGAGGCTTTGCGCCCTGGATCCTTGGCTTTGCCTCCGACCCACCCCTCAGCCGAGTGGTGATGGTGGTGATGGTCCCCTCCATCTTCTAGGGCGTGTGAGAGTTTGTAGGTGATGAGATGCGAGGGAAGCACCTTTGAAAGCCTCCAGCGCCCGCCGCCGCTACCCGCGGCGCTTTCCCCGTCACCCTCGTCCAGGGCTCCCACCAGGTTCTTGATCTCCTCGGCGATGCTCCGACTCAGGTACTGGGAGGCCTTTTTCCCACTGTAGTCCCTGATGTCCACATCGGCGTCGTAGGCCCCCACCAGCAGCTTCACCACCTCCACGTGGCCGTGCATGGCTGCCAAGTGCAGGGCGGTGTAACCCCCGCTCGTCCTGGCGTCGATGTTCACCGGCAGCTGGTGTTTGTTGGCGAAGTTGACTAGCATGGCCAGAAGCTCCTGCCTGCCGTGCTTGGCGGCCCAGTGCAGGCAAGTGAAGCCGGTAATGAAGTCCCGCTTGACCAGCAGGCCGGGCTCGCAGGTGAGCAAGCCCTCCAGGCTGTCCCACTTGCCATCGGAGGCAGAGAGCATCCACGCGTGCTCCAGGGGGTCCAGCGTCACGGAGCCTCCGCCGCTGCTCTCCTCCTCCGCGGACGACGAGGCCACCGATGCGCTGTCTGAGTCGCCCCCGCCTCTGCCGCGTCCTCCCCCGGAGGAGCTGCCCGGGCTGCTGCCCCCGGGACACACGCTCCTCTTCAGCTGCGGGGAGCTGCCCATCACCAGGTCACGGAGGTTCTGGCGGGCCGGCCTCTGTGCGGTAGCCCCCACAAGGGAGCTGCCCCTGTCCGCCTCCTCGCAGCCATGTGGCGGGAGCTCCAGGTCCTCGCTGGGCCCCGGGGCTGGAGTCCGCGGTAGGGGCTGCACGTCGCGCCGCGAGTTCTTCCTGCGAGCCCCGGCGCTCAGGGGCGGCCAGTGCGCGGGGGCGGGGGGCTCTCCCTCGCCCAGCTCGCGGCCCTGTCCAGGGAGCGACTCCGGGGCCGCCGCGTCGGGGAGCCGATCGCGCGCCTCGGGCCCGGCAGGGCCGTCGGGGGCCTCGGGCTCGGCGGTCACCTGGATTCGCGGCGGGTCCCCGGAGGGCTCGGACGGCCCTTCACAGAACCTCTTCTTGAGGTGCACGTACTTGGCGCCGTCGGCGGGATCGACGCGCACAGTGGCCACGGCGTTCACCAGCTCCTTGAAGTGCGCGCGGGCGCGGGCGCGCTGCTCCGGTTCGCCGCCTAGGGCGCCCCTGAAGTGCTGCACCAGCTCGGCGTGCAGGGCCCGGCCCCCGCGCTCCGCCAGGAAGCGCAGCACCGCCTCGGGGCCCAGCGCCGCCTCGGGGCCCCACTCTGCCGGCCCCTCCATCCTCGACCGCGCTGCTCCCCCGCCAGCGGGCGGCTCAGCGCGGTCCCATAGCGACGGGCTCCCAGCGGCCGGCTCCCGACGGCGGCGGAGTCTGGCGGGCTCAGCGGGCTGCCAGCCTACGCGTCTGAGGCCAGAGGACTCGGCCACCGCCTCACTGGGCCGCGCCCGGGCGGACACGCCCCCCGCACCCCCGCCCCGCGCCCACGCCACCAGGCCACGCCCACTTCCGCTCCCCGCTGTCTCGGCCACACCTACCTAGGGCGGCCTCGCCTCAAGGCCCGCCCACTTCCGGCCTCGCGAGGGCCGCAATCACTGCTCCGCAGTTCCCGCCTGCATTCCTCGCGCCGTCTTCCTGGAGTCCCAGCTCTCCTTCAGCCCGCCCCAACGCTGACGCTCAGTCCTCAGGCGTCGAGGGTAGCTCCTGTGAGGGGCTCGCTTGGCGCAGGCAAAACGCTCAGCGCGCACCACAGGGCGTCCGCCCCAACCCCGCCCCCGGAGGCCTCCAGCTCGGCCCCGCCCCTGTCCCTTCCCCGTCGCGGAGGCAGCCTAGCCTCGCGCCCCGCCCGTTGCTTCTGCCCTCCGGCCTTCCCGCCGCCGTCGCCGGGACCAGCCGCTCGGGGCCGGGCTGATACAGCCGCTTCACCGTGCCCCTGCCCGCGACCATGGCCTCCTCCGAGGTGGCGCGGCACCTGGTGAG
This sequence comes from Homo sapiens, assembly GCF_000001405.40. Classification (NCBI taxonomy): domain Eukaryota; kingdom Metazoa; phylum Chordata; class Mammalia; order Primates; family Hominidae; genus Homo; species Homo sapiens. The sequence goes on along the minus strand of NC_000002.12, from coordinate 109,613,792 downwards.
TCCCGCCGACGCCGGGGCCCCAGCCCCGCGCTCCCCGGCCCCCGCGGGACTTCCCGCCCTCGACCCACCGGCCCCCTGGTCCGGCCCGGGATTGTGACCCGCGCCCCCTCCGGCCCCGCCCGCCCAGTGCTCCCCGGCTTCCGCGGCGGCCGGGCGCCTGGGGCGGGAGAGGAGCCTCTGCGGAGCCTGGGCGCGGCCGGACCCCGGTTCGCGGGGCGCGGCGCCAGCGTCGGGACGGTGGGAGAGTTCTTGAACGACTTCCCGGTCTTTGCCAAAAGTTACATCCACAGCGGTGTTTGTGGGTCTCTTACGGCTATAACGGAGTTGAAGGCGCAGTGCGGACTGATTGAATAGCGGTCATCTTTTGCAGCCGTGAGCACTTCCGAGCCTCCCTGCCGCCGGGAGAAAGCCCGGCTCCCCTGGCTTTTCAAAAGCTCTCCCGTTTTATCCGATGGTGTGGTCGTCCAAGTTTTCCTCCATTGGGATTTTAAACCGTTTTTTTCCCGCCTTGACTCTTTTGTACTCTAAAAGAACGCGTTTGTTCACTGTTTTGAACCTTTCCAGTTACTTTTGTAGATTTATCTCGCTTGTTAGTAAGCCAGCGGTTTTCCAAGTGTGGTTACAACTATTTTCGTTAATAGTACCAAGGTCGTGTACATCGAGTTTTCCAAAGGCTACATGGTATGGAGTGATCTCACCGCCGTTTGGAGGCCCGATGCCTGTGTATTCTTAAAAACAAATTCTCCCTTTTAATTTTTGATAGTAAACATTGGTGGTTTTCATCTGTGTAAACAAAAGCTCTTTGGAGGCTGGAGACCAAAAAGTTTGAGAACCACTCTACTAAGCAACCTCCTACATGAGAAGTTTAAATTGTAGAAACAGTTCAGATTGCAGGCTGAGAGATTAGAGGATCCGTCCAAAGTGACACCGTTGGTTTGTTTTATAGAACCTGGACAAAGATTTTTCTCCCTGATTCAGCCCAGGTCTCTTTTCATTCTATCGCGTATTTTTTAAAAATCTCAAATTTTCTGTCTGGACCCCCTTGTCTCAGTTGCTGTGTTTGTGTGCATGTGTGAGTGAGGGAAAATTGAGGGGTCCTGGTGAGGAAAATGTGTTTTATAAATTCTTTGATTCATAGATTACGTATCCAAACAAGCTTGAGCAGAAGAGAACACTTCATTTAGCTGATGTTAGATTTATTTTTAATTGTACTTAATTTGCTTTGAGGCTAACTTTACTTATTTTCGAATTAAACTGTATTTTGCGTTAATTGTAGATTAATATGCAGTTGTAAGAAATAATACAGTATAGTGAGAACCCTGTACCCTTTATCCACCTTTCCACAATAAGATCTGGCAAACCCATAGTACGATATCACAACCAGCATATTGTCATTGATTGATACAGTGAAGATAAAGGATGTTCCCAGGACCAGGAGGATCCCTTAATGCCTTTTTATAACCACACACACTTCTTTCCTGCCCTGCCTCCTTCTTAACCCCAGACAATCAGTGATTCGTTTTTATTCTTATAATTTTGTCATTCCAAGACTTATATAATGGAATCACCCAGTTAGTAACCTTTTGAGATTGGATTTTTTTTTTTTCAACTCAGCAAAGTTCTGGAGATTCATCCAGGTTGTTGCATATATCTGCAGTTTGCTGGGGTAGTATTCCATGGTATGATTGTGCCACAGTTTGAAGGATATCTAGGTTGTTTTCAGTTGTTGGCTATTGGCAATAAAGCTGCTATAAACATTCATGTACAGTAACTCATAATGTAAGCATAAGTCTTCAGTTCTTTGGGATAGATGCCCAGGAATACAATTGTTGGGTCATATGGTAGTTGCATGCTTAGTTTTGTAAGAAACTGCCAGACTTTCTCAGAATGGCTGTATTATTTTGCATCCCTACCAGGAAAGTATGAGAGGTCCAGTTTCTGCACATCCTTACCAGCATTTGGTGGTGTCCTTATTTTTAATTTAGCCATTCTTATAGGTATATAGTGACACCTCATGGTGATTTTAACTTGGATTTCTCGTATTGTCACCCAGGCTAGAGTGCAGTGGTGCCAAGATGGCTCACTTCAACCTCAGCCTCAATCTCCTGGGCTCAAGCGATCCTCCTGCCTCAGCCACCCCAAGTAGCTAGGACTATAGGTGTGCACCACCACAGCCGGCTAAATTTTTGTATTTTTTGTAGAGGCAGGGGTGTGACCATGTTGCCCAGGCTGGTCTCAAACTCCTGGGCTCAAGCGATCCTCCCGTCTCAGCCTCCCAACATGTTGCCTATTTTCTAGTTAGATTTTTTTTTTCTGTTGGGTTTAAAGTTTTTTAGGTATACTAGATTCCAGTCCTTTCTCAGATATGTGATTTGAAAATGTTCTCTTTCAGTCTGTAGTTTATCTTTTCATCTTCTAACAGGGTCTTTTGCAAAGCAAAAGTTTTCAGTTTTGTTGAAATTTATCATTATTTCCTTTTATGGATTGTGCTTTTGGTGTCAAGTTTAAGAACTCTTTGCCTAACCTTAGATCCCAAAGATTTTCTCTTATTTTTTTCCTAAAAGTTTTATAGTTTATGTTTTACATTTATGTTATGACCCATTTTGAGTTAATTTTTCTGTTAGGTGTCAGACTTAAGTTGAGGGCCATTTTTTGGCCTATGGATGTCCAGTTGCTCCAGCACCATTTGTTGAATAGGCTCCCTTTCCATTATTGAGTTGTTGATGCACTTTTGTCAAAAGTCAGTTGAGCATATTTGTGTGGGTCTGTTTCAGTCTGTTTCTGGGTTCTCCGTTAGCACGCAGTCTTGATTCCTGTAGCTGTGTAAGTCTGAAATAAGGTAGACTGATTTCTCCCACTTTATTCTTCTCTCCCCCAGATTTTTAGCTATTCTAGTTCTGTGCCTCTCTGTGTAAGTTTTAGAATCGTCTTATCTATATTTACAAATAATTTTGCTGGGATT